>NC_000019.10:43604510-43907540 GCF_000001405.40 Homo sapiens
TCAGATTACTGTGAGGACTCAGACTTGGAGACAATGCCAAAGTCAGTATATGGCTCTTACGGCCTGGTTCTCCGCTACTTTCTGACCTCACCTCTTACCTGTCTTCCTCAGTTCCAGCCTCGTGGCCCTGTGTTCTCTTCCCAAGCACCCCAAGTGGGCTCCCACCTCGGGCCATTGCATTTACTGTCCCCACAGACAGCCACAAGGCTCACTCCTGCCCCTTCTCTAGGTCTCTGCTCTGATGTCATCTCAGTGAAGCCTTCCTTGACCACCCTACTTAAAACTGCAACCTTCACACACACAAGCTTCCCACCCTGTTCCTTTTTCTCCATAGCACTTATGACTAACATTCCATAAAATTTGTATTTTTTTTTTTTTTTTTTTTGAGACAGTCTCGCTCTGTCGCCCAGGCTGGAGTGCAGTGGCGCGATCTCAGCTCACTGCAAGCTCTGCCTCCCGGGTTCATGCCATTCTCTTGCCTCAGCCTCTCCGAGTAGCTGGGACTACAGGTGCCCGCCACCATGCCCAGCTAATTTTTTATATTTTTAGCAGAGACGGGGTTTCACCGTGGTCTCAATCTCCTGACCTCTTGATCCGCCCGCCTCGGCCTCCCAAAGTGCTGGGATTACAAGCATGAGCCACCGCGCCCAGCCACAATTTGTATATTTTACTTAAATACTTGATTACTGTCTTCCCCATTATAACCTCCACAAAGGGAGGGGGTTTTTGTTCATTGTGTTGACTGCTATATTTCCAACTCCCAGAGCAGTGCCTGCCATCTCATAGGTGCTCAATAAATCATTGTTGGGTGAATGAGTAAACAAGTAACAGTCCCTAACTTGTAAGGATCTGATGTGACTGTCCACATAAAGCACTGAGCCCAGGGCCTGGTCCACCGTGAGCGCTGACTTAATGATGGCCATTACAGTAATTCAGGTTCTATTCTTGAAGGTTCTTAGTCTCCAACCTTCTATGAGTTAACACATGTAAAGCGCCTTAGAACAGGGCTGGTTGCCCAGTAAATTCTCAGTAAATGATAGCTATTATTATAATTAGGCTTCTATTTTCAAAGTAGCTTCGGCGCCAAGCTTCTGTGAATTACGAATTAGTACTTCCCATCTCTGAGCCCAAGTTTTGGCAAGGCTGTAAAGAGCTGGTCCTTTGCTACCCTTTGACCTCATCCCTACAGCTCTCGCCTCCTTGGCACACCAGGCAGGCTCCTGCCTCCTCCAGCCTGAAGTGCTCTTCCCCATTGATGTACATGGCTCCCCCCGGCTTCAGATCTGTCACCTTCTCAGGGAGGACTATACTCTTTAAAATTGCAACCTCCTTCCAGAACAGTTCTCCCTTCAGTCCTTTTTTAAATTTTTTTCTTGCAACAAATTCCTGCCATCATCCAGGCTAGAGTGCAGTGAGCACAGTGGCACAATTACAGGCCACTCCAGCCTCAACCTCCAAGCCTCAAGTGATCCTGAATAGCTGGGACCATAGGCATGCACCACCAAGCCCAGCTAATTTAATTTTTTGTAGATGGGGTCTCACTGTGTTGCCCAGGCTGGCCTTCAACTCCTGGGCTCAAGAAATCTTCCCACCTCGGCCTCCCAAAGTGCTGGAATTATAGGTGTGAGCCACTGCACCTGGCCTTCCTTCAGTTTTTTTTTTGTGTGTGTGTGTGTGTGTGTGGTTTTTTTTTGAGACAGGGTCTCACTGTTGCCCAGGCTGGAGTGCAGCGACACTTCTTAGGCTCCAGCAATCCTCCCACCTAAGCCTCCCTAGTACTAGGACTATAGCCGTGTACCATCGTTAGCCCAGCTAATTTTTTGTATTTTGTAGAGATGGGGTTTTGGCATGCTGCCCAGGCTGGTCTCAAACTCCTGGGCTCAAGCGATCCACCCACCTCAGTGCTGGGATTTCAGGAGTGAGCCACCATGCCGGGCCTCCTTTCAGTGCTTTATTGTTCTCACAGCATTTATCAGCACCCGGCATATGCTGTATCTTACTTGTTTATGTCTGTCTTCACCAGCAGCCTCTACCCACTCCCATGTAAGCTCCATGAGGACAACGATTTTATTTTATTCACTGCTGTGTTCCCAATGCTTAGCACACAGCAGGTACTCAAAAATATTTGTTAAATGAATTAATGGATCACAATCCCTGTCTCACAGGGTTATTCTAAGAAGCTGATAATCTCATGCAAATTAAGTACAGCACTCTGTAAGTGCTGGGAAAATGGCAGCTGCAATTATCATTAAGGTTCTATTTTTGTAAGTTCCTAGATGCACCATTTCTATGAGTCAATATATATAAAGCCCTTGGACTGGCACCAGATACCCAGGAAGCGCTGAGAAAGCGTAGCTGTGATTATAATTAAAGTCCTCTTTGTGGAAGTTCCTAGGCTATGTGGCAGAAAGCCCTAGCTGTCCTCCATGAACTGTTTTCTGCTTTCTGGGCGCTTGGCTAGACTGCTTCTCCCAGGTTGTTTTTGCAGTTAGCTGCGGCCACATATCTAATTTCTCAGCAAAGGCGTGTCAATGGAAGCAGTGTGTGCCCCTGGCAGGCCAGGGCTTGTAAGACAACACGTGCACCTCACCAGGCATCCTGTCCTCTTCTGCCAGCAGGACCCAGGCTATGGCCACCCAGTCTGGACCATGGGGGAGACAACAGGCTTAAGGGATGGCCTGGGTCCCCAAATGACTCACCCAGCACCATTTTGTGAGTGAGAAACAAAATTCTATTATTAGAGCCTTTACATTATGGGGTCTGTAAGTAAATACATGGAAACCTCATCGAATACAAGCACGCAGTAAATGTTATCTTTCCCAAAAGACCCCAAGGTTCCCCAAGAAGGAGCCCAGGGGGAATACACACACACACACACACACACAAACACACACACGGGCGGGAATACACACACACACACACACACTCTGAACCAACACACACAGATACAGATTTTGGCTTTTATTCTGGCCATCACACATCTACTTCTAAGACAACACAGACCGGCAGTACCCCATCCCCCATGACCACTGTCACAACCCCAATTTCCTCAGCCCCCTCCTCCCACCCCACCCCTTCTGCCAAGCTCCCCGTATGGGGGCTCTGCCTACACCTCACCCCGGGCATGCAGCATGAAGTGCCCGTGCAGCTCCCCCAGGTTGTCGAAGGAATCCTCACATTCCGTACAGTGGTAGGTTCCCTCCTCCTCCTCTTCCTCCTCCTCCTCCCGCCCAGCTGGTCGGCCCTCCCCAGCCCGAGGTGGTTCCTCCTCTTCCTCCCCGAGGGCCCTGCCTTCAGGGGCTGGTGCTTCCTGGGGGGCTGTAGCAGGGCAGCAGAGCCGGCAGGGTGGGGTTCCCGGTGGGGCCTCCCCAAGGGGTGAGCGGCCACAGAGCTGGCAAGGCTGGGCCGGGGGCTGGGCTGCACGGGGGGCCCGGCGGGATGGGCCACCACGGCCCCCGCCAAGGCGCTGCTTCACCTTGTAGCCAGGATCATATTCAGGATCGTCAGTGGTCTCCTCTTCCTCCTCCTCCTCATCTTCTTCCTCTTCGGAGTCCGGCTCTGAGAGAGTGTATTCTGAATCAGAGGAATGCTCGGGGCCTGGAGGGGGACAGACAGGGGAAGACAGTGGTATCAGAGGAAAGAGGGCTAGGCCAAGCTGTCCCCTCCCTGAATCCCCACATTCAGACTTGCCATAGTATGACAAGGATAGCCTAGACACTACCCTTCCCTTCCCCACAGATGAGTCCCCATGGCACAGAACAAGACTGGCACCCAGTAGATTCCCTGTATCTTTGTGTCAAGCAAATGAATGTCTTCCAAGAACTGCATGGGACAGGACTGGGCACAGTGGCTTATGCCTGTAATCCCAGCACTTTTGGGTGGCCAAGGTGGGAAGATCACTTGAGCCCAGAAGTTTGAGACCAGCCTGGGCAATATAGCAAGACTCCGTCTCTACAAAAAATTAAAAAATTAGCCAGGCCTGGTGATGCATTACCTGTAGTACCAGCTTCTCGGGAGGCTGAGGCGGGAGGATCACTTGAGCCGAGGAGTTCCAGGCTGCATTTGAGCCATGATTGCGCCACTCCCTTCCAGCCTGGGTGACAGAGTGAGACCTCACCACTTAAAAAGAATTTTTTTGGCCGGGCGCGGTAGATTACTCCTGTAATCCTAGCACTTTGGGAGGCCAAGGTGGGCAGATCATGAGGTCAGGAGTTCAAGACAAGCCTGGCCAACATGGTGAAACCTCGTCTCTACTAAAAATACAAAAATTAGCTGGGTGTGGTGGCGGGCGCCTGTAATCCCAGCTACTCGGGAGGCTGAGGCAGGAGAACTGCTTCAACCCAGGAGGCGGAGGTTGCAGTGAGCCGAGATCACACAACTGCACTCCAGCCTGGGTGACAGAGCAAGACTCTGCTGTCTTAGAAAAAAGCAAAAAAAAAAAAAAAAAATTATTTGATTCTTTCGATTGATTGCAAAAGAAAACAAAAACTCCATGGGGAGGTGGGGTGGGAGGCATTTAGGAAGGACAAAGCCGGAGTAGTAAAAACCCACCAGTAACAACAGCATCCTTGCTATTGTAGGAGCCCTGTTCTTATACATTAACTCACTAAATCCTCAACAACCCTTTGAGGGTGGTACTATTACTATCCCCAGTTGATGGATGTGGAAACTGAGGCACAGGGAGGCTAGACGACTCACTCCCCTGTGGTTACACAGCTCTGGCAGGAAAAGCTGAACCTGGGCCATGGCTGACACTGGATCATTTTAGGGAGACAACCATTTGAAAAGGTATTTGTGCAAATTAAAACACATGCATACACACAGATGTACTTTTATATCTGTGGCCATGGAGAGAGAGAGAGAGAGAGTTAGGTGAATTAAAACATTTATTTATAGGTAAGATATATTACTGTGATTTCACAGTTATCAAGGACAGGCCTAGGACAAGTTTAGGTTTAAAGAAAAAGGCCTGTAATCTAGCACTTTGGGAGGCTGAGGTGGGCGGATTGCCTGAACTCAGGAGTTCATGACCCACTCTGGGCAACATGGTGAAACCCCGTCTCTACTAAAAATACAAAATTTAGCCAAGTGTGGGGTGGTGGGTGCCTATAGTCCCAGCTACTCAGGACTCTGAGGCAGGAGAATTGCTCGAACCCGGGAGGCGGAGGTTGCGATGAGCCAATATTGAACCACTGCACTCCAGCCTGGGTGACAGAGCAAGACTCCGTTCCCAAAAAAAAAAAAGAAAAGGGGAAAAATTTATAGTTGATATACGGAAAAGGGCGACATCAGCTGCCATTATGGGGGCGCACACACAGAGTAATGGTTGGGGATGGGGTCCCTGTGACCACGGTGTGGGAAGTACCAGCTTCTTCGGCCTTGGTGGTAGGAGCCTGCCAAAAGCCTCACCTTGTATCCATCCCAGCCCCATTCCTCAGTTTCTCCCAGAACCCAGAGGATCCTGCTACTGCACCCTGTGCTCCGCCCTTGCTCCTGTCATCACAGTGGCCACAGGCTCTTCATACCAGGCTCCTCACCTTCCAACACCCCAGGCCCATACCTGCCTCAGGGTCTTTGCCACCCTTTCTGCCGATGTCACTCTCCATTCCATGTCTCTTCTCAAGTGTCACCTTCTCAGTGACGCCCTGGCCACTCCCCAGCACTCCCTACGCCCCTTACTCTGCTTGATTTTTCTCCATCTTCTTTTGAGATAGAGTCTCGCTCTGTCATCCAGGCTGGAGTGCAGTGGCGTGATCTCAGCTCACTGGAAACTCCGCCTCCTGGGTTCAGGCAATTCTTCTGCCTCAGCCTCTCAAGTAACTGGGATTACAGGGGCGCACCAGCATGCCCAGGTAATTTTTGTATTTTTAGTAGAGACGGGGTTTCACCTTGTTGGCCAGGCTGGTCTCAAACTCCTGACCTCAAGTGATCCACTCATCTCAGCCTCCCAAAGTGCTGGGATTATAGGTATGAGCCACCGCAGCCGGCTCATTTTTCTCCATCTTCTGACTCACTGCATTCAACATTTACTTGTGTGTTTGTTTACTGCCTGTCCCCGAGAGCTGGGACTTTGTCTGGTTCACTGCTGTGGCCCCAGCATCTAAAACACTTCCTTTGTGCAAAGAAAGTACTTATGACATATTTATGGCATGGATATCTCTGCATGGAATTTGACAAACCTTTTCTGAGGCTTCACACACACTGTTCCTCCCTCTGGTGGGAATGTCCTGCCCTAGTTTTTCCCACCATCCTTTAGGACCCAGTGGGAGGCCTTCCTCTTTGGTGAGGCCGTCCCAGACCTCCTCATCCCAGGCAGCCAGTCACTTTTTTTACCACCCTCCTGCTGGGTCCCCAGCATCACCAGCCCAGAACAGGTTATAACTCTTTCCTTCTGAACATCCGTCCCTGCAGCTCTCTCCTACTAGTTCCTGCCATTTAACAATCGTTTCCTGAGGCCTTGGTATGGGCTGTTCCCCACTCTATCCACCTGGTGACCCCCTACTCATCCTTCAAGACCCAGCACAAACTCTGTCCTCTGTGAAGCCACCACCCTGAAGCCCCAGGCTCCCAGCCAGGTCTCTCTCCAGCTTCCCCTGCCCCAGCACCTCCTCCTGTTACTGCCCTAGAAGCTGACTGCAGTCAGCTGCCCCCCAGGGTATCTCCCTTATCTGACTGGGAACTCCTCAAGGGCAGGTATGATCTTGGGGTCCGCAGCAGAGGACGTGTGGGTGAGTGGATGATAGTGGCCCCAAGACCCTGATCTCCCTCCCCAAAGCCTTGGCCTCTGCTCCTCGCCCACCTGGTTGACCCGTTCATTTTTTTTTTTTTCGAGAGAGAGTCTCGCTGTCACCCAGGCTGGCGTGCAATGGCGTGATCTTGGCTCACTGCAACCTCCGCCTCCAAGGTTCAAGCGATCCTCCCACCTCAGCCTCCCAAGTAGCTGGGATTACAAGCGTGTGCTATCACACCTGGCTAATTTTTATATTTTTGGTAGAGATGGGGTTTCACCTTGTTGGTTAGGCTGGTCTTGAACTCCTGACCTCAGGTGATCTGCCTGCCTCAGCCTCCCAAAGTGCTGGGATTACAGGTGTGAGCCACCGCGCCCAGCCTGACCCTTTCTTTCTCTACTGGCAAAACTCCTGCTCCTTTTTAAAGCCAAGCTCATGTCACCTCCTCTGTGAAGTCCTCGCTGACTCCCCAAGCGGTCAGTGTCTCTCTCGTATGGGCTCCCCGGCCCCTGCACTGCTCTCCATCACACCCTGACCACTCTGGGCAGTGGCCCCCCTCCCCACCCACTGACTATGGGCTCCTTGAAGGCAGGGCCTGGGTCTGCCCCATCTCTGTGTCCCCAGCAATGCTGGGCATGAGTCAGCCTCAGAAGACATCTGCTGAATGGCTGCAAACCAGAGGAAATATCTCCAGCCTCAGGCTGGGACCCCTCCCCTCTCTCCTCCCACCTCTGACTTCATACCACTCACCCTCCAGAGTCTTCAATGCCCACTATTACTTCACACAGTTGGCCTGTGACAGGCAATCAGGTCATCGTCCACGGCTACCAGGTGTTTCATGTCTACTGTGACTTCCAGGACCACAAGCCCTTTTGCGCCCACCATGTCTTCACCTAAGAGATCTTCAAAGCCCAGTATGTCTCTGGCACCCAGTGGATCCTCCATGCCCACTGCGGATCCCAAGCCTCCTGCCTCCTTGAAGTCCACCAAATCAGCAACACCCAACAGATCCTTAGTGCCCACCAAACCAGCGACATCCCGTAACTCAGTCATGAGCCCAAGCAGTTCCAAGTCCACCAAATCGACCAGTACAAAAAGAGCCCCTTCTAACCGGCCCAGCAGCAGGTCCCGAGTCCGCAGCAAAGCAAGAACACCCAGCAGGGTGAGCACCGACACCAGGACCAGCAAAGCCAGCAAGGCCAGCGACGTGAGATGCCACCAGCGGAGGGGCACACACAGCCGGGGTAGGACACCTGGCAGAAGGGGAAGCCGCAGCTCCAAGAGGTCACCCAGCAGGGCCAGCACTCCTGGCAGGATAAGAACTCATGGTGCCAGACCAGGCATGGCCAGCAGGGTGAGAACTCCCACTTCACAGCAAAAAGGGAGCCGGGGAAAGAGTTACGGCCGGCCTAGAACCAGCAACAGGGAAAGGAGTGACAGCCAGCCTAGAAATCTGAGCAAGAAGAGTTACCGCCCACCAGGAGGCTCAGGTATAGGGAGGAGTTCCGAGCTGGCTGTAACTCCCAGTACAGCCAAGTGTCAAACCCCGACTGGAATTCCCTCCAAGGAGAAGAGTGACAACCCATCTCCATCCTCATCAAGGAAGGTGAAGAGCTACGGTCAGATGATCATCCCCAGTAGGGAAAAGAGTTACAGCCCCACTGAAATGTCCAGCAGGGTCAAGAGTTATAACCAGGCCAGCACCCGCAGCAGGCCGCAAAGTCACAGCCAATCTAGAAGCCCCAGAAGGTCAAGAAGTGGCAGTCAGAAGAGGACGCACAGCAGAGTGAGAAGTCACAGTTGGAAGAGAAACCATAGCAGGGCAAGAAGTCGCACCCGGAAGGGAATTCTGAGCCAGATGGGAAGACACAGCCAGTCTAGAAGCCACAGCAAGGGGAAAAGTCAAAACCAATCTAGAACCCCCAGAAGAGGAAGAAGTCACAACTGGTCTAGAAACCCCAGCAAGGAAAGAAGTCATAGCCATTCCAGAAGCTCCAGCAAAGAGAGAGATCACAGGGGATCTAGCAGCCCCAGGAAGGAGAGTGGTCGCAGTCAATCAGGAAGCCCCAACAAGCAGAGAGATCACAGCCGATCTAGAAGTCCCAACAAGGCGAGAGATCGCAGCCGATCTAGAAGTCCCTACAAGGCGAGAGATCGCAGCCGATCTAGAAGTCCCAACAAGGCGAGAGATTGCAGCCGATCTAGAAGTCCCTACAAGGCGAGAGATCGCAGCCGATCTAGAAGTCCCAACAAGGCAAGAGATCATAGCCGATCTAGAAGTCCCAACAAGGCGAGAGATCGCAGCCGATCTAGAAGCCCCAGCAAGGAAAGAGATCACAGCCAACTTGGAAGCCCCAGCAAAGAGAGAGATCACAGACGATCTAGAAGCCCCAGCAAGGAGAGACAGTGCAGACAATCTAGAAGCTCCAGCAAAGAGAGAGATCACAGACGATCTAGAAGCCCCAGCAAGGAGAGACAGCGCAGACAATCTAGAAGCCCCAACAAGGAGAGAGATCGCAGCCAATCTAGAAGCCCCAGCGAGGAGAGAGAGCACAGACAATCCAGAAGCCCCAGCAAAGAGAGAGATCGCAGACGATGGAGAAGCCCCAGCAAGGAGAGAGAGCGCAGACAATCTAGAAGCTCCAGCGAGGAGAGAGATCACAGCCGATCTAGAAGCCCCAATAAGCAGAGTGGTTACAGTCGACCTAGAGCCTCCAGCAAGGAGAAAGCTCATAGCCGATCTAGAACCCCCAGCAAAGAAGGAAATCATAGCCAATCTAGAACCTCTAGCAAGGAGAGCGACCCCAGTCAATCTACAGTCCCCAGAAGTCCCGACTGGAAGAGATCCCCTACTAGGACAAGCAGTCTCAGTCAGAATAGAACCCCTAGCAAGACAAGCAGCCACTCCCCATCAACATTTCCCAGTGGGGGCCAAACCCTAAGCCAGGATGACAGTCAAGCCGACGCCACCACCTCTAAGGCCACCTTACCTGGGGAAAGGTCTTCATCATCTTCTTCCAAGCTGGCGTAGCCCCCAGTCTCAGCTGGCTCACGGGTCTCTGTCATGACCGGGGGAGGGGACAGGAGACAGGAGCAGAGCAGCAGCTGAGCAGCGTCCCTCCCCGGCCAGCTCTCCACAGCCACACCTCCGGCCACAAGTTCTCTAATACAGGATGTTGGCAGGTAGAGAGGGATGCTGGATAGGGGGAAAGGAAAGACCTGTGATGATTCAATAAATTTTTACATAGCACCCATCCCCACCAAGCCCAACTGTGTGCTCACTGCTGGCATGGGGCACAGAGGACCCCAGCTCTGTCCCTGACTGTCTACAGGGTCTTGACTGCAAGCCCTGCCCCTCTCTAGGTCTTTTTTTTTTTTGAGACAGAGTCTCTCTCTGTTGCCCAGGCTGGAGTGCAGTGGTGTGATCTCAGCTCACTGCAACCTCCACCTCCCAGGCTCAAGCAATTCTCCTACCTCAGCTTCCCGAGTAGCTGGAACTACAAGTGTGCGTCCTCACGCCCGGCTAATTTTGTATTTTTAGTAGAGATGGGGCTTCACCATGTTGGCCAGGCTGGGCTCGAACTCCTGACCTCAGGTGATCCACATGCCTCAACCTCGCAAAGTGCTGGGATTATAGGCATGAGCCACCGCACCCGTCCCCCTCTCTAGGTCTTAATTTCCGCATGTGGGCAACAAGGCTGCCTTCTGGTTCTTATTCAGTGGGGTAGGGAGAGGTGACACTCCAAATATTCAACAGTGGGGACTGGTGTGGGCACCAATCAGAACTGAGAGTGGAGCGGGACGGATACCAGGCCTTAACCCTTTAGTTGCTGGACCATGGGGAGGTCTGGGGTTGGGGAAGTGTTATGGGGAAAAAAAACCCTCAAACTGTGTTTTTCCTCTACTCTCACACTATCACAACAATCATCAACACAGAATTCTGTGACCAAATGTGTGGGGCTTTTTCCCCACACACTACACAGCAGACAACAGCTAGGTGTCCCCTCCGATTCCATTCCAACGCTGTCCCCACACCCAGCTAATTTTTGTATTTTTGGAAGAGACAGGGTTTCACCATGTTGCCCAGAGCTCAAGCAATCTGCCCACTTCAGCCCTCCAAAGTGCTGGGATTACAGGCGTGAGCCACCACACCCGACTTTTTTAAAAAAATAAAAATAAGGCCGGGCGCAGTGACCCATGCCTGTAATCCCAGCACTTTGGGAGGCCGAGGTGGGCAGATCACCTGAGCTCAGGAGTTTGACACCAGCCTAGGCAACATGGCAAACTTGTCTCTAAAAAAAAAAAAAAAATTACAAAAGTTAGCCGGTGTGGTGGCATGTGCTTATAGTCCCAGCTACCTGAGAGGCTGAGGCAGGAGGATAAATTGAGCCTGGAAGGTCAAGGCTGCAGTGAGCCGTGACCTTGCCACTGCACTCAAGCCTGGATGACCCATCTTACAAAAAAAAAATTTTTGCTGGAGCTGCTCACAGAACTCAAGGAAATGCTTACTTAGATTTACTGGTTTATTATAGAGGATATTGCAAAGAACAAAGATGAAGAGATGTGTAGGGCAAGGTATAAGGGAAGGGGCAGGGAGCTTCACGCCCTCCCTGGGGTGCTACCCTACAGGAACCCTCAGGTGGTTAGCTATGCGGAAGCTCTCCAAACCCAGTCCTCTTGGGTTTTTACGGAGGCTTTAAGACAGCAGCATTGGGCATGGACTTCTCTGAAAAGTGTCTTAAGACCAACAATCAAGAAGGTGGGGAAGATTAGAGTCTTGCCCTGGGGCAGGAAATGGAGGGCAGGAGGAGGTCAGAGAGATTCTGTTTCTTCAGACCTGCCCCAGGCCTAAGGTACACAACATTATAACAAGAGACTGTAACAAAGGCTGTAGGAGTTACCAGCCAGGAACTGTGGATGAAAACCAATATATTTATATATATAATACCACAAGGGGGGTCCAAAGTGGCAGTTAGGGACAGGGAGTACTTGTGTAGCAGTGACACACCAACCCATCTGGAAGTATTTTAATATTTAAACAATTGGTATGGCTATACTAGTTTGTGATTATCAGCCTTAGTTCTGTATCAATTGGCAAGATAGTGTCTAGGTTTGCCACACTCTAGCTGTGTAGCACCAAGCAAAGAACTTAACTTCTCTAGCCTGTTTCCTTCTCTGGAAGAAAGGGGCTTCCAGGCCTTAACTCACGTACTCCCCATAACTAGACTGGGAATTATCTCCTTTGTACAGATGAGGAAACAGACACAGAGGTGATAAGTGAGTAGCCCAAGGTCACCATCTGGTAAGTGGATGAACTAGGATTGGAAGCCAGACCTTTCATAAAATGATTTCTCAGCTCAAAAGGTTTTTCTGAAGATTCAGTAGGCTCACTGATAGAAATTGCTGGTGTGTGGCTGGTATTCCATCAAGAGTGGCCATTACTACTCCCACCCCTGCCCCTCTATAAACTCCAGATGTTCCAGACCTCTCATCTCTCCCTGTGCACACAAGGCCTTTTCACATCTGTGGGTCTTAGTACACCCACTGTTGCTGTCAAGAATGTCCTCCTCCTCCTTTTTTTTTTTTTTTTTGAGATGGAGTCTCACTTTGTTGCCCAGGCTGGAGTACAGTAGCGCGATCTCAGCTCACTGCAACCTCTACCCTGCATCAGCCTCCCTAGTAGCTGGGATTACAGGCAGCCACCACCACCATGCCCGGCTAATTTTTTGGTATTTTTAGTAGAGACAGGGTTTCATTATGTCAGCCAGGCTGGTCTCAAACTCCTGACCTCAGGTGATCCATTTACCTTGGCCTCCCAGAGTGCTGGGATTACAGGCAAGAGCCACCACGCCCAGCCCTCCTTCCCCCTTTTTGGCCTGGAGAACTCCTTTTCACCCTTCAAAGCCCACCACAAACATAAGAACCTCTATACTTCTTGCCCGCTGAAATACTGCCTCTGCCAGGAAGCCTTCTGTGACTTCTCTCTCTCCCTCTTCACCAACGGACCGCCCCCGCCCCCCACCAACCCCACCACACACACACACCACTACTGTCTTCCACTGTACTCCCTGACAGTAGAGAACCAAGCAGGGCCAGTTGATGCAGCCTCAGCTATATCTCTTACATGCCAAGGCCCATGCACTGGGGATACAATGGTGGAAAATACATGGTCCCTTCAAAGTCTGGATGTCAAGTTTAATGCTGGGGACTAAAGAGAAAAGCTTCAGATTGAAACCTGGAGGTGGCTGGGGCAAAGGACCATTGGCATCATTGGCAGGGCAACTTCCTAAAGAAAGCACCTAAATCTTGGCTTTTAAAGACAGATTTCATAATTGGCAGAGGAGAATTCTAATGATACCCTATTGCCTACAGGGCCCCATCTAATTTGGGAATTCTACTTTATACCAAGATAAGATTGCCAGATTTAGCAAATAAAAACAGAAGACATCCAATTAATTTTTTTGTTTGTTTTTGGGTTTTTGTTGCGGAGATGGTGTCTCACTATGTTGCGAAGGCTGCTGTCAAATTCCTGGCTCAAACAATCCTCCTGCCTTGGCCTCCCACTTCCCAAAGTGCTGGGATTACAGGCATGAGCTACCACACCTGGCCCTTATTTATTTATTTATTTAATTTTCTTTTTTGGGACGGAGTGTCACTCTGTCGCCCAGGTTGGAGCGCAGTAGCGCGATCTCGGCTCACTGCAACCTCTGCCTCCTGGGTTCAAGCGATTATCCTGCCCCAGCCTCCCAAGTAGCTGGGACTACAGGCGCGTGCCACCATGCCCGGCTTTTTTTTTTTTTTTTTTTTTTTTTTTGAGACGGAGTCTTGCTCTGTCGCCCAGGCTGGAGTGCAGTGGCACGATCTCGGCTCACTGCAAGCTCCGCCTCCTGGGTTCACGCCATTCTCCTGCCTCAGCCTTCCGAGTAGCTGGGACTACAGGCGCCTGCCACCACGCCCGACTATTTTTTGTATTTTTAGTAGAGATGGGGTTTCACCGTGTTAGCCAGGATGATCTCGATCTCCTGACCTCGTGATCCACCCGCCTCGGCCTCCCAAAGTGCTGGGATTACAGGCGTGAGCCACCGCGCCCAGCCTACTTATTTATATTTTTTAAGAGACAGGGTCTCGCTCAGTTGCCCAGGCTGGAGTGCAGTAGGGTGATCTGTAGGAAAGGGGCTTCCAGGCCTTAACTCATGTACTCCCCCATAACCAGGTTGGGAGGTTAGCTCACTGTAACCTCAAACTCCTGTGCTCAAGGTACCCTACTAGCCCCTAGGAGAGCAGCTGGGACTACAGGTATGCGCCACCATGCCAGGCTTAATTTTTACTTTTTTTTTTTTTTTTTTTTTTTGTAGAGACGGGGGTCTCACTATATTGCCCAGGCTGGTCTTGAACTCCTGGTCTCAAGCGATCCTCCTGCCTTAGCCTCCCAAAGTATTGGTATCACTGCAACTAGCCCAAAGAATTAATATAGCTATGTTCCATGTGATATTTGGGACATACTTTTCTAAAAGGTTGTATCTTTTGGATATAATTGTTTATCTGAAATTCAAATTTAACTAGACATTGTATATTTTATACGGCAACCACACACCTGGGACAATCAAGACATTCCCTGAAGTTACCAGGAGACAATGCCCATCAGCCTACACTTTTCCAAGCCCACGTCACACAAGGCCCCTTCCAGAGTATTCCAGACGTCAGGTAGGGCCATCCCTTGGTTCACAAGTCCCACTCCTACCACGCCTATGGCAGCCAAACTGAAAGGCAAACACAGTGCTGGAGACCCCACAATGCCCTGGGCCTATAGCAGTCAATTCCCAAGATGCCCCGCGTGAACACAATAGGCACCCGTTCCAATGCTCGAGCAAAGAGACCAGGGCAAAACCTTCCACTACGGGACAATAACGGCCAGTTCCCACAATTCGTTGTGGCAGTTCTTCCCAGGATGCCTTAGGCCTATAGCGACCACCTTCCCAGACTCCCCGTGTGGAAGCGCTCCAAGCCTCCAGGACGGTCAGCGGCAGGTGTGGGATAAAAGGAACCGGTCTCGACAAGGATCTGGGACACTCTTTCCCAGGATGCACCAGGCCTACGACTAGCGGACCGACTCCCACAGCGCTTCAAGGCGGAGCGCTCGGTTCTCCCAGGATGCCCCAGGGCGGCACAAACGCGTAGGGGGAGAAAAAGAAGCCCTCGGGTCACCACGGCCCCAGACCGCCGGCTCCCCGGTGACGGGAGTCGTCGCTCCCATCATGCAGCGGGGCCGTAGCGCCCGCTTCCCGGCATGCCTCGCGCACCCCTGCCCGGGACACTCACCGGCGCCGGCGGCCCCCGCTCCGGCTCTGCGGCGGCGGCTGCACGCCCAGCCTCTGCGCCTGCGTCGCAAGTAGGGTAGGACAGCGCGCAGGGGGCGTGAAGAGCCTAGGGCGCTTGCGCGGCGAGACGGACTAGTCCTGTAGCGCTGTGGGAAGAGGGGCTATGCGCGTCGGGCCGTCGACGAGACCCGCGCGGGGGGCGCCGTGCTTTGCCCCTCGCTGCCTGGGTTTACTTGGTACAGCCCGCGGCCCAAAGGAACAAGAAGCTGAAGGGTTCGCGCGTGCGTGTGCGGGGCAGGAACGCGCCTTACAAAACTGGGATGCGCTGGGGGTGGAGGGCGCTAGTTCGGACTGGATCCTGGGCCCGAGGCCTGCTTATTTGCATAATCCTAGCGCGGGACAATGAAAGGCCTCCCGCACTGGAAGGAGTGATTTGCATATTCCCCGGAGGGGCCTTACTCCAGAGCGCAGTGATTAGCATATGGCGGGGGCAACCTGAGCAAAGCGCATGCGCGCAGGGACTGCAGACTGACGCGAAGTGGGTAGCCTTGTCTTCGTAGGGGATCAGTTTGCATCCTGAGAGAGGGCACGAGGGCCAGGACCCCTCCCAACCAGGATAAAGGTTTATTGATCTCCTAGGTGTCAGGCCCCATGCTGGCGGATTCTGTGGTTTCTGCAGTGAACCATACTCCTGTACTCACGGCACCCCAGTCGAAGGAGATACGCACCTAATTAGACAACTACTACCCAGAAGGTCAGACCTGGAGTGAGGAACACAGGGGGCTGTGGGAGCCTAAGAGGCGCTTGCCCCGGCCTCTGGTTCTAGAAAGACTTCCAGGAGGTGGTGATCCTTAAGCCAAGTACGAATAGGAGCCAACTAGAATGGGAATGGGTCTGGCAGAATGAACTGCAAGCGCCAAGGCCCAGAGGCCAAAAAAAAAAAAAAAAAAATAGAAGCGCATGTTTTGATTGAGGAAGCAAGAGCAGCTTAGTATGCCTAGAACCTAACTGGAGACGGGAAATGGTTCTATAGACGATGTTAGAGTTCAACTATGGCTACATTCCAGTCTTCCTGTAAGTGACTTTGTCACATTCTGGCTTAAAACTCCCCCAAAGGGATCCCATTAGGAAAAAAAAAAAATCCAAAAATCTTTATCATGGCCTCAGGGCTATACACCTGGTCTGGCCGTGCTTATCTTTCTGACCCCACCTACTTCCTCCTCCCTCCATTTCTGTCCAGCTCCACCTTACCCCAAACTCTTTACCAGCTCGGGCCTCTGCTCTTGCCGTTCCCTCCGCCTGAAAATGCTTTTCCCTCTGACCTTTGAATACCTACTCTTGTGCTCACCATTCATATCTTGGTACAGATGTCAATCTGAGAGGCTTTTCCTGATCTCTCCATAATAGCACTTACACATTTGACTGGAGTTATGGATAAATCGGGATTGGCCATGAGTTGGTGGTGGTTGTAACTGGCATGAAGAGTACATGGGGCTGGGCGCGGTGGCTCACGCCCGTAATCCCAGCACTTTGGGAGGCCGAGGCTGGTGTATCACCTGAGGTCAGGAGCTTGAGACCAGCCTGGGCAACATGGTGAAACCCTGCCTCTATTAAAACTACAAAAATTAGCCAGGGGTTATGGGGGGTGCCTGTAATCCTTGCTACTTGGGAGGCTGAGGCACGAAGATCACTTGAACCCTGGAGGCAGAGGTTGCATTGAGTCGAGATTGAGCCACTGCACTCCAGCCTGGGCCACCCAGCGAGACTCTGGGTCTCGCCTGTAATCCCAGCACTTTGGGAGGCCGAGGCGGGCGGATCACGTCAGAAGATCGAGACCATCCTGGCCATCCTAGACCATTTCTACTAAAAATACAAAAAAAAAAAAAAAAAAATTAGCCGGGCGTGGTGGCAGGCGCCTGTAGTCCCAGCTACTCGGGAGGCTGAGGCAGGAGAATGGCGTGAACACGGGAGGCGGAGCTTGCAGTGATCCGAGATGGCGCTACTGCACTCCAGCCTGGGCGACAGAGCGAGACTTGGTCTCAAAAAAAAGAGTACATGGGACGTTATTGTCCTGTCTACTCCTGTGGGTTTGAAGTTTTCCATAATGACAATGGCATACCACATCACCATACTCTGCATTTATATTAATAGTTCTTATCACAATCTGAACTTTCTTTGCTTCCTTGTTTTGAGTGTTTTCCTCATGAAAGCTTCATGAGGGTAAGAATGGAGTCGCCCTTTTTCACTTTGGGTTCTCAATGCTTAGAGCAGGATCAGATTTCAGATTAGTGTAGCGCTGTCTTTAACACTTAACATTTGCCTGTTTTATTCACCATGGACTCTAGAACTTTGAGCAGCACCTGGCACATCGTAAGAGGTTATTTTTTAAAGTTAGAATAATACATCTAAAATGTACATGAATGAATGAGAGGCCTGGGATGCCAGACTAAAGAGCTTTGACTTGGTCTAAAGGTGATGGGGAGCTAGGCAAAGGTTTTGAGAGTTTAACTTTAATTCAAAGTTCCCTTGGAGACTAATGTCTGGGGTAGGGGGAAGCCAGGGTAAGGGTCCGGGCCATGGAATGGGGTAGCTCAGTCGCTATCAAAAAGACAAGACTGTGACTATTTGGCTGAAGAAATGGCCAAACCCAGGTTTCTGGGGAGGTCGAGGTACCCTCAGTGAGGTCAGGACCTTCTCCTGGCCTATACTGTCCACCAGCAACCATCACACTCCTCCCTCCCCTCTCCCTTAGTTCCCCTCCCAATGGTACAGCCCTTGACAGCAGGACAGACACACAGCCACCCCAAACACTTGTTCTCTCCTCAGTTTAATGGTGGTTAGTGAGATTGCCAAACCCCCTCCCCATTCCCCTCCCCACCCCGTACAAAATGTGTGTGTGGTTTTTTG
Source organism: Homo sapiens (assembly GCF_000001405.40). Lineage (NCBI taxonomy): Eukaryota > Metazoa > Chordata > Mammalia > Primates > Hominidae > Homo > Homo sapiens. Next base: position 43,622,464 of record NC_000019.10, read on the forward strand.
TTTTTTGTTTTTTGTTTTTTAACAAGAAAAAGGGGGCAAAAGCCAGGAATGGGGAGAGGGGGGTGCAATCTGATATTTTCATACAGACTTTTGATTTTTTAATATATTATATATAAAACCATGAAGACCACGAATCCTCCCCAAACTCCTTTCCCCCTCCCCGGGGGGCCTGGAGGAGAGATGGGGAAGGCCCCCCCAGGAGTGGGTGGACAGAGAGACAAATATGGATGGGACAGACGTTGGGGGAGAAGGTAGAGAGAAGGGGAGCCCAGGAACCTGGGGAAGGGGGATTGGAGAAAAGGGTTGGGGCTGTCTCCCTCACTGCCCCCATCAAAGTTATGACACAAAGACACAGAATCCCTATTTCCACGCCCTCCCCCCACCCATCCCCCCACCGTGCAAACATGGCTTTGCAAAGAAGTGCCCAGAGCTCTGTGGAACTCTTACAATGGCTGGCATGGGGTCTAGGACCCCCAAAGAAATCTGTGTTCCCCTTCCCTGCCCCCCCCACCCTTCCCAGAAACTGACCCCCTCCCCACAAGACCTGGTTTTGTAGCCTAGGGGCCCTGGCCTTCCCCCAGTTATCTTCCCCCAACCCAATCCCTACTGCCCTCACTGGACTTGGGGGGTCTGGACCTTTGGCCCCTGCCCCCTGGGGGACCCAGACCTCTGGGCCCTCACTTCTGGCCCTTACAGAGATCCAGGCATCCAACACCCCCATCCCTGCCCAAGCGTCTGAGGTGTTAGTGGTGGGGGGAGAAGCCCACCATCCCAGACTCTGGTAAATGTCTTTGCTGGTTCCTTGCAGCTGGCAGTGGGGGGGACCCCAGCCCAGGCCCAGGCCTAGGCCTGGGGTGGGGATAGGGTCAGATGAAGAATTCCTCTTTCCTCTTGTGTCCGTCGCTGCCATTGAGGAAGGCTTCTCTTGCTTCTCCCTGTTCATCCAAGCCACTGGCTTCGTGGGTCAGATAGGAACCTGAGGGGGTGACAGACCCCCGGGGCAGGGGGGACATATTTGTGGATCCAGGAGTTGGACAGAAGTATAAGGGAAGAGGGAGACAGACAAGACACATGCCAGGCGAAGGAAGAGGGAGAAACGGAACACACAGGGAGAGGCAGAGAAAGAGGTAAACAGTGGCAGAGAAAGAGGTAAAAGCAGAATTAGGAAGACTCCAAAAGCTCACCGAAAGTGCCACCCTTATCCTTTCTCTTGGAGGTATTTCCTTGCCCTGCTCCCAGCGAATTCAGCAATTAGGAAAATAAATTGTTTTATTCAAATCCATGCTCTTTTTTTCCCCTAATTTTTTGTATTTTTAGTAGAAAAGGGGCTGCGCCATGGTGCCCAGGCTGGTCTCGACCTCCTAGCTTCTCAAGTGCTTTATCCGCCTTGGCCTCCCAACGTGCTGGGATTACAGGCGTGAGCCACCGCGCCCAACCGCAAATCTATGCTTTTAATTCAGCTTCTAAATTCTACCCCTTTTCGAGTATTGTGCCGAAAGCCCCGCCCCCTTTGTCATCTCCGCCCCCGGTGCGGCGGGATTTGGAATCCAGAGCCTAGGCTCCGCCCTCTCGTTACCCTGGCTCTAGGCCCCGCCTCTTTCCGAGCCCTACAACCAACCAACCGTAGAGTCCAGGCCCCGTCCCACTCACCCTTCTGCCGTACCGAGCACCAGACCATGCCCACTAGCACACATATGATCAGAAACACCAGCAGCGCCAGGATGCCGCCCACAATGGCATAGGGAACCGACGTCTGAGCCTCTACCACCGCACCAGGGTCTGCCAGAGGGACACGGCACAGGACCAGGTCATCAGAGGACGATCCCAGTCTGGCCCCATCGCTGCCAAGCTTTTAAGCCATTCTGCACACGTCTAACCGTGCCCTTTTATGTGCCACACCCCTCAAAAATTACTGCCACCTTGTAGTCTCTTCTCTTTCCAGATGCTTGTTGGTTTGTACACTGCCCGACCCCTCCCCTGAGTCATGTTACATTTTCCTTTTCTTTTTCTTGTTTTCTTTTGCAGAGACGGGGGTCTCACTATGTGGCCCAGGCTGATCTTAAACTCCTGGGCTCAAGCGATCCTCCGGCCTAGGCCTCCCAAAGTACTGGGATTAGAGGCGTGAGCGACCGCACCCAGCCATCCCTTTTCTTTTGACTCAAGTTTCTTCCTCCACTAAGAAACAGAGTCCAAGAAACAGGTCCAAGTCCCTTCCCACCTTGTCTAAAACGCTCCAAGTATTTAAAGTGCTGGGCCCAACTACCAAAATTTCTGCCCCACCGTCATAGAGCTAAACACAGAACAGCTGTGTGCTAGAGCCCATTCCAACCACCTTACATATTTAGTTCACATAATCTTCACAACAGCCTTGTTATATAGGTGCTATTGTTTATTTCCACTTTACTGATGGGTAAACTGAGGCGCAGACAGGTTCGGTTACCTGCAATAGAATGCAGCCAACCCGAATTTGAGCCCCGCGGGCCAGTCTGGTCCCAAAACAAAAAGAACTCTGTTGGCTGCCGAACCCCTGAGTTATGTGGCCTCTTTGCTCAAGCCCCGCCCCCGCCACCTGGCGCCCCGCCCCCGCCCTCAGTCGGCCGCAGCCTGCTCTCACCGTAGACCACAAGTACGTAGAGCGCCCTCGCATGGCCGTGCTTATTGGACGCCTCGCAAGTGTAGGTGCCGTTATCCGCGGATACCAGACCCGGCAGCGTGAGCGTCTCTCCCACGGCCTCCGCCCTCTCCGGCAAAGACTCATTCCCGCGGTTCCAGCGGATCTGGTTTGGCCTGGGTGGGGATAAAGTATAGTGAGAGTTAGGAACCGAGGTGCCAGCACCCAATTCTGACTTGTCAAGAATCTAGACATGCAACTCTCATCCCGCAGGGACCTCCAAATAAGAGGCTTCCTGCTATCTCTTTCCTTTCTGGAAAACCAACAGTCCTGGGCCTACTTCCACCCATCACCAAGGTCTCAGGAATTCTAGCCCAGGCTGAACATGGTGGCTTATGCCTGCAATCCCAGCACTTTAGGAGGCTGAGACGGGAGGACTGCTTAAGGCCAGCAGTTCCAGACCAGCCTGGGCAACACAGGGAGACCCCGTCACTACAATTAAAAAATAATAATAATAATAATAATAATTCTAGCCCTCCCACGCCATTCCATCCTCAGCAACCAGGAGTCTGAGGCTGCACAGCTTCAGTATTGGGGAGTCTGAGCCTCCAGATTCCTCCTCCCTCAGGATCCAGGAGTCCAGGTCCCAGATCCCTATTCGTCCAGGTCCCCAGCTCTCTCCTCCTCAGGACCCAGGAATCCAGGTCCTAGCTCCCTGTTTGTCCAGGTCCTCAGCTCTCTCCTCCTTAGGACCCAGGAGTCCAAGTCCCTGGTCCCTGTTCTTCCAGGTCCCCAGCTTTCTCCTCCTGAGGACGCAGGAGGCCCCCAGAGCTCACCTGGGGTTCCCCGTGACAGCACACGTCAACACCAGCGTGTCTCCCTCCCTCACCACAGCTTGGGAGGCATGAATCCGGGCCGTGGGGGAGTCTGTTAGGCAAAAGTAAGAGGAGAGAGTAGTTTCCAAGCCATCACGCAGGACAAGGGGGACCCTCGCGGGTGCGGGTGGCTGGCGTTGGGATCCCTTGGGTCCTGGCCCGCCGGTCACTTACACTGCACATCCAGCACGTACTGCGTCTGCTTGCTGTGTCCGGAGGGCAGCGCCTGGTTCTGCGCCTCACAGATGATGATACCACCGTCGTCCTTACGGTCCACACGAAACCGTACTGTGCTTGCCACGCTCCAGACCTTGCCATTTTCCTGGCTGCTGCTCACTCCTGCCACACCCCGGTCAGACACTGTCAGGCCACAATTCCGGCTCCATCCACCCACCCACCCGAGCCAACGCCAAAGCAGGCTATTTGCCAAGCTCCACCCCTTACCCACAGGCCCCGCCTCTTGTCCTCCAAGCTACGCCCCTCCCCTAACCAAGCCCACGTGCCTCCTCCCAAAGCTCTTCCCTCTTTCACGCTCATGCTTTCTCGTCTATCAATCCATTTAATTGCTATATATATAAAAACATAAATTTATATATATACTTAGAGACAGGGTCTCACAATGTTGGGCAGGTTGAACTCCTGACCTCAAGCAATCCTCCCATCTCAGCCTCCCAAAGTGCTAGGACTACAGGCGTGAGCCACCGCGCTCGACATCAACCACTACATATTGAATGTCCAGTGTCTGTGAAAACCTGTGGCTCCTCTCCACATATAAACAACCTCTCCTAAGTCCCACCTCCTCCCCATCCCTTGTCAGCACTCGGCCCAGGGTACCTTTCAGCTCCTTGCGGTCCCGGTACCAGCGCAGGGTGGCAGCCGGACGGGACCGCGGAACGAGGCAGCTGAGCTCCACCTCGCCGCCCTCTACCGCCTGCTCCCGGACCTCCACCACAGGATTCTCTGGGGCCACTGCCGCAGGGAGAAGGGAAGTAAGGGGTTAAAGAAGGCACGAACGTGGGCTCAAAGCGATCGAGCTGCCTGTTCCCAGCGACCATAGGGAACCAGGGTCCCAGGTGGCAGGGGTCAAAGGGGAGAGGTCAGGAGCCAGATGCCCATCCAGGATGTTAAAAATAGCCATGGTCTGAAAGTCTCAGGAGAAGAGAGAAGCAGAGAAGAAAGGAGGAGAGGATGCGTCTGACAAGGGGGAGGGCGTTACCTAGTACCGTGAGCGTGGCAATCTGGTGGTGGGTGTCTTCTGTGTAGAGCTGGCAGAAATAGCCCCCCTCGTCCTCCAGGCGGGCATCTGAGAGCCGGATCCGCACCCGGCGTGGGGAGAACTCCTCAAGCTGGAAACGCTCATCCTTCAAGGCTAGAGAGAGTGAGGGGGAAGGTGTGAATTTCGGGAGTCCTGGCCTCACAAGTCCCACCCTTCCGACAGGAGCTTAGAGTCCAGCCCTCTGCCTCTTTTCTCCAGCCATATCTATGAGTCTGAGGTGTCCAACTATTTACTCCCTTGAGGACCCAGCATTATTCAAGTCCTCCTGCCTGCAGGACCAGCAGTCCGGGACCCCAGCCCTTTCTTCTCCGAGACCCAGGAGACCAAACTCTCAGGTGTGTCCTCTTTCAGGACATGGGAGCCTGGGCCCCAGCCCTCTCTTCCTTTAAGACTCCTGAGTCTGGTCCCCAGCACTCACCACGGGTGCCATTGAAGAAGAGGGTCTGCCGGGCTGGGTTCTGGATGACAACTATGGACCCATCATACTGGTGCAGACGGCAGGTGATCTCAGCCACCCCACCCTCAGCCACTGTCACGTTCTCTGTCTGTACTTCCTGTCCTGCCCCTGGACGATTAGACAAAGAGACAGGATAGAAGACTTACTGAGAGCTGCAATTCAATTTTTTCTTTCTCCCTCTTCCCCATCCAAACCTCCAATCCCTCTCTTTCCCCTCATTCATTCCATTGCACTGAACATTTCCTGCAGGCTAGAGTCCAGGACAGGGAGGAAATCTGCTCCCTACTCTAAAAGAGCTGCAGTCAAGATTTAGTAGAATATGCTCTAATGAGGGCAGCACAGGGCACACTAGGAGCCCAGAGCAAGGGAGGACTATTATAGAATTGCCTAGAGAGATGGGTAGCCAGAGAGGGCTCTGCAAGAAAGCTCCATTGGATCTGGATCTTAAAGAGTAAGCAGGAGGCTGAGCGCGGTGGCTCATGCCTGTAATCCCAGCACTTTGAGAGGCCGAGGTGGGCGGATCGCAAGGTCAAGAGATAGAGACCATCCTGGCCAACATGGTGAAACCCTGTCACTACTAAAAATACAAAAAAAAAAAAAAAATTAGCTGGGTGTGGTGGTGCGCACCTGTAGTCCCAGCTACTCGGGAGGCTGAGGCAGGGGAATCGCTTGAACCCGGGAGTTGGAAGTTGCAGTGAGCCGAGATGGAGCCACTGCACTCCAGGCTGGGCGACAGAGCGAGACTCTGTCTCAAAAAAAAAAAGAAAGAAAAAAAAGAGTAAGCAGGAGTTCACAAGGTGTGGGAGACTGCTGTGTGTTCACCAAGCCTCATCTTTCACACCTGGGCACATGTTGTAGCCCGTTTGCAAAGATAGCCGTAATATTCTCCTGTCCCTGGACATGCCCTTTGCAAGTTGATTTTGCCATTCCTCCCATTGAGAAGGCACTTTGTCCCCTACTAGTCTGGGTAAGCCTTGAGAGTTGCTTTGACCAATAGAATTTGCTAGAAGTGATATTGAGCCTAGGCCTGAAGAGGCCTTGTAGCTTCCACTCCTGCCCTAAGACTGTTGCATGAAGATACCCAGACTAGTGTCTTTGCAGATGAACAATCATGGTGAAAGAGAAGCCCAGCCGGCAGCCAGCACCAATCGCCAGCTGTGTGAGTGTGGCCATCCTGGATCATCCAGCCCCAGCTGCCCCACCAGCTGACAGCAGCCACACAAGTGACCCCAGTTGAGACCAATAAAAGATCTGCCCATCTGATACAGCCCAAACTGCTGAACCCCAGAATCATGAACAAATAAGGTGGTGGTTGTTTTAAGCTCCTAAGTTGTGGGTGATCTGTTCTACTGCTAAAGTTAACTGATACAATACATAATTAGGCTATACTTCCCAGCATCCTTTATAGTTAGGTGGGGCCATGTGACCAATTCTGGCCAATGGGATGTAGGTGGAAGAGAAACACCTCTTGCAGCCTGACCCATCTCCCTCATAATCCTTCACACTGGCTGAACAGAGAGGACTCCAAGGAGCCTAGAGGAGGGCAGAATCACAAGCCAGAAGGAACCTGGGTCTCTAACTGACTGTCCCCCATGACCCGCCTGTATAGGACTGTGATATGAGCAAGAAATATACCTTTTTGTTAAGCCATTGAGATTTCAGGGGTGTCTGTTACAGCCTTTAACCTACCCTGATTAATCCATCAGAAAAACAAGGTGGGGAATCTAGAACCATCAGAGAAAAGCATTTAGGAAAGCTGAAAGCCAAGACTAATCATCAGCATTAATATCATCATCTGTTGTCTTCAAAATAACAATAACCCCCATAGCTACCAATTATTAGGTACTTGCAGTGTTAGTCCCTGTGCTAAGGGCATTACCCATATAACTTACCTTTAATCCTCACAATCCCTGTGTAAGGTAGACATGATTATTATCATTATTATTATTATTTTGGGACAGAGTATTGCTCTGTTGCCCAGGCTGGAGTGCAGTGGTGTGATCTCAGCTCATTGAAACCTCCACCTCCCAAGTTCAAGCGATTCTTCAGCCTCAGCCTCCCAAGTAGCTGGAATTACAGGCATGCACCACCATGCCGGGCTAATTTTTATTTTTAGTAGAGACAGAGTTTAGCCATATTGGCCTGGCTGGTCTCGAACTCCTGGCCTCAAGTGATCCGCCTGCCTCAGCCTCCCAAAGTCCAGGGATTACAGGTGCGACCCACCGCGCCTGGCCAATTATTATTATTATTTTTAATTTGAGACAAGGTCAGGCTGGAGTGCAGTGGCACGATCTCAGCTCACTGCAATGTCTGCCTCCCAGGCTCGAGTGATCCCACCTCAGCCTCCCCAGTAGCTGGAACTACAGGTGCACAACATCACACCTGGCTAACTTTTGTATTTTTTTAGAGACGGAGTTTCACCGTGTTGCCCAGGCTGGTCTTGAACTTGCGAGCTCAAGTGAACTGCCTGCTTCGGCCTCCCAAAGTGCTGGGATTACAGGCATGAGCCACTGTGCCCGGCCTGCGCTATTATTATCCCCATTTTGCCCGGCCTGCGCTACTATTATCCCCATTTTCCCCCATTTCCATTTTTCTTTTCTTTTTTTTTTTTTTTTTTTTTTGAGACATTGTCTTGCTCTGTCGCCCAGGCTAGAGTGCAGTGGTACGATCTCGGCTCACTGCAACCTCCACTTCCCGGGTTCAAGCAATTCTCCTGCCTCAGCCTCCCAAGTAGCTGGGATTATAGGCACCTGCCACTGCACTTGGCTAATCTTTGTGTTTTTAGTAAAGACGGGGTCTCACCATCTTGGCCAGGCTGGTCTGGAACTCCTGACCTCGTGATCCACCCGCCTCGGCCTCCCAAAGTGCTGGGATTACAGGCTTGAGCTATCGTGTCCTGCTCCCATTCCCATTTTATAGGTGAGAAAATTGGCCCACAGAGATGAAATGACTTGCCCAAGTTCACAGCCAAGAGTGGCAGTGCCAAAATCTTCGTCCAAATCTCTGATTCTGTATCCTGAATCTGTATATCCACTCCTGGCTGTCTGGATTAAGTGTCCATCATTGGCAGGGGGTTGTGAGAGCCGCTTGTGATGGGCCTCGAATGCCAACCTAGGAGATTTGCTTTCATCCTAAGGGCCAGTGAAGGTTTTGAAGCAGGAATATGCCATGATTAGATCTGGCTATTTGTCTTTAAGTGCTGGATAACTATCCATGTCTTTTACATTCAGGTGCTGGGTTGCATTCATTCAGGAGTATTTCCTGAGCATCACGTAGGTTTTCAGGGGCTGAGTAGTCAGAGATGAGTTAGATGAGGTCCCTGCCCTTTAAGATTTATGGGAAGGTAGGAACCAATCACGGTAATCAAAAGTGTTATGTGGCTGGGCACGGTGGCTCACACCTGTAATCCCAGCACTTTGGGAGGCCGAGGTGGGCGGATCACAAGGTCAGGAGTTCGAGACCAGCCTGACCAACATGGTGAAACCCCGTCTGTACTAAAAATACAAAAATTAGCCAGGTGTGGTGGTGGGTGCTTGTAATTCCAGCTACTCAGGAGGCTGAGGCATAAGAATCGCTTGAACCTGGGAGGCAGAGGTTGCAGTGAGCCAAGATCGCGCCACTGCAGTCCAGCCTGGGTGACAGAGCAAGACTCCGTTTCAAAAAAGAAAAAAAAAAAAGAAATAAATAAAAGAAAGTGTTATGTTTTCTGTAAGAGGGTAGGTAACCTAATTTGGAAGTTGAGGGGTAGAAAAGATTATTTCTGGGGGATGGAGACAGAGACTTCTGGCTTCCTATTCTGACATCCATTTTTCCCTTTCTCCTCAGTAAAAGAAAAGAACACTGGTTGTATTTTATGGTTGCACTATGTCCAGCAGAAAAAGGCATTCCTCAGTCTCCTTGCAGCAAGGTAAAGCCATCTGATAAAATTTTGTCCAGTTGGATATAAGCCAAAATGTTGCGTGACAATTTTGGGAGGACTTCCTGAAACAGGTGGACAAACCCTTTTTCTACTGAGTCACCTTTGTGCCACCTGGAACTAACAGTGTGACGCGTGGAATTTAGGCAGCCATATTGAACCATGAGGACAAGAGCAGTGGGGATGGCGGAACCAAGAGCTGGAAGGTGCCTGAGTCTCTGGTGAAGATGTGGAGCTGCTGTAACAGCCCTCAACTCCTAGTTCTGGACTTCTTTTATGTTTTAGTGTAACGCTTTGGGTATTTTTATTTTTTTAATTTATTTTAGAGATGAGGTCTCACTATGTTGCCTAGGCTGGACTCAAACTCTTATGCTCAAGCAGTCCTCCTGCCTCAGCTTCATGAGTAGCTGAAACTATAGCACTTTGGGTATTTCAGCCACTGTTTGAGGTTTTTCTAGCACCTCCTGGAATATCAAGCTTAACATGTCCAATCCTTGCCCCAGATATTTTCCTCCCCAAATTTTCTCAATCTCAATAAATGTCACCACCATCCACCTGGTTGCTCAGGTCAAAAACCTAGAAATCATTCAAGTTCTCTCCCTTTCCCTCATCCCCAATATCCATTCCATCAGCAACATCTGTCCATTCTACCTCCAAGACATATCCCAGATCTCATCACCTTTGTCTGCCTCTCCTACCCTCACTCTCATCCAGCATCATCCCTCACCTGGACTCTGCAAAAGCCTACTCGTGGGTCTGTCTGCATCCCTGTCTGCCTCCTCCAGGGCCATTCTCCACCCAGTGGCCGGATCGATTTTTCAAAGAGGTAAATCAGATCAATTCACCTTTCTGCTTAAAACCCTCCGAGGGCTGCCCGTAACATGTAGAATAAAATAGAGACCCCTTCCCGGGGACTTCAAGGTGCTATATGGCCTGGCCCCTTGCTGACCTTACTTCACTCTGGGCTCGCTAGCCTTGCTGTCCCTCAAACATGCTGAGCTCGCTCCCACCACAGGGCCTTTTCCCTTTTCTTCCTTCTGCCTGGAATGTTCTTCTCCCCACCTCCCAAGCCCCATCTTCCCAGGGCTGACTCCTGTTCCCATTTGGGTCTCAAATCATATCAGTACCTTCTCAGAGAGGCCTTCCCTCACTGCTCATCCCTTCACCTTTAGAACACTTTCTTTTCTTTTAAGAGACAAAGTCAGCCCAGTGCGGTGGCTCACGCCTGTAATACCAGCACTTTTGAGAGGCCAAGGCGGGCAGATCACCTCAGGTCAGGAGTTCAAGACCAGCCTGGCCAACGTGGCGAAACCCCGTCTCTACTAAAAAAATACAAAAATTAGCTAGGCAGTGGTAGCCCGGGCTACTCAGGAGGCTGAGGCAGAATTGCTTGAACCCAGGAGGCAGAGGTTGCAGTGAGCCGAGATTGAGCCACTGCACCCCAACCTGGGTGACAGAGAGAGACTCTGTCTCAAAAAAAAAAAAAAAAAAAAGAGACAGGGTATTGCTCTGTCACCCAGGCTGGAGTGCAGTGGTGCAATCATGGCTCACTGCAGCCTCGAACTCCTGGGCTCAAGCCATCCTCCCACCTCAGCCTCCTAAGTAGCTGAGATTATAGGCTCCTCCCACCACACCTGGCTAATTTTTGTGCTTTTTGTGGAGACACAGATTCTCCATGTTGCCCAGGCTGGTCTCCAACTCCTGGGGTCAAAGGATCCTCCTGCCTCGGCTTCCCAAAGTGCTGGGATTACAGGCGTGAGCCACTGCGCCTGGCCCAGAACACTTGCTATTTCCTCACCATTGCTTTATTTCTTCTATGAAGATTTCACTGGAATTATCAGATTAATTTGCTTATTTGTTTACTGTCTGTTTGTCACCCATGACTGGAATGTATACTCTAGGAAGGCAGGGATATAATCCAATGGGTTTACTGCTGCACCCCTAGTACCCAGAAGAGTGCTTGGCACCTGATAAGTGTCTGGGGAACTTGCTACATGAATTACATGTGTCAGATGGGATATCTGTTCGTCTTTCTTCTCTCTTTTTTCTTTCTCTCTTTCTCTCTCTCTTTCTTTCTCTTTCTTTCTTTTTTCTTTTTTTGAGATAAGGTCTCGCTCTGTCACCCAGGCTAGAGTGCAGTGGTGCAATCATGGCTCACTGCAACCTTGAACATGTGGGCTCAAGCGATCCTCCCACCTCAGGCTACCAAATAGCTAAGACTACAGAGGTGCGTAGCTATGCCCAGCTAATTAAAAAAAAAAAAATTTTTTTTTTTTTTTAGAGATGGGGGTCTCAATATCTTGCCCAGGTTGGTCTTGAACTCCTAGGCTCAAGCAATCCCCCTGCCTTGGCCTCCCAAAGTGCTGGGATTATAGGCATGAGCCATTGCAGCTGGCCCAGACAGAATCTCATTTCAGCCCGACAACTTTGTGACATCATTATTTTCATCTTAAACACCTAGGTTGATCCCAGCTCAACCACTTGCCATCTGTGTGACCTGTGGGCAAGTGACCTTACCTTTCGGAGCCTCAGTTGCCCCATCTATAAAATGGGAATGATGCCAGTGCCTGCCTCATAAGGATGAGCCCCGCTCCTGAAGCTCAGGGAGCCCTCTCTGCAAGGCTGTTTTAGTGCAACCTCCGGAAACATGCCCATGCATGTGAAAACTGGCATGCACATTCTGGTGCTTTTAAAAACATCTCGAAGCCTATCCACAGATCCTGGACCTCAAGACTGGTTCAGTGCTAGCCCCCCATTTTACAGATGTGGAGAATGAGGCTTAGCGGGTCCCAGGCAAGTCAGTGGCAAAACTCACCATCTCCTGGGAGCCATCAGGTTCCTCTGGATCTGCCCCCACCAAATTTATCCCCTGCTCTCTGCTTGAGGGTGCACATGGGGTGAGGGTGGGGGTCTTTTGTTTTACTCCCTCCCCCTCCTGAGGAGTCAGTAACCAACAGTGTCTGTGCCTGGAATATTAATGTCTCAGCAGCTTTTGTTTGGGGGGTTGGGGGTGGTGGGGGCGGGACTTTCTGGTCAGAGAGGGGCTGAGCTTTGGGGACTGAGGCACTGGCCCTTTAAACTGTGTTGACAGCCAGGAGTCGTCATGGGGATGGTGCTTGGAAAAGGGGACAGGGAGGGTTTGGGAAAGAGTGGCGGAGCAGGTAATGCGTAAGACCCAGGAATCCAGCCCCCAACTACCTCCTCTCCCAGGACCCAGGAGTCTAGGCTCCCAGCCCCTCCTCCATCAGGTTCCAGGAGTCTGGAACCCCGGCTTCTTTCCGCCTTAGACCCAGGAATTCAGCCCCCAACCACCTCCTCTCTCAGGTTCCCGAAATCCAGACCCCTAGCCCCCTTCTCGATCAGGACCCAGGAGTCTGGGCTGTCAGCAGCCCCTTCCTTCAAACCTAGGAGTCAGAGCCCCCAGCCCTCTCCTAGCTTAGACACAGGAGTCTGGGCCTCCAGCCCCCTCCTCCTTCAGGACCCAGGAGCCAGGGGTCCAGAGTACACAGCTGGTGGATGTTTCCACGGAGACTAAGCAGGGTGGGGGGAGCGCTTCCTGGGTCCTGAGTCAGCGAATACCCAAGGGAGTCTCAAGGTCATAGTTCCGGGAAGGTCACCACCACCCCCTCTGTATCCGCTCCCCAGGGGGCTCCTGGCATCCTGCCTCCTTCCCCCTTCCTCCCTTAGGGAGGTGGTACATCCCTGCGTCCTGACTGAACCCCCCTCAGCCCCCCATCAATGGCGGAGTCCGAACATCCTCGCACAAAGCGTCAATTCTTCCCCAGCTCAGCCTTGTGAAGGCGCCTGTATTCGCAGGACCTAGGCGTCAGGGTCTCAGCCCCTCCTCCCTCAGAAACCTGCAGTGGAATCCCCCGCCTCCAGCCCCTTCCTCCCTCAGGACCCAGGAGTCTGTATCCTCATCCCTTCCTCCCTCAAGACCTAGGAGTGTGGACTCCCAGCCCCCTTTTCCTTCCGGACACAGGAGTTCCAGCCCTCGGCCCTCTCCTCTCTTAAACCCAGGGGTCTAAGACCCCAGCCTCCTCCTCCCTCAAACTCAGGAGTCTAAGATCCCAGGCCCCTCCTCCCTCAGACTCAGGAGTCTAAGATCCCAGGCCCCTCCTCCCTCAGACTCAGGAGTCTAAGACCCCAGGCCCCTCCTCCCTCAGACTCAGGAGTCTAAGATCCCAGGCCCCTCCTCCCTCAGACCCAGGAGTCTAAGACCCCAGCCCCTCCTCCCTCAGACTCAGGAGTCTAAGACCCCAGCCCCTCCTCCCTCAGACTCAGGAGTCTAAGACCCCAGCCCCCTCCTCCCTGGACCCAGGAGCCTAAGACCTCAGCCCCCTCCTCCTTGAGACCCAGGAGTCTAAGACCCTAGCTCCCTCCTCCTTTAGACCCATTAGTCCAGGCCCCCAGACCCTCCTCCATCAGACCCAGGAGTCCAGGCCCCCAGCCCCTCCTCCATCAGATCCAGCCCCTCCTCTCCTGAAAACTTTTGACTCTAACTCCCCAGTCCTCAACCCCTAGAAGCACAGTCCTGCCTTTCCTCAATCCTCTGTCCCCTCCCATCTGGGGACCTAGGCATCAGGTGGGGGCGTAGGGGTGAGTCAGCAACCTCACACACAAAGTCCCCGCTGTGGCCCCCACATTCCTGGGATATTCGGGACTCCCTGGATTCCAGGCCTCAGGCCCAGCCAGGGAGTGGGGAGTCCCCCAGAGGTCCTCCCTGGGTGTGGGGTACGAGAGGAATTCCTGCTCCGGGAAGGGTGCAGGCCTGCACTGAGCTCCCTCTGTCCGAACCTCCACGCCCAGTGCCCTCTATTCACCCCCTCTTCCCAGAAGAGCCCAGGCTCAGCACCTGCCCCTTGCCCCACTGGGTGCCCACGGAGGAGCCTGCGTGCCTGCTCCCTATGGGCCTGGGGTCTGCACAGGCGGAAATCAGTGGGTGCTTCCGTTCTGATGCCACAGGCCATTGGATGCTGGCGGGTCTGACTGTCTCCAGGCCACCCCCCACCCCTCCCAGAGAGAGAAAGCTGCCTTTGTGTTCTCCAAGATGGGGACAGGCCAGGCTCGCACGACATTAACCCAGCCTTAGGCCCCAGCCCTGCTGTGTCTAAGGTCTTGGAATCCACTGCAGAACCTGACCCCCACCCCCAGGCTCTGGGGACACAGGCGCCTGGCTCATGGGTGGGTGGGTGGGGGGGTCAGTGATAGAAACCTCCAAAACCTGTTCCTTGGGGTGACTCACAATGGAGGGAGGGTCCCCCTATTCTCAAGAGTGGCTGGTCAGAATTTTAGCAGGAAAAAGTGAGTCACCCTGGGAAGGAAACATTATTTAGGGACCAACAACTGCCCCCTCCACAAGACCCCTCAACTCCTAATAGCCTCTCTATTCTTTCTTTGTATTGGATATCTGTTTCCTCTCCTCCTTTCTGTTCTACCCAGTTTCTGGCTGCGGGTCCCATTTCTGCCTGGGTGCATCCCTGGGCAGGCAACCCATCCCTCCCTCTTGCTTTCTCTCCTCTGCCCACCCTGGATCCTTCTTTGGGCATAAATCTCATCTTCTTCTGCTATGCTCAGAAGATGAATGAACCAGGAGAGAGAGAACATGTTTTTAAAATGGCGCAAATGCACCCCATCTCCCCCGATTCCTGCTGGCTGGGCAAGGTGAGAGAGGAAGAAGTGACTAAGAGAGAAATGTGGGAACAACAGATACCCCCTAAAATGTGGTAGCCAAGGCCACTGAGAAATATCCAATGGAAAGGAGAGCAGGAAGGGCCCTCCAAGACCACATGCTACAGCCTCCTACCCCATGCTTTACAGAACGGGAAAGTAAGGCCCAGAGAGGGACAAGGACTGATGCAAAATTATACTAAAGGGTCCTGGGTAAGGCTTGGACCCAAGTTCCTTAGCTCCCAGCTGAGAGCTCTTCCCATGACACCAAGCTCAGTTTCTACTGGTAAAAGCCACATACTATTTACTTTAGAGAAAGTTTACAGAGAGGGTTAGGGTGCCAGGAAGCAGTGACTTGGAAATCAAACGAGGGACAGGGCTGTAGACCTAACTCCCAGAAGCACCAGAGAAAGGCTTTTGCACGGGGCGGGTGGTCACCTTAAGCTATATTCTGATCCTGAGAATTCAAAGTCTGATGATTCTAAGCTGTCAGGATTCTAAATGTCATAGATGTCAAGATCCAGGAACTCCAAGACATCAAGATTTCACGATTTTTAAGACGTCAAGATGCTAGCATGCTAACACCATCACGGTTCTAGAACTTTAAAGGTGTCAAGATTCTAAAGCCTTCTGGATTCTAGAATCCTGTAGATGTCAGCATTCTAAAGTACCATCAGGTTCTTTATTTACTGGATTCATTAGTTCCAGGATTCTATGAGCCTGGTGTTTAGCCTAAAAAATAAAGATAAATTAAAATTGATGGAAATGTCACTGAGGTACCAAAGTTCTCATCTGGGAAATTGTGGCATGTCTGTTGTAAAGAAAGGAGGTAATGATGCAAGTTCTAAAGCAGTCACAGAAGACTAGAGAAGAAAGAAAGACAGTGAGAGGACAGCTTTGCCCCTCATCCTGGCCGAGGTGAGGATGGCTCTGCCTCAAACCCTGGAGTGGGGAACATGTAACCGCACTCAACTTGCCAGAAACCCCTTCACGGTCTGAGCTGGCGTTCCCTTTCATGTCACTGAGTTCAACATCCTCACTTTACAGAAAGAGAAACAGAAGCCTGGAGAGAGGAAGGTGTTTACCATTGGCTGCGATGGCAAATGGCAAGAGCCAAGATTTAAGCCCAGGCCGCCAGCCCCATGCCACCTGGTTATAACTCCTCTCACCAATCTCTGCCGAACACCCAGCCCTCCTGCTTCTGCCTAGCCACCTTCCAATCCTCTGTTCCTTCCAAAAGTGGCCTTATCCACCAGGGAGGGGTGACCCGTGGCAGGTTCAAGACTTACACAGTGTGAGAGTGTGTGTGGGTGACATTTCCTGACCTTGTCCCCATTCTCAGGGTCACCCAACCTCGGGGGTCTCCAGCTTCTCACAGTGTGTGATGAGGGTATGTGGATGGCTCCCTGGATGTCCTGGACAGGGGCTTCTCTGTGAGTCAAGCCTGGGTGTGTGAATGGGTGAGCAGGGTTTGGAGAGGCATTCGCTGAATCCACGTGTGTGCCTACACGCCAAGGTCCCCCATTCTCACTTCCCCACACACATGCACACAGATGTTCCCCTCCAGGGCTCTTTAGAATGCCCTGCCTGACTGAATTCCTCTTCAGGGGCACAGAGGGATAGAGAGAGGGAGGAAGGTAGGATGGGAATGGGAGATCCCGGGATGGAGGCTGTAAGCGTAGAGAGAGGAGGCACAGCAGAAAGACAGGGATGGAGATAGTGGGACAGAGAAGGGGGAAAGAGACAGGTGACAGAAAGGGTTAGAGAAACGAGTGACAGAAAGACAGGGGACAGAGACAAGGGGATGGGGCAGATAGGGGACAGAGAAAAAGGGACAGAAAAACAAGGGTGACAGCGAGACAGAGACAGGGACCAAGAATAGGGGCAGAGAGGGAGGGCAGAAATCCGGGGGAAAGAGAATAGACAGGATGATGGAGGGGACAGAGTGACCCAGGAAAAGGGGACAGAGACCAGGGGACAGAGGTAGGGGACAAAGACAGAATAGATGAGGAACACCGAGGCAAGAAGAGAGGGAGACAGACAGAAGGAGGGACAGGACTTCGAGACTGAGGGATAGAGGACAAGGGTAGGGGGACGAGGAGCCAGACGGGGGGGTTCAGAGACGGGCGGACAGAGGGACGCAGAGACTGGACAGAAGGACAGCGGGACCGGCCTGGGGAGGGCGGACTTGTGTGTGTAGGGGGGTCTCGGGCCCTTTGTCCCCGCCGGGATCCAGCCTGCGCGGGTGGGGGGGCTGCGGCACGGCGGCCGGGCCCCGCGCCCCCTCCCCCGCTCGTCGCTCCCGGCTCCCGGCCCGCGCTGCGCTTTGTCCCGGGGAGGGGGCCCGGCCCGGCCCCGCGCGCATTGTTCGGCCTCTGCGGCCCCGAGGCTGCCGGGCTGTCACCACAGCGCGCCCCCCGCCCCAGCCCGGCCGGCCGACCCCGGCCCCCGACCCTACCTGGCCCCGCCGCGGCCGCCCACAGCAGCAGCAGCGGCCACTGGAAGCGCCGGGCCCGGCCCATGGTGCCGCCGCCGCCGCCGCCGCCGCTCGCTCCCGGCCCGGCACCTGCACCGCCCGCGCCGCCCGCCCCGCCCCCCGCGCCCCGCCCCCTGCCCGCCCGGGGGCGGGGCGCCGAGGCCGGGGCGGGGCCGGGGAGGGGAGGGGGAGACGGAGGAGAGGCCCGGAGACAATCGGGGGGACGGCACGGTGGGGGAACGGTGCGGGGTGCGAAAGCTGGAGAGGAGAGGGGTGAGGAGGGCGGGAAGGGGTGCGCGGGAGGGCGACAGCGGCGTGGGAGCAGGTGGGGGATCTCGGTGAGCGCGGGAAATGGAGGGTGTTGGGTGAGGGTGCTGCGTGCGGGCCCAGGTGCTGCGCGCGAGGGTGCGGAGTTGCTGGCATGCAGGGTGCTTGCGCTGCGCGGAGGGGAGGGTGGCAGGGTGTTGCTGGAGGCTGTGCGAGGGTGGGGGCGCGGGCGTCGTGGGGTGCGGTGTGTGCGAAGGGAGAGCGTGGCCAGCGTGACGGGGGAGCGTAAGGGAGGGAGTGCGACGTGGGAAAGGTGAGTGTGAGAGGCGTGCTGCGGGCAGGTGGGTGTCTGGAGTCTAGCGAGAGGCTGTGAGCTGAGCCACCGGGACAGGGGAGGCTGCAGCTGGAGGTCCGGAGGGTCCGGAGGTCGAGGCAGGTCAAGGATCTCCCAGGGCAGGGCGAGGCTGGGGCTCAGGAGTGGGGTGGGGTCAGTTCCCTCCCTCCCTCTCTCCTGTCCTGACCTGAAAACCCCGTGTTTCCGCGTCATTCTCCGGGAGGGGCCCCCTGAAAGTGAACTAACTGGAAGGAAGCCTGAATCCTGGGTCCCAGGAGGGAGAGGCTCCTGTGAACACCTTCCAAGCCCTGGCGTCCCCTCTCCTCCCTGCTGTCTCCCTGCCCCAGCCTCTCTCCCTCTCTCTGCATGTATTTGCCTCTGCCCTTCCTCTCTCCCCATCTTTGAGGGTGACTCACCCCTCCAGACTTAGGTCCCTTCTCCCTCCTGGGAGTGGGTTTCCCTGAGCCCACTTCTGTGACACCCTGTAGACCTGATGCGGGATCATTACCTATGGGACCCAGAAAGAGTGAGAAACCATGGAAAGAAGGCCTCGACCTCTCTCATGCCCATTTGTCAGGCAAACTGAGGTCCAGAAGTGCCAATTATGAACATCTTTCCTTCCCCCCTCCCCCCTCCCCGCCCAGACGGAGTCTCGCTCTGTTGCCCAGGCTGGAGTGCAGTGGCACGATCTCGACTCACTGCAACCTCTGCCTCCCAGGTTCCAGTGATTCTCCTGCCTCAGCCTCCCGAGTAGCTGAGATTACAGGCGCCCGCCACCATGCCTAGCTAATTTTTATATTTTTAGTAGAGACGGAGTTTTGCCATGCTGGCCAGGCTGGTCTTGAACTCCTTACCTCAGGTGATCCATCTGTCTGGCCTCCCAAAGTGCTGGATTACAGGCGTGAGCCACCATGCCTGGCTGAAAATCCTTACTTTTTATTCCGACTAAAAAATTTTACATCCAGTCCCACAAGGGACTTCAGCTTCACACACCCTTTCTGTCCTCAGTACCCAGCTCCCAGTATCCTTTCTGACCTCAAAACCATAGCTACCATCAACCCTTGTGTCCCAGGACCATGGCTCCCAGTGTCTTCTCTGTCCTCAGGGTCCAAGCTCCCATCAACTCCTGTGTCCTCAGGACCACGGCTCCCAGCATCCTCTCTGTCCTTCAGGTCCAAGCTCCCATCAACCCCTGTGAAGCAGGACCATGGCTCCCAGCATCCTCTCTGTCCTCAGGGTCCAAGCTCCTATCAACTCCTGTGTCCCCAGGACGATGGCTCCAGCAATCCTCTCTGTCCTGAGAGCCCAAGCTTCTAACTGCCCCTGTGTCCCCAGATCCATAGCCCTGAGCAACTTCCTTCTTTTTCAGTCCTCAGCTTCCCAGCTTCTGTAGACTTGGGAAGAGATAGTCTCTAATCCTCTTTCCAGGGCTCACATTCTGTGACTTTTGCTAGATGGGAGAGGAATGTTTGATCTGCCTTTGGAATACTGGTCCAAGGGGTAACTAGTAGTTGCCTTTTCCCGCAGGAGCCAATAGGCCCGCTCACTCTGTGCTCTGACAGATGTCTCCTGCTCCAGCTGAAGGGGAACCTTGGGAGATGTTGGTTTGGTTCTCACCTGTCATCCTTAAGTCCCACCATTCCATGTGAAGACATCACAAGAGTAGTGGTCCTGACGGGCGCGTTGGCTCACACCTGTAATCCCAGCACTTTGGGAGGCCAAGGTGGGCCGATCACTTGAGGTCAGGAGTTTGAGACCAGCCTGACCAACCGGCCAACATGGTGAAACACCATCTTTACCAAAAAAAAAAAAAAAAATTAGCAAGGCGTGGTGGCACGTGCCTGTAATCCCAGCTGGTCGGAAGGCTGAGGCATGAGAATCCCCTGAACTTGGGAGGCAGAGGTTGCAGTGAGCTAAGATCATGCCACTGCACTCCAGCCTGGGTGACAGAATGAGACTCAGTCTAAATAATAATAATAATAATAATAATAATAATAATAATAATAATAAATAGAATAGTGGTCCTGTCCCCATCCTACTTCAGGGTACCCTGTCCATTAGGGATTTAGTGCAAGTGACAGCAAGTGCAACCCAACTGGTTTGAGAGAAAGAGAACTGGTTCACACATAACAAAAAGTCCTTCTATGGCTGGCTTTGGCGAGGTCTGTCAATCTCTGTCCTAAGGATGCATGGCTCCCCTCCTGTAGCAAGATGGCTGGCAGATACCCCTGGGGCCAGATTCATATTTGGGGTGATTAAGATTCTGCAAGAGAGAGACAACCTTTATTTCACACAGCTTTTCAATTGTTGCCTGTCCCTGGTGAGACTCGGAGACCTAGCTCTTGCCTGGTTTCTAAACTTTCAATAACACCGTTTTTGCTTAAGTCAGCACAAACAGATTTTATTTCTTGCAAGCAAAGATTCCTGAACAACAACTTCAGAGCCGTTAACAATGAGGTCCTGATCACAAGCTATGGTATAGGACGTGAGAAATTTGTCCCTAGCCTCAATATCTGCTGGAGGGCATCATGGAATAAGTATTTCTATCCTCTGATCCCCACTGTAGGGCATCATGGGATATATAATCCTAACCTTCAATCTCTGCCATAGAGTTTCATAGGCAATGCAGTCCTAGCCTCAATATGTTGTAGGGAATTATGGGAAAGGTGAAATTATCCTCAATTATAATACAGAGCATCTCAGAAAATGTCGTTTTAGCCTCATCTCTGCTGTAGGGCATCATGGGAGATATACTTCTGGCCCAATTTTTGTTGTAAGTTGCCATAGAAGATGCAGTCTTTCCTTCCTTCCCTTTTTTCTTTTCTTTCTTTCTTTCTTTTTTTTTTTTTTTATTATGTAGAGACAGGGTCTCTCGCTATGTTGCCCAGGCTGGTCCTGAACTCCTGGGCTCAAGCAGTTCTCCTGCCTTGGCCTCCCAAAGTGCTGGGATTACAGGCAAGAGCCATTGCACCCAGTCCCTTCTCTCCTTTCTTTCTTCATCACCTGCCATATTCCAGGCACTAGGAATAAATCATCAAGTAAATAAACGGCCTTACCCTCCCTGGCAATTATAATGGGGAAAGTTAGCTAAAAACAAACAAAAATTACTGTTCCATTTAACCATCGCTGAATAACAAAATACCCCAGAACGTAGTGGTGTGAAACAACAACCTTTTAATTTTATGATTCTGTGAGTCAGGAATTGGAGCAGGATTGGTGTGTATCTGCTTCATGATGAACTGGAGCCAAAAATGAACTAGCTGGAACAGCTGGAGATGGAGGGGAGGGGCATCAAGGGCCATATATCTAAGGCTGGTGGTTGGTGTTGTGGGTTTTGAATAGTGTCCTCCAAGTAAAATATATGTTGAAGTTCTAGCCCCTGGTATCTGTACATGTGACCTTATTTGGAAATAAAATCTTTGCAAATGTAATTCACTTTTTTGTTTGTTTGTTTGTTTGCTCGAGACTGAGTCTCGCTCTGTCACCCAGGCTGGAGTGCAGTGGCATGATCTCGGCTCACTGTAACCTTCACCTCCTGGGTTCAAGCGATTCTCCTGCCTCAGCCTCCCAAGTAGCTGGGATTATAGGCACGTGTCACCATGCCCAGCTAATTTTTGTATTTTCAGTAGGGACGGGGTTTCACCATGTTGGCCAGGCTGGTCTCGAACTCCTGACCTCAAATGATCTGCCACCTCAGCCTCCCAAAGTGCTGGGATTATAGGCATGGGGCACTGCATCCTGCCCAGATGTGATTAACTTCTAACCCCTGGTATCTTTGCATGTGACTTTATTTGGAAATAAGGTGGGTTTTTTTCTTGTTTTTTTTTTTTTTTTTGAGACAGTTTCACTTTGTCGCTCAGGCTGGAGTTCAGTTGCATAATCTCAGCTCACTGAAACCTCTGCCTCCGAGGCTCAAGCGATCCTCCCGCCTCAGTCTCCCGAGTCACTGGGACTACGGGCAAGCGCCACCACACCCGGCTAATTGTTGCAGTTTTTGTAGAGATGGGGTTTTGCCATGTTGCCCAGGCGGTCTCCAATTGCCACCCTCAAGCAATTCATCCGCCTCGGCCTCCCAGAGTGCTGGAATTATAGGTGTGAGCCATGGCGCCCGGCCAGAAAGTCTTTGCAGATTTAGTTGAATTAATGACTAAATGTTTCCATGCTGAGTTAGAGTGGGCTCTAAATCCAATGATTGATATGGGGTTATAAGGAGAGATATTTGGAGACATAGCCACAGTCCCAGGGAAGGTGGACATTGGAAGACAGAGGTAGGGATTAGAGTGATGCAGCTACAAGCCAAGGAATGGCAAAGATTGCTGGCAGTCCCTCAGAAGCAAAGGAGAGGCAAGGAAGGGTTCTTCCCCTGAGACTTTTTTTTTTTTTTTTGAGACGGAGTCTCACTGCTGTCAGCCTCAGCTGGAGTGCAATGGCGCGATCTCGGCTCACTGCAACCTCTGCCTCCCAGGTTCCAGCAATTCTCCTGCCTCAGCCTCCCGAGTAACTGAGATTACAGGCACCCGCCACCATGCCTGGCTAGTTTTTGCATTTTTAGTAGAGATGGGATTTCACCCTGTTGGCCAGGCTGGTCTCGAACTCCTGACCTCAGGTGATCCACCCGCCTCGGCCTCCCAAAGTGCTGGGATTACAGGTGTCAGCCCCGGAGACTTTAAAAGCATGGCTCTTCCCCTGACGCTTTAAAAGCGTGGCTCTTCCCGTGAGACTTCAACACCTTGGTTTTGGACATTTAGCATTCAGAACTGTGAGAGAACAAGTTTCTAGTGTGTGTGTGTGTGTGTGTGTGTGTGTGTGTGTGTGTGTGTGTGTGTATGTGTTTTAGACAGAGGCTCATTCTGTTGCCCAGGCTGGAGTGCAGTGGTTCAATCTCGGCTCACTGCAAACTCCGCTTCTCAGATTCAAGTGATTCTTATGCCTCAGCCTCCCAAGTAGCTGGAATTACAGAGGAGCGCCATCACAGCCGGCTATTTTTTTTTTTTTTTTTTGTACTTTTAGTAGAGACAGGGTTTCACTGTGTTGGCCAGGCTGGTCTCAAATTCCTGGCCTCAAGTGATATGCCTGCCTTGGCCTCCCAAAGTGCTGGGATTACAGGTGTAAGCCACCACACCTGGCCTAAGTTTCTGTGTGTGTGTGTGTGTGTTTTGTTTTGTTTTTTTTTTTTTTTTGAGTGGAGTCTCGCTCTGTTGCCCAGGCTGGAGTGCAGTGGCATGATCTCGACTCACTGCAAGCTCCGCCTCCCGGGTTCACGCCATTCTCCTGCCTCAGCCTCCCGAGTAGCTGGGACTACAGGCACCCACCACCACGCCCAGTTAATTTTTTGTATTTTTAATAGTGACAGGGTTTCATCATGTTAGCCAGGATGGTCTCGATCTCCTGACCTCGTGATCCGCCCGCCTCAGCCTCCCGAATTGCTGGGATTACAGGCATGAGCCACCAAACCCGGCCAAGTTTCTGTGGTTTTAAGCCACCTTGCTTGTAAGATTTGTGTGTGTGTGTTTTTAATTTTTTATTTTTAAGTATTATGAATACATAATAGTGGTGTATATTTACAGGACATATGTAATATGGTTTTGGGTTTTAGTGTTTTTTTTTTGGAGACAGAGTCTGGCTCTGTTGCCCAGGCTGGAGTACAGTGGTGGGATCATGGCTCACTGCAGCCTTGACCTCCCGGGCTCAAGGGATCCTCCTGCCTCAGCCTCCCATGTAACTAGGACCACAGGCATGCCCCACCACATCCAGCCAATTTTTTTTTATTTTTAGTGGAGATGAGGTCTCACTGTGTTGCCCAGGCTGATCTTGAACTCCTGAGCTCAAGAGATCTTCCTTTCTCACCCTCCCAAAGTGCTAGGACTACAGGCATGAGCCACTGTGCCTGTCCTTCCATGATGTTTTGATATAGGCACACAATGTGTTAGTTTATAAAGTTTGTAATAATTTATCACAGGCAGCCCTAGGAAACTAATATAGCCAAGTTTCCTGTTTCTTCTCTATATCACATCTGCTGGGGCTACATGTCCAAGGTGGCTTCTTCACCCACTTGTCTGGTGCCTGGGCTGAGATGGCTGAAACATCTGGGGCTCTATCTCCACATGGCATTTATACATGAGTAGCTTGGGCTTCCTCACAGCATGGTGGTCTCAGGGCAGTAGTACTTTTACATGGCAACCAGCTTCCCCAGAGTGAGCGTTCTAAGATTCAGAAAGTGAAAAATGAAAGTTTCTTAAAACTTGGTTCCAGAACATAGCACAGCAAAACTTCCACCACATTCTACTGGTCAAAGCAGTCACAGAGTCACTCATATTCAAGAGGCAGAAGTACAGACCTCACTTCTTTAAGCCACTACAGTGACAGGTGGTGATATGTCATTAGAGAAAGCCCTAAACAAGAACCTTGTCCCTCACCTGCCCCCAAATACCATGGAAGATGTCTTTTTTTTTTTTTTTTTTTTTTTGGGGATAGTCTCACTGTGTCATGCAGTGGTGTGATCTTGGCTCACTACAACCTCCTCCTCCTGGGTTCAAGCGATTCTCCTGCCTCAGCCTTCCGAGTAGCTGGAGTTACAGGCACCCACCACCTTACCCGGTTAATTTTTGTAATTTTAGTAGAGACGGGGTTTTGCCAAATTGGCCAGGCTGGTCTCAAACTCCTGCCTCAAGTGATCTGCCCACCTCGGCCTCCCAAAGTGCTGGGATTACAGGCGTGAACCACCACAGCCAGCCGAAGATATCTTATTTTTTCTTCATTAGCCACAAGATTTGATGGGGAATGTAATTTTTGTCTCCATGGGTTGCCTTAGCAAATGATGAGAAGAACATGAATTTTTCAATATTGTGCTCCTAGAGTGCCATTGAAATGGTAGTTCTGTCTCTTTTTCTGACAGTCCTGAGGCATCCCGGGAAATAGAGCCCAGCCTTTATCCCCGGTCCCCAGCACATCAGGGGAAGTGCACTCCTGTCCTTATTCCTCACTGCAGTGCATGCAGGGAGTTCTGGCCATCAGGTTATCTTCTATCCGTCTCCTTTCCCAAAGCATGCTGGGAAATGTGGGGATGTCTCCTTAGAACAACAAAATAGTTGCAACCTTTGAAGTTTAGGAGAAGACTAGAAGGTTAGTGTTCAGTGTGTGATCTGGAAGCTTGCATTTGTAAGAATTAAAGAAAGAGGAGGCCAGGCACGGTGGCTCATGCCTGTAATCCTAGCACTTTGGGAGGCCAAGGTGGGCAGATCACCTGAGGTTGGGAGTTTGAGACCAGCCTGAACAACATGGAGAAACCCTGTCTCTACTAAAAATACAAAATTAGCCGGGTGTGGTGGTGCATGCCTGTAATCCCAGCTACTTGGGAGGCTGAGGCAGGAGAATCCCTTGAACTAGGAGGTGGAGGTTGTGGTGAGCTGAGATTGTGTCATTGCACTCCAGCCTGGGCAACAAGAGTGAAACTCCATCTCAAAAAAAGAAAAGAAAAGAAAAGAAAAAGGAAAAGGAAAGAAACATGAAATGTGGCTTGACGGTGAAGGACAGGTTTATTTTAGAGAAAACCAACCTGAGGGGGGCTTTTGGCTGAGTTAGGTTAGAGAGCCCTTTTTTTTTTTTTTTTTTACAGACTAAGGATATTTAAGAGTTTTGGAAGGGGGTGCTTATCTAGGTTCGGAATGTTTTCATGTGAGGAAAAGTTTATTGTGGGGTTGGAAAGTCTCTGGTCGGAAGGGAGGCTATCTGGGGGTTGGCATGTTTCTGGTCAGAGAGGGGTTTATCTTAGGGTTGGAATGTTTCTGGTTATGCTGATGGTAGCCATTAGGCTGATGTTTTGGGGCTGGATTTAGCTGATTTTTTTTTGAGACAGAGTCTTGCTCTGTCACCCAGGCTGGAGTGCAGTGGTGCAATCTCGGCTCACTGCAAGCTCCACCTCCCGGATTGACGCCATTCTCCTGCCTCAGCCTCCCGAATAGCTGGGACTACAGGCACCCGCCACCACGTCCGGATTTAGCCGATTTTTAATCAAGAGGAACTAAGAATGGTGGTGTTTGTTCAAGATGGCAGTGCTCCTGCTCTGTCAGCATTTGGAGTCCAGAAATAGATGTGGAGGCAGCCCCCAGGAGGACTTCCAACCTAGGCAGGGGCCTCAAACATGACCCCTGATTCCAGGAGCCTGTGAAAAGGTGTCCCCCACCATTTATCCTCCCAAAGATAGACACTACAAAGAAGGGCATACCTGGCCTTGTCCACTGGTACAAAATCTTTATGTAAGTATAAAATAAATAATATGAATATTAATTAATAACAACAACACAACAGCGGCAACAATATTAATAATAACAAGAGCTCTCCCATTGGCCCACGGCCTTCCTCCAGCTTTTCTCTTCTGCTTCACACAACTTTGTGAGATAGCTGTTTTCATAGCTGGGAAAACTGAGGCCCAGAGAGGTCGGCACACTGGCCTGAGGTCACACAGCAAGTCTGTAGGGCTGGGAGCCGAGGGAAGGGCAAAGGGGTCCCCCGGATCCAGCCAGGGCAGAGAGGGGGATTTCAGGTTTAGGTCCAGAGGAGAGTGCCTCCCCACAGTCTGGCAGTCATTAGCAGGGTGATGGTGAGGCTGAGATGGGCAGGGCCAGGCTGAGGAGCAGCCCCACTGCGGTACTGGACATCCAGGTCTGGGTGGTTACAGCCACTTTTAGTACAGCAGGAGACATCAATGTGGTTCATGCTGAAGGCGTCACCCAGGTGGGCATGTTGGCACATTGAGGCGGTTGCACAGCCTCTTACCATATAGCTTTGGTTTTTCGGTTCTGAGGAAAGAGAAGACGGAGTGAGACTTCCAGCTCCTGGGCCCAGGACTGGAATTCTCCAGTAGGTGACCTGCCACCTTGCAGTGGGTGCCACCTTCACTACCACCTAGAGAAAGCAGCAGTTCTCAGGGCCAGGTGTGGTGGCTCATGCCTGTAATCTCAACACCTTGGGAAGCCAAGGAGAGAGGATAGCTTGAGCCCAGGAGTTCCAGACCAGCCTGGACAACATAGCAAAACTCTGTTTCTACAAACATAAAAAAGAAAAAAACAGCTGTAGTCCCAGCTACTTGGGAGGCTGAGATGAGAGGATCACTTGAGCTCAGGAGATGGAGGCTGTGGTGAGTTATGATCACGCCACTGCACTCCAGCCTGGGTAACAGAGTGAGACCCTGTTTCAAAAAACAAATAAAAAGAAAGAAAGGAAGGAAGGGAGGGAGGGAGGGAGGGAAGAAGGAAGGGAGGAAGGGAAGAAGGGAAAGAAAAGAAAGAAAGAGAGAGAGAGGGAGGAAGGAAGGAAGGAGAAGGGAAAGAAGGAAGGAAGGGAGGAAGGAAGGAAGAAAGAAAGAAAGAAAGGGAAAGAGAGACAGAGAAAGAAAAGGAAAGAAAAAAAAAGAAAGAAAGGAAGCGAGCAGCGGTTCTTAAAGTGTGGCTCAGGGACCCCAGAGACCCTTTCAGGAGATCTGTGATTTCACATGGCTTTTTCACTCTCATAAGTGTACAATGGGCTTTTCCAAAAACTCCAGGACATGTGATATTGCAAGAGACTGAAAGCAGAAGCTTCCATGAGGACCCAGCTGTCTTCTATTAAGCTGGACATTAAAGAGATGTGCAACACAGCAAAATAATGCCAGTTTTCTCATTACGCTTTTTTTTTGTTTTTTTTTTTGAGATGGAGTCTCACTCTGTCACCCAGGCTGGAGTGCAGTGGCACGATCTCGGCTCACTGCAACCTCTGCCTCCCGGGTTCAAGCAATTCTTCTGCCTCAGCCTCCCAAGTAGCTGGGACTACAGGCGCGACCACCATGCCCAGCTAATTTTTGTATTTCTAGTAGAGACGGGGTTTCACCATATTGGCCAGGCTGGTCTCGAACTCCTGACCTTGTGATCTGCCCGCCTTGGCCTCCCAAAGTGCTGGTATTACAGGCGTGAGCCACCGCGCCTGGCTGGTTTTTTTTTTGTTGTTTCTTTGTTTGTTTTTTTAAGACAGGGTCTCGCTCTGTTGCCCAGGCCGCAGTGCAGTGGTGCAATCTCCGTTCACTGCAACCTCCACCTCCCAGGCTCAAGTGACCCTCCCACCTCAGCCTCCCAAGCAGCTGGGACTACAGGCATGCACCACCATGCCCAGCTAACTTTTGTATTTTCTGTAGAGACAGGATCTTGCTATGTTGCCCAGGCTGGTCTCAAATCCCTAGGCTTAAGTGACCCGCCCACCTTGGCCTCCCAAAGTATTGGGATTATAGGCATGAGCCACCATGCCTGGCTATCATTACATTTTTTCTTTGGAAACTATACTTATTTTTCATTAAAATGTTATTTATCTTAATGTGTAATGAGTTTTTATTGTTATAAGATGAATTCATAAATAAATCTTTAAAGATTTCTCAGTTTTGGCTGGGCACGGTGGCTCACATCTGTAATCCCAGCACTTTGGGAGGCCGAGGCAGGCAGATCATGAGGTCAGGAGATCGAGACCATCCTGGCCAACATGGTGAAACCCCGTCTCTACTAAAATTACAAAAATAAGCTGGGCATGGTGGCTCATGCCTGTAATCCCAGCTATGCAGGAAGCTGAGGCAGGAGGATTGCTTGAACCCAGGAGGGGGAGGTTGCAGTGAGCTGAGACCATGCCACTGCACTCTAGCCTGGCGACAGAGCAAGACTCCATTTCAAAAAAAAAAAAAAAAGATTTCTCAGTTTTAATTTTAATTTAATTTTATTTTATTTTATTTTTTGGGACGGAGTTTCACTCTTGTTGCCCAGGCTGGAGTGCAATGGCACAATCTTGGCTCACCGCAACCTCTGCCTCCCAGGTTCAAGTGATTCTCCTGCCTCAGCCTCCCGAGTAGCTGGGATTATAGGCATGTGCCACCATGCCCGACTAATTTGTATTTTTAGTAGAGATGGGGTTTCACCATGTTGGTCAGGCTGGTCTTGAACTCCCGACCTCAGGTGATCTACCCACCTCGGCCTCCCAAAGTGCTAGGATTACAGGCGTGAGCCACCACTCCTGGTTCTCAGTTTTAATTTTAATGTGGCATTTATCTATAGAAATCACTGATATAAACAATAAAGAGTTTTTTTTTTTTTTTGAGACAAAGTCTCCCTCTGTCATCCAGGCTGGAGTGCAGTGGGGTGATCCCCACTCACTGCAACCTCCTCCTCCTGGGTTCAAGTGATTCTCGTGCCTCAGCCCCCTGAGTAGCTGGGGTTATAGGTGCACGCCACCACACCCAGCTAATTTTTGTAATTTTTTGTAGAGACAGGGTTTCACCATGGTGGCCAGGCTTGCTCTCATACTCCTGACCTCAAGTGGTTCTCCTCCTCACCCTCCCAAGGTGTTGCAATTACAGGCGTGAGCCACCACACCTGGCCAAAAATAATTTTTAAAAGCATGAAGAAGTTGAGACCAAAAAGTTTGAGAACCACTGGAATACAGAGACCTTTCCAGGACACCACAGGATGAAAGCCCAAGATGTCTTCAGCAAATCCCCACAACCCACGAGAAATCCACCAAAGAATTCCATTTTTCTTTTTGTAGAGATGGGGGTCTTGCTATGTTGCCCAGGCTGGTCTCAAACTCCTGGCCTCAAGAGATCCTCCGGCCTCAGCCTCCCAAAGTGCTGAGAGTACAAGCTTCAGCCACCGCACCCAGCCGGAATTCCACTTTTCCATGGCAAAAATGTCCACATCCTGATGGACAAGTCCTAATTCCTTACAATAATATTCACCCACCTGAAGGAAATCCCACCTTTTCCACAGGGAGACCCACCACAGTTAACTCCAGCTTAACTGGAAGTCAATCTCTTGCGGAACTCTCCACCCCCAATAAGTGTTCCCTCCCAGCCTCGGAGAGGGCCTCACCGTGAGTGCCGGTGGCTACCAGACATTGATTCATGGGGCCTCGGCAGTCAATGAGGAAAGTCTCTTCAGAGGAGCATCCATGGGTGCTGTTCCCCTTGCAGCTGTAACACTGGCGGCCATTCTGCGGCAGATTTTCAAGCTCCAGGACTTAGGAGAAGACCAGAGACACAGAGACCAAGAAAATTAGTGCTTGGATCTCCACTTCCTTGAATGACCTCCCCAGGACTTCCACTCCGAGCCAGAGATGTCATGGAGCCACCTTGTGGTCAGGCGTCTGAATGGCATTTGGAGGGGGATGGTTTTCGAGGGCTTGAGAGAAACCCCAACTTTCAACTCCCCATGAGTCCCATTTCTGGCCAGGCACCGTGCTGGGTGCTGGGTAAAACTATGTAAGATGAAACTGTCCTTGCTCTCACAAAAGTTACAACTTATTTATTTATTTTTGATACAGGGTCTCAGTTTGTTGCCCAGGCTGGAGTGCAGTGGCGCAATTGTAGCTCACTGCAGCCTCGACCACCCCGGCTCAAGAGATTCTTCCACATCAGCCTCCTGAGTAGCTGGGACTACAGGCGTGCACCACCATGCCTAGCCAATTTTTCTGTTTTTTGTAGAGATGGGGTTTTGACACATTACTCAGGCTGGTCTCAAACTCCTGGGATCAAGCAATCTGCCTGCCTCAGCCTCCCAATGTTCTCGGAGTACAGGTGTGAGCCACTGTACCTGGCCAGAACTTACAAGTTATTACTATTATTATTACTAAAAAATTTTTTTTGAGACGGAGTCTTGCTATGTTGCCTAGGCTTGTCTCAAACTCCTGGCCTCAGGCGACCCTCCCGCCTCCGCCTCCAAAAGTGCTGGGATTACAGGTGTGAGCCACTGTGCCCAGCCAGAATTTACAATTTAGAGCTACACTACCCAATCTGGTAGCCACTGGCCACATGTGGTTGTTTACATTTAAATAAATTAATATTAAATCGAATCTTAAAATTCAGTTCACATTTCAAGTGCTCACTGACCACATACAGTGGTGGCTGTAATATTGGACAGGACAGATAGGGAACATTTCTATCTGTTGACAGTGCTGGGTAATAGAGACAGGGATCTAGATTACACTGGAGGGGAGGGACAGTGAAAGCATCCCTGAAGATGATACATTAAAGCTGAGGCCTAATGGATGAGAAGTTGCCAGCAGGGTGAACTCTTGGGGAAGATGTGTTCTAAGGGAGGATATTCATCTGCAAGGGCCATGAGACCAGATGGGCTTTGGTGATTATAGAAACCAAATGAACGTCAGCACAGCGGCTCATGCCTGTAATCCCAGCACTTTGGGAGGCCGAGGCAGGAGAATCGCTTGAACCTGGGAGGCGGAGGTTGCAGTGAGCCAAGATCACGCCACTGCCCTCCAGCCTGGCTGACAGAGCGAGACTCCATCTAAAAAAAGAAAGAAAGGAAGAAAGAAAGAAACTAAATGAAGGCCAGGTGCAGCGGCTCATGCCTGTAATCCCAGCACTTTGGGAGGTCAAGGCAGAAGGATTGCTTGAGCCTGGGAGTTTGATACCAGCCCCGGCAACATAGTGAGACCCCATCTCTACAAAAGTTTTAAAAATTTAGCTGGGTGCGGCCGGGCGTGGTGGCTCACGCCTGTAATCCCAGCACTTTGGGAGGCTGAGTCAGGCGGATCATGAGGTCAGGAGATCGAGATCATCCTGGCTAACACAGTGAAACCCTGTCTCTACTAAAAATACAAAAATTAGCCAGGCATGGTGGTGGGTGCCTGTAGTCCCAGCCACTCGGGAGGCTGAGGCAGGGGAATGGCGTGAACCCGGGAGGCGGAGCTTGCAGTGAGCCAAGATCGCGCCACTGCACTCCAGCCTGGGCAACAGCGCAAGACTCCATCTCAGAAAAAAAAAAAAAATGTAGCTGGGTGCAATGATGCGCATCTGTAGTCCCAGCTACTTGGGAAGCTGAGGTGGGAGGATCACTGGAGCCCAGGAGTTTGAGGTGGCAGTGAGCCGTGATTGTGCCACTGCACCCCAGCCTGGGTGGCAGAGCAAGACCCTATGTCTAAAGAAAACACAAAACCCCAAAAACGAATCTAAACAAAGACTGTGAGGCAGACAGGTGCCAGATTACATAGGCCAACAGAATAAGGTCTTTGGATCTTATTCTAAGAGGAAGGGGAAGTCATTGAAGTGCCTGAGAAAGGAGGGTGACATGATCTGATTTACATTAAAAAATAAAAAATTGGTGGTGCATGGTGGCTCATGCCTGTAATCCTAACACTTTGGGAGGCCAAGCCCAGGAGTTCAAGACCAGCCTGGGCAACAAAGCAAGACCCCATCTCTACCAAAAATACAAAATTAGCTGGGTACGGTGGCATGCACCTGTAGTCGCAGCTACTCCAGTAGCTTAGGTGGGAAGAATTCCTGAGCCCAGGAGTTTGAGGCTGCAGTGAGCCATGATCATGCCAGTGCACTCCAGCCTGGGTGACAGAGCGAGACCCTGTCCCCCCCATACCCCCCAAAAAATCACTCGCTGCTGGGTTGAGCCTTGGCTGTAGGGTGGCAGGAGTGGAAGCAGGGAGACCAGAGAGGAGGTCATTGCAACAACCTGGGCAAGAAGTCAGCGTGGCTCAGCCCAGGTGGTGGCAGTGGAGCAGGGGAGGAGTGGGAAAATTTGAGAGAGACAAAAGAGACAGGAAGCACAGGTCTTGGCGAGGGCTGATAGTATCATTGAATCCTTACGAAGTTCTTCTTTGAAGAAAGGCCTGGCTGGGTGCAGTGGCTCATGCCTGTTACCCCAGCACTTTGTGAGGCTGAGGCAGACAGATCACTTGAGGTCAGGAGTTCGAGACCAGCCTGGCCAACATGGTGAAACCCCCATCTCTACTAAAAATAGAAAAATTAGCCAGGGGTGATGGTGGGCACCTGTAATCCCAGCTACTCAGGAGGCTGAAGCAGGAGAATCGCTTGAACTCGTGAGGCGAAGTTTACAGTGAGCGGAGATCACGCCATTGCACTCCAGCCTGGGCAACAGAGTGAGACTCCGTCTCAAAAAAAAAAAAAAAAAAAAAAAGGCCTGATACTCCCATTTTTCAGAAAAGCAAACAGAGGCCCAGAGAGGACTTGATTGCCAGAGAGTGACTGCGCAGCTGTCTGCCTGAGTGCATGCCCCTGCCCGACCCCAGGCCTTGCCTGTGTCTCCCGTTCCTTACTTGGGCCCTCGTTGCATTTGGTGGTGTTGCAGCATTTCAGGAAGTGGAAGGTGTCGTTGTTGTGGAAACCATTGGAGCCCGGGCAGCCGGGAAGGTAGCCACAGCCACGGAGGTGGCGGTCATCCTTTGGACGCCCTATGGGGGCCAGGGGACAGAGGTCAGATGTCAGATTGTGAATGAGGGACTAAGATGGGATTTGCCCGAAATAGCAGGCATTCAACCATTCTCTACTTCACCCTTCATCATAAGACCCTCATTTTATCTAGAACAGTCATAGATCTTGTCGAAAACTACATATTCCAGCCTCTCCAGGTAGTCATGTGATGAAGTTCGGACTAATGTGATATAAATAGAAGTGCTTTATGGGACTTCCAGAAAGGAGAACCCTTACAAAAGGAGGAGTGCCCCCTTTTTTGTCCCTTCTTTCCTTCTTCCTCCTTCCTGGAACTTAGATGTGAGACCCGGAGCTCTGGCAGCCATTTTAGACTATGAGGCATTTTGAGAATGGAAGTAATGTGTAAGAAACAAGAGGGTGGCCGGGCGTGGTGGCTCACGCTTGTAATCCCAGCACTTTGGGAGGTTGAGGCGGGTGGATCACAAGGTCAGGAGTTTGAGACCAGCCTGACCAACATGGTGAAACCCCATCTCTACTAAAAATACAAAAATTAGCAAGGCGTGGTGATGCACACCTGTAATCCCAGCTATTCAGGAGGCTGAGGCAGGAGAATCACTTGAACCTGGGAGGCGGAGGTTGCAGCCAGCCAAGATCATGCCATTGCACTCCAGCCTGGGTGACAGAGAGCAAGACTCTGTCTCAAAAAATAAATAAATAAATAAATAAAAAGAAATGAGAAGGCATCTGGGTTCCTGGTGACTCTGGACCTGTCCTTGTGGCCCTGGACTTCCTATCACTGGACCTCTTGTGTATGAGAGAACTTAGTCCCTTGCTGACATCCCTGTTACTTTGGGGTTGTTTGTTAAGTGCAGTCTTAGGGAGGAGCAGAGCAGGGAGGAGGAGTTGCCAGCAGGTTGGGGCTCACCTTCTTCACCTTCCTGGATCCAGTGGGTCACCACATCCAGGCACTGTTCTTCAGGGCTGCGGCACTGCAGGCTCTGGTGCCGGCCCCTCTCACAGCTCATGTCTGATGAGCCACAGGAAATGCATTCGAGGTAACGGCTTCGGGAATAGGTGACAGCCCGGCCTGTTTGGAAGAGGGGGAGGGGAGTGAGACTCCATGGGGACAGTCCTGGAGCCCCAGCTCTGCAAGGACTCACTCAAAATCAATTCCTCCTTATCCCACCCTGCAGCCAGTCATTGAGCCCTGCCTATTCTGCCTGCTGAATCTTTCTAGAATCCACCCCCTCCTTTCCAGCCCCATGGACCAGTCCAGCTCAGACCTCCTTCAACTCCAGCTACCTCCCTAGCCTCTGGGTTTCCATTCTTGTCACCCCCTACTCACCCCAGTGCAGCATCTCCACATGGCCCTAGAAACATTTCTTTCCTTTTTTTTTTTTTTTTTCCCGAGACAGAGTCTCACTCCGTCACCCAGGCTGGAACGCAGTGGCACCATCTTGGCTCACTGCAACCTCCACTCCCCGGGTTCAAGTGATTCTCCTGCCTCAGCCTCCCGAATAGCTGGGACTACAGGCGTGCACCATCACGCTGGGCTAATTTTTGTATTTTTAGTAGAGACAGGGTTTCACCATGTTGGCCAGGCTGGTCTCGAACTCCTAACCTCAAGTGATCTACATGCCTTGGCCTCCCAAAGTGCTGGGATTACAGGCATGAGCCACTGCACTCGGGCCCTTAGAAGGATATTTCTAATACTCATATCTGACCCTGTCTCTCCTCTGCTCAAGACTCTTCCATAGCTCCCTACTGCCCTGAAAATAAATTCCAAGATCCTCAGCATGGGATTCAAAGCCTATCAAATACTGGGGCCTGAGCACCTCTCCTGCCTCGTCTCCCTCCACTACACCCTGAGACTCTGCTCCACACT
Organism: Homo sapiens; assembly: GCF_000001405.40. Lineage (NCBI taxonomy): Eukaryota > Metazoa > Chordata > Mammalia > Primates > Hominidae > Homo > Homo sapiens. The sequence continues at coordinate 43,657,439 of NC_000019.10, forward strand.
GACTTCCCACAGTCTGCGACGACACATGTTCCCTGGCATCCAGGCCTTTGCATATGCCGTTGTTTCTGTCTAGAACACCTTTCCTTTGCTCTCTGCCTTCCCTAACTCCTACTCATTCTTCAGGTGTCAGCTCTAATTTCACCTCCTCTAGGAAGCCCTTCCTGATCCACCAGGCTCCCACACACCCCTGTACTCCCCCATCCCACTCTGGGTGGTCACTGTCTGGTGACAGGTATGTCTCCTCTACTGGACTGTGAGCCCCCAGGAGGGCAGGGCCAGGGGCTGTCTTGATCACTACTGTGTCCCAACACCACCTGGCACATGGCCAGGGACAGATAAGATATTCAATGCATATTTGTTAAATGAATGAATGAATGAGCAATTACTTAAAACCCTTCTATTGTTCCCTGTGGTAGCCTGTCTCCAAAATGGCCCCCAATAATCTCTGCTCCCTGGTATTCATGCCCTTAAAGAATAGGGCTGGCTGGGTGCAGCAGCTCATGCCTGTAATCCCAGCATTTTGGGAGGCCGAGGTGGGAGGATTGCTTGAGTCTGGGAGTTTGAGACTAGTCTGGGCAACATAGCAAGACTCTGTCTTTAAATTAAAAAAAAAAAAGAAGAAGAAAAGAATAAGGATGCCCTATGTAGTCAACTGGATATTATGGAAATGATGGTGTATGCCTTCTGTGGCTAGATCATAGAACACATGCCTGGCTCTCTCACTTGGATCACTTTTTCTGGGGCAAGCAGCAGCCATGTTGTGAGGACACTCAAGTAGCACCATGGGAAAGTTCACGTGGCAGAACTGAGGCCTGTGCCAAAGCCATGGGAGGGGAGCATTCATGTGAGTGAAGCTACCTTAGGAGCCTTCAGATGACTGCAGCCCCAGCTGACATCTCGACTGCAGGCTCATGAAGGATCCTGAGCCAGAACCACCTAGCTAAGCCACTCCAGGGTTTTTGACCTTCAGAAACTTTGTGAAATAACACATGCTTATTTTATTGCTGCAATCTGTAATGCAGCAATAGATAATAGATAAGCAATAGATAATACACTACCTAATTGTCCCAGGGATCAAAGACTCACTTGACTGATTCCTGATCACTTCGCCTTTTGCACGAACCTTGTGGTGTTGGCCAACTGGATCCGTTACTTTTCCCTGGAAACACCAGAGTCATTCCTCTACCCAGCCCTTGGCTCACACCATTTCCCATGCTTGGCATGCCCTCCCCGTCCTGACCCAAGACACATCTAAGCTGAGTCCAGGCCAAGTCTTAAAAAAGTGAGAGGACCATGTCAGCCAAGGTTCTCAACTGGCAGGCCGCTAGCTGTAATTAGGCGAATCATTTACATCCAAAGCCCAATCGTCCCCCTCAAAGAAAAATAACTACAAGGCCACCCACGTCTTCTCACACAAACTTCCATGAAAATGAAAACACAAATTCTCACCATTGCCAACATAGCTGTTCATACCTAGAACACCTTTTCCTTGAGCCCTACTTTCTCTAACTCCTATTCATTCTTCAGCTGTCATCTTCAATTTCACCTCCTCTAGGAAGCCCTCCCTGACCCATCAGCCTGGAACGGGTACCTGCTCTGAGCTCCCACTGCCCCTTGAATTCCCCATTTCTAGTTCTGCCCACTCTGGGTGGTCACTCATGGGTCTCTGGTGTGAACTCTTGTAAATGCCAATGATCCTTAGGGCTATTTTCCTTTTTCTTTTCTTTTCTTTTTTTTTTTTTTTGAGATAGGGTCTTGCTCTGTCCCAAGGCTGGAGTGCAGTGGCTCACTGCCACCTCGACCTCCCTGAGCTCAGGTGATTCTCCCATCTCAGCCTACTGAGTAGCTGAGACTACAGGCATGTGCCAGTTCACCTGGCTGATTCCTGTATTTTTGTAGAGACAAGGTCTTGCTATGTTACCCAGGCTAGTCTCGAACTCCTGGACTCAAATGATCCTGCCGCTTCGGCCTCCTAAAGTGCTGGGATTACAGACGTGAGTACCGCACCTGGCCAGGGCTCTGTTTTAAGCCCTTTTTATCTCTCACAGTATAGACTCTCTCATGGGGTAAATATTGACATGACTTCATTTCCATCTATCTGCTCATCACTCACAAATCTCTCTCTAGTCTAGACTTCTCTCTGAGCTCCAGACACGCAACTGTCTCTTCGAGGCCCCATGGCTATACCTCAAACACCTGTCCTAAACAAAACTCCCCATCTTCTCCCACAACTGCTCTTTTTCTTGAAGTCCACGCGTCCAAGGCGGCCCCATCCAGTCCCCGGGGCAGAAACCTGGCAGACCCCCTTATCTTCCACATCTGTGCATCAACCGACATGCTTCTACTGTTCTGTCTTCTAGCTCCTTAATCCTTTTGCTCTGCTGTTTCTGACCTCTATCAAGCATAACTGCCGAGTTCTTCATTTGAGTCACTGTTCTATATTTTCTGTTGGACTCTTTTAAAAAATGGATTCCAGGTGCTAAAACATATCCTTTCTTCTGTTTTCCTGAATATATCGATTGTAGCAATTTTCATGTTTCCTGTCCTATAATCCAATATCTGAGTTGCTACAATTCTGTTTCTACAGTTGGATTTTTCTCTTGGTTTCTGGTCAATTGGTCCCTTTTATTTTCTTCAGGATACCTTGTAAGGTTTTTTGTTACTGTTTTTTATTTTTTGTTTTTTGTTTTGTTTTGTTTTGAGACAGAGTCTTGCGTTTTGTTTTGTTTTGTTTTGTTTTGTTTTGAGACAGAGTCTTGCCCTCTCGCTCAGGCTGGAGTGCAATGGTGTGATCTCGGCTCACTGCAACCTCCACCTCCCTGGTTCAAGCAATTCTCCTGCCTCAGTCTCCCAAGTAGCTGGTATTACAGGTGTGTGCCACCATACCCGGCTAATTTTTTTTTTTTTTGTATCTTTAGTAGAGAAGGGGTTTCACCATGTTGGCCAGTGTGGTCATGAACTCCTGACCTTGTAATCCTCCCACCTCGGCCTCCCAAAGTGCTGGGATTACAGGCTTGAGCCACCATGCCCGGCCTGGTTTTTTTTTTTTTTAAAGATGGGGTCTTGCTATGTTGTCCAGGCTGGTGTGCAGTGGCTATTCATAGGCATAATCCTGCTACTGATCATCACAGGAGTTTTGACCTGCTCCATTTCTGACCTGGGCTGCTTCAACCCCTCCTTAGACAACCTGGTGGTCCCCTGCTCCTGGGAGATCACCATATTGATGCCAAACTTAGTGCAGACACCCGGTTGATATAGCACACTACAGCCCAGAACTCTCAGGCTCAAGAAATCCTTCCAAGTAGTTGGGACTACAGACGCATGCCACCATGCCTAGCTATCTTGTAAATTTTGATCAGACGCCAGACATTCTAGATAAAAATCTGTCAAGGGCCTAAACGATGTTTTCTTCTTCCACAGAGAGTCAGGTTTTCATTCCTGTCAAGGACTGGACCTAGGCTTGTTTAGGGCTGGTCTATTTCACTTTGGCCCTTACCCCTGGGGTGGTCTTAGGGGGAAAGCCTGAGATGCTTACCAAGGCCTCTTCAGCTTGGCAACCTGTGTCCCCAGCATCACATGTCTGCTGGAAGCCTTGTTCGCTTTTGTAGCTTCCCAGTTGCTATTTTTCTCTTCCAAGTTTCTTGGACTCTCACCCTGTGCATGTAGAGCTTGCCAATGACTTGAGGGAGATTTGTTTGCAGGTTGGGAACTCCCTTTTCTGTGGTCCCATCCATTCCAGGATTTTAACTCTCATCTTCCAGACATTCTGGCAGCCCCAAACTCCAACCTCCGTCTTCTCAGTCTAGCGACTCTCTTTCCGTCTGGGCTCTATTTCCCTTCCACAGCAGCAGATTGGCAAGTGCGCTCCGGGAAAAAGCCAGGTTGTCTGTGGAACCCAAATTCTACACTTCTGTTATTTCAGAGATTGTAGCGCCTCAAGTTTCTCCTTTCTTTCTTTTTTCTTTTTTTTTTTTTTGAAATGGAGTCTCGCGCTGTCGCCCAGGCTGGAGTGCAGTCGTGTGATCTTGGCTCACTGTAACCTCTACCTCCCGGGTTCAAGCAATTCTTGTGCCTCAGCCACCCAAGTAGCTGGGACCACAGGCATGTGCCACCACGCCTGGCTAACTTTTGTATTTTTAGTAGAGACGGGGTTTCGCCATGTTGCCCAGGCTGGTCTTGAACTCATGAGCTCGAGCAATTCACCTGTCTTGGCCTCCCAAAGTGCTGGGATTACAGGCATGAACCACTTTGCCCAGCCAAGTTTCTCCTTTCATTTGCTGCTCTCCAGTGACTTCCAATAATTGTTTATTATTTGTCCAGCATTTGCAACTGTCATTGGCAGAAGGGTTGGTCTGATACAAGTGACTCCATCATGACCAGAATTGCAGGTCCCCTCCCACATCTAATCCACCACTAAGGCCTGCTTCTTAATAGCTCTTGTTCGGCTTTGGTTGAGACAGGGTTTTGCTCTGCCGCCTAGGCTGGAGTGCAGTGGCGTGATCACTGCAGCCTCCAACTCCTGGGATCAAGCAGTCCTCCTGCCTTGGCCTTCCAAAGTGCTGGGATTACAGGCGTGAGCCACTGTGCCTAGCCTGAATAGCTCTTAAATCTATCCACTTTTCTTCCTCTGCACACCTGACACCCTAGTCCTGCTGCCCTCTTCTCCACCTGGACAACCTCGCCCACCCCCAAGTTGGTTTCCCCTCATCTACTCTTGCTTCCTTTCAGTCTATCTTCTGTCCTGAGGTCAGAATAATTTGTTAAAAATATAAATGGGGGCCGGGCGCGGTGGCTCACGTCTGTAATCCCAGCACTTTGGGAGGCCGAGGTGGGTGGATCACGAGGTCAAGAGTTCGAGACCAGCCTGGCCAACATGGTGAAACCCCATCTCTACTAAAAATTCAAAAAAATTAGCCGGGCATGGTGGCGGGTGCCTGTAATCTCAGTTTCTTGGGAGGCTGAGGCAGGAGAATCACTTGAACCTAGGAGGCGGAGGTTGCAGTGAGCTGAGATCGCACCATTGCACTCCAGCCTGGGCAAAAAGAGCGAAACTCCATCTCAAAAATAAATAAATAAATAATTGCGATCATGACATTCGCTGTTTAAAATCTTCTGTGATGCCCCAGTGCTCCCAGGACAATGTCTAGAAACCCCTGTGTAACATGCCCCTGCCAAGCTTTCCAGCTCATCTCGCCCCACTGTACTGTTTCCTTTGTCCAGCCACACTGCTTTTGGCCACCTTTGTATCTGCTGCTCCCTCTGCTGGAAAACCCTTTCCACTGTTTTTTTTTTTTTTTGCAGGATCTCGCTCTGTCACCCAGGCTGGGGTACAGTGGTGCGATCATAGCTTACTGCAGCCTCCACCACCTGGGCTATAGTGATCCTCCCGCCTCAACCTCCCAAGGAGCTGGGATCACAGGCATGTACCATCACATCTGGCTAATTTTTTAATTTTTTTGTAGAGTCATGTTGCCTAGGCTGGTCTGAAACAATCCTCCCACCTGGGCCTCCCAAAGTGTTGGGATTACAGGCGTGAGCCACTGCACCCAGCCTCCATTAGCTGTTTAATAGTCTGATTCCTACTCATCCTTCAAGATCCAGCTTAGCTGTTGCTTCCCCTAGGAAACCTTCCCTGACCTGAGTCAGGTATCTCCTCTAGGGTCCCACAGCTCCTACTCTTCCCTCATCCCAGCCCTGACCCCTCTGCCTGTGTTTCCCCCTTCATAGCCCAGACAAATCTATTAGGTTGGTGCAAAAGTAATTGTGGTTTCTGCCATTGCTTTTAATGGCAAAAGCCACAATTACTTTTGCATTAACCTAATAATCAGTCACTGTCTGGTGATGGATGGGTCTGTCACCCCTACACACACACACACACACACACACACACACACACACACACACACACACACACAGGACTGTGAGTCCCATGGAGTCAGGCAGGGCACAAGGCTGTCTTGGTCCCTGCTGTGTTCCCAGCATCATGTAAGTACTGAGTGCAGTTTAACCAACTATGCAAGTTGCCACAAGCAGGGTACAATGGCATTAGAAATGGGGATGAGGCCGGGCACGGTGGCTCACGTCTGTAATCCCAGCACTTTGGGAGGCTGAGGCGGGCAGATCACCTGAGGTCAGGAGTTCAAGATCAGCTTGACCAACATGGAGAAACCTCATCTCTACTAAAAATACAAAATTAGCTGGGCGTGGTGGCGCATGCCTGTAATCCCAGCTACTTGGGAGGCTGAGGCAGAAGAATCGCTCGAGCCTAGGAGGCGGAGGTTGCAGAGAGCCGAGATCGTGGCATTGCACTCCAGCCTGGGCAAGAAGAGTGAAACTCCATCTCAAACGAACAAACAAACAAAAAAAAAAAACAAAAACAAAAGGAAACAAAAAAAAAAAGAAAGAAAAAAGAAAAGAAAAAGGGATGATATAGGTATCTCAGTTATTAGATTCCTGAATTGATAGCTGCTGCTCTAAGCTCCTGGTGGATCCCTGACCACTGCCAACTCTCTCCCCAGGACCCTTCATGTCCCTGTGACCCATCATGGAAAGGGGCAACACCAGGCCCAGCAGCGGACTCCAGGAGTTTGTCCCAGCACTGACCAATATTGTTAAATATTTTCGCTATCATCTCTGATTGAATGCACTACTTAGACCCAAGTATTGGTGCTTTCCTTAAGCACATCTCACCGAGACGGGAAGCCCACATCCTCTCGTCACTTCCTCAAAACAAACATCTGATTTGGCCCCACCAGCGGATTAGTGTTTGAGGTCAGGATGGATGAAAACCAGGCAGAATCAGGATGAATGAAGAACAAAGAAAACCCAGTGCAAACGCAGCACTCTGCTCACTGATGTCACCAACCATGACTAGACTGGCCTTACCCTATTTCCTTCCTCACCAGGTCCAGAAAGAGGAATCTCTTTCACGGATGGATCCATGCACCATGGACCCATTCCTTCCCCACCCTTCCTCTCCTGTGGGAATTTAGGAAAATTTGACCTTTTCTAAGTCTTTTTCTTAAAATGATCAGAGCCTGAAGCCATGAAATTCGACAAAGGGGCTTATGGTTGTTGCCCAGGCTGGTCTTAAACTCTTGGGCTCAAGCGGTTCTCCCGCCTTGGTCTCCCAAAGTGCTTGGATTACAGGCATGAGCCACCACACCCAGCCTATTATGGACATTTCCTCACATTTGTTTTTTCACTGCCCAAGTCAGAGACCATCTATTGCAGAGGATTCTCCCAGCCTACTGCGGCCCATTTAATCTTCCCCTCTTTCGACTTCCCTTAAGAACGTCAAGTCTTTGCTTGAATCCTGGCCCCTCAGTATCTATTGCTTGGACCATCTCCCGTCCCAATGGATTGGGCAGGACCATCTCCTGCCCAGTCAGATGGACAAACATCACTGAGACATCTCATCTATGTCTCATGCATGCGTGTGAGCTTGTTAAGGGCAGAGTTGCAAGTTATACATAACAACCATACATACAAACATGCAGGATGGGGATTGGGTTAAGGATGAAAGTAATTGTGTCGTTGGGGTGGGGATTTGGGTAGTCTGAGATAAGGATGGGGTTGATTTGGGGATGGGGTTGGAACTGTGCTTGGAACAGGGCTGGGTTTGAGTTGGGAACAGTGTTAGGGTAACATGAAGTTGGGCATAGGATTGGAGGTGAAGTTGAGTTGGGGTTGGATATGGGGTCAAGAATGAGTTGGGGATGGAGCTGAGCTAGAGATGGGTTGGGTTGGGGTTGGGACTTGGATAAGGCATGGAGTTGGGGTTCAGCTGATGTAAAGTTAAGAATAGGATTGGGATGATGATGAGGTTGAGCTGGGGATGGCTTGGGGTTGGGGATGGCAAGGGCTGCCCTACTCACCAGAGTTGCCCTGGTTGCACAAGTCTAACCCACACACAACCTCGGTAAGGCTGGTGATCTTCAAGCCAGTCCGATAGCTCAGGGTCCTGTTGGTCTTCTCTGAGTGGGTACAGCTTTTCTCCACCAGCTCCAGCTCTTCTCCTTCTGCAAGGAGGGGATCTTCATTACCCCAGAGGCTCCTCTCAGCTCAACCAGCCTCTGACACTCCTGGTCTCAAGGTCATCCACTCCCAGGGCTGATCTCTGCTAGGCCTCTTCTGTTATTTGAGTCGAACTCTGTCTTTTTCTAGAGTTAACCTTGCCTCCACCCCCACCCCAACAAGGAGCCTGCTCTATTTTATTTCAATTAATTAATTAATTAATTTTTTTTTCCGGGAGACAGGGTCTTGCTCTGTCACCCAGGCTGGAGTGGTGCAATCATAGCTCACTGGAGCCTTGACCTCCCAGGCTCAAGCAGTCCTGCTTCGGCCTCCCGAGTAGCTGGAACCACAGGCTTACATCACCACACCCTGCTAATTTTTAAATTTTTTATACAGATGGCATCTCACTATGTTGCCCAGGCTGATCTCAAACTCCTGGCCTCAAGTGATCCTCCCACCTTGGCCTCCCAAAGTGCTGGAATTACAGGTGTGAGCCACTGTGTCCCACTCCTGCTCTTGTAGTGACAGCACTACAACTGGGACTTTCTGGATCCATCTATCCCTCCCCCACACCCTCAGCTTAGTGATCTCAGTACTGAGATGCCTCAAATGTAACTTTATTTTATTTATTTATTTATTAGAAACAGGGTCTCTGTTGTCCCAGCTGGGGCAATCATAGCTCACCACAACCTCGAACTTCTGGGCTCAAGGAATCCTTCTGCCTTAGCCTCCTGAGTAGCTAGGGGTACAAATGTGAGCTACTGTGCTTGGCTTCATATACTGTTGTTTCATGTGTTCTTAAAGCTTATAAAAAACGTATCATATTCTGCAACATTTTTTTCCCTCTCAACCTTAGGTTTCTGAGATGTGTCCACATTGGTATCTGCAGCTCTATTTCCTTCTTTAAGCTGCAGTAGAGCGCTCCATTATGTAATTATTACCACAGTGTTTCTCTTCTGCTGCTGACTTGCTGACTGACATAAAGTCGTTTCCATTTTCTTCTTTTCTTTCTTTCTCCCCTTCCTTCCTCCCTCCTCCCTCCCTCCCTCCCTGCCTCTCTCCGTCCCTCCCTCCCTTCCTCTCTCTCTTTCTCTCTCTCTCTCTTCCTTTCCTTTCTTTCTTTCTTTCTTGAGATGGAGTTTTGCTCTTGTCGCCCAGGCTGGAGTGCAATGGCACAATCTCAGCTCACTGCAACCTCCGCCTCCTGGGTTCAAACAATTCTCCTGTCTCAGCCTCCCGAGTAGCTGGGATAACTGGTGCCTGCCACCAAGCCCGGCTAATTTTTGTATTTTTTAGTAGAGACAGGGTTTCACCATGTTGGCCAGGCTGGTCCTGAACTCCTGACCTCAGGTAATCCACCTGCCTCAGCCTCCCAAAGTGCTGGGATTACAGGTGTGAGCCACCATGCCCGGCCCACCTTTCTCTCTTTCGTTCATTTTTTTGACAGGATCTCGCTCTGTCGCCCAGGCTGGAGTGCAGTAGCATGATCTCAGCTCACTGCAACCTCCACCTCCCAGGTTCAAGCAATTCTCCTGTCTCAGCCTCCCAAGTAGCTGAGATTACAGGTGCGTGCCACCACACTCGGCTAATTTTTCCTTTTTTGTGTGTGTGTGGAGACGGGTGTTTCACCATGTTGGCCAGCCTGGTCTTGAACTCCTGACCTCAAGCAATTCATCCGCCTCTGCCTCCCAAAGTGCTGGAAATACAGGTGTGAGCCAGTGCCCAGCCTGTTTCCAATTTTCCATGTCACAAACATTGCTGCTAAGAACATTCGTATACATGTGTCCCTGGGTATATGTGGCCAAGGTTCTTTGGCATTTCTGCATGGCGAGGAGTTGAGCTGTAGCATATGTTAATCTTCATCTGGACTAGATATTGCCGAATCGCTCTAAGTGGTTGATGTGCCAATTTACTCCCCCACCACAGACACGGTCTGCAACTCCACATCCTTACTAACCCGGGTATTGTCAGATTTTTAAATGCTTGCCAATCTGGTGGGTGTGAAATGGGCTCTCCTTGTTTGTTTGTTTTTAGTTTGCATGTCCCAGTTACTGGTGAGGAAGGTTTCTCAATCACTCGCGTTCCATGCTGCGCTGGAGGGGTGTGTGGGTTGGGGGGAAGCTCACCTTCCCACAAGCGCACGATCGTGGTCCTGCAGAGGTCCTGTCCCAGGGCGCACTCTTCCACACGGCAATCCCCGTTGGTCTTACACTGCATGCACCGCAGGCCCCAAGAGGCTGGGGGAAGGAGGGAGAGGAGAGGAGAGGTTAACTACGCTTAGCTCCAAGACCCCCGCTCACCCCTGCATGTCCCAATACCAACACCAAGTCTCCAGGCCCCGTCCATTCAGATTCGTGTCCATGTTCTGCTGGGTTCCGGCCGGCGGTACTTCCAGTCTGTCCGTTGTCCACGTTCTACCTCCACCCCACTAACTGAACGTTCTATCCCTGCCCACAAGTCCTTTCCCAAAGTCCTGCCTTGGCCCGTTTTTCCTTTCATTCTGTCCTCGTGAGGCGTATATCCTGACAGTCGTATCCCCGCCCTCTCTATCAGTACGTTCTATTCCTGCTCCTATTAGGTCTTTCTCACCGCACCGGCCCTCGGTCGATTACGCCTCTCCAGTTCTGCTGGGGACGTTCTAGCCTTGCCCCACCCGCGTCGATCTTTATGTTATACCGTCACTCCCAGTGCCCTAATGGAACTATCCCTCCACTCACTCCCCCTGGTTCTACCCGGCTCCAGAGCCTCTCCCGGCCCACTAATTTATTCCCAAATTCTAGGCCCGGCCCCATCAGCCCTCCGGAGTTTCTATTGTTAGATACTCTAGTTTCCCGCGAAGTTCTGTCTCCGCCCTCCAGCTCTCCAACTAGGTTTTGGCCCCGCTCCAGACTCATCGTCGAGGTTCTAGCCCCGCCCTTTAGCTCTTCCTGACCTTATCTTCCCGCCCCCTAGCTCCTCCCCGATGCCATAACCCCGCCCCTAGCTCCTCCTCGAGGCTTTAGTCCCTCCCTCTAGCTCCTCCTTGAGATTCTAACTTCGCCCTTTAGCTCTCCCCGCCCCTAGTTTTCCCCTGAGGTCATAACTCCGCCCCAGTCCCTTCTTGAGGTTTCAGCCCCACCCTGTAGCTCCTCCCCGAGGTCGTAACCCCCGCCCCTTGGCCCCTTGAGGTCCTAGCCCAGCCCCGTAGCTCCTCCCCAAGCTTATAACCCCGCCCCTAGCCCCTCCTTGAGGTTCCAGCCCCGCCCTCTAGCTCCTCCCCGAGGTTATAATCCTGCCCCTCAAGAGTCTAGTCCCACCTTCTAGCTCCTCCCGAGGTTATAACTCCGCCCTCTGGTTACGCCTCGAGGTTATAACCCCGCCCTCTGGCTCCGCCTCGAGGTTCTAGCCCCGCTCCTAGCTCTTCCTCGGTCTGTAACCTCTCCCGTAGCTCTTCCTTGAGGTTCCAGCCCCGCCCTCTGGCTCCTCCCCGACACTCTCTCCCCGCCCCAGGCTCCGCCCCGAGATTGCAGCCCAGTCCCTAGGCCCGGTCCCCGACCTCCGGGCCTTCCCGGACATCCCTTTCCAGCTGCGCGTTCGGAGTATCCCGGAGCTGTTACTCATTCCCGGCCTCCCGCGGTCTCGAGCGCTTTCCGGGTTATTCATCGCGGCCCCAACACCCTGTGGCCACCCGCCCTGACTCAGTTCCTTCTCGAATTCCTCGACCCAGAGCCCCCCACATTTTCCGGGGAAGTAAGTGAGAGTCGCCTCAGTGAGAGGGAAAGGTCCTGAGGGACAGTCCCGGGTCTCCAGCACTGGCTCTGCGCCGCTCAGTCAGCCTCCCTTTGGGCCTTTTGTAAAAGGGGGTCCTGTCCCCCCGTTTCTCAGAGGGGGAGACCCAGCAGCGTGGAGAGCGCTGGGGGGCGCTGCAGGGTCAGATCCTGCGTATTCAAGCACTGGCTGTGTGATTTTAGGCCAGTTATCTAACCTCTCTGTGCCCTAGTTTCCTCTGCGAAACGAAATTAATAAAGTCCCATCGCCTAGTTTGAAATTGCAAGGAAGAGGCTTCGAAGAACTCCATTTAAAAAAAGAACACTTGGGCCGGGCGCGGTGGCTCACGCCTGTAATCCCAGCAGTTTGGGAGGCCGAGGCAGGTGGATCATCTGAGGTCAGGAGATTGAGACCATCCTGGCTAACAGAGTGAAACCCGGTCTCCACTAAAAATACAGAAATTAGCCGGGCGCGATGGCAGGCGCCTGTAATCCCAGCTACCCAGGAGGCTGAGGCAGGAGAATCGCTTGAACCCGGGCGGCAGAGGTTGCAGTGAGCCGAGATCGCGCCACTGCACTCCAGCCTGGGCGACAGAGTGAGACTCTGTCAAAAAAAAAAAAAAAAAAAAAAAAGCACTCACTAAATTATGTAAAGCTAAATGCCTTTGCTCCACTAATATTTCCTTAGCTACTGAGTGCCAGGTACTGCGCCGCGTGGCGTTGCACAAAGCACGAGAATTACTATTATTTGATTAGGGAGGATGCTGAGGACTGAACCGCATTCCTCCAACTCATCCTCTGACAACCCCCAACCCCCTCAATTAGACCCTGTTCCAGGCGCAGGCGTTCGGGACCCAGCCCCTACCTGGGACGCAGGTGTGGAGCAGCAGCAGCAGCGGCAGCAGCGGCGGGTGACCCATGTCGCGAGGGCAGCTCCTGTGCGCGGGGTCCCTGCACGTCTTCTCTCCTTCTGGCCTCAGGAAGGAGGCAGTTTTGTGGCCCCAGGGACTCCTCCCAGACGTTTTGCGAAAGAGCGAGTCAGCCCCAGATGCGTGGGCGCCTCCCCCTCCTCCCGTACGAACCTCCTCCGCCACAAACTTCCCTTCCCGGGGCGCGGCCGGCTGGTGGTGAAGGGGCTGGCTCGGCCCTGACTCATGGAGTTGTGATCACAGCTCTGTCCCCAGATTGCCTGGGTGCAAATCCCAGTTCTCTCTCTTCCTAACGTGGGACCCGGGGCAATCGCTCTCCACTGCTGTAAAATGAGGATAAAAACTTTGACGGTAAATATGAATGTGGCTGATTATTTGGCTAACAGGATTTTTGTTAGTTTTGTCAGGAGGGATACTGGTATTTTGGAAAATGTCCTTATCTAGAGATGCATCCTGAAATATGCATCTCTTAAACACTTAAAACACTTAACCCTTGCTTTGCTTCCCGCTGTGCCCCCAGCTCCTGGACCAGTGCCCAGCACGAAGTAGGTCCTTGGTAAATGTTAAAGGAATGTGTTGAGCCCTCCATTTTGGCCAGCAGCTATTCCAGGCATTGCACCTACATTAAAACACTTAATGGTGAAACCCCGTCTCTACTAAAAATACAAAAATTAGCCGGGCGTAGTGGCGTGTGTGTGTTACTTAGGAGGCTGAGGCAGGAGAATCGCTTGAACCCGGGAGGCGGAGGTTGGGTTGCAGTGAGCCGAGATCGTGCCACTGCACTCCAGCCTGGCAACAGAACAAGACTCCTTCTCACAGAAAAAAAAAAAAAAAAAAAAAAAGACACTTCAGCCAAAAAAGTAGATATCACTGTTACGACAATGGCTGTATGCTTAGGTGGGATTCTGGTTTTTGTTTGTTTGTTTGTTTTTGCAGATGCTTACTAGAGTATTTAGTGGTGAATGTTATTGATGTCTGCATTTTTTGTTGTTGTTGTTTTGGGGATTTTTGTTTTGTTTTTTCTTTTTCTTTTGTTTTCATTTTGATGTCTGTATTTATTTTATAATATTTTAGAAGAGGTCAGATGAGGTGGCTCATGCCTGTAACACCAATGCTTTGGGAAGCCAAGGCAGGAGGATCACTTGGGGCCAGGAGTTCAAGATCAGCTTGGGAAACATAAAGAGCCCTCATCTTTCCAAAAGAAATTAAAAATAAAATAAAATTAGCTGGGTGCAGTGGCCCGTACTTGTAGTCCTAGGTAGTTGGGAGGCTAAGGTGGGAGGACCGCTTGAACCTGGGAACTGGAAGCTGCAGTGAGCTATGATTGCACCACTGCACTCCAACCTGGGCAACAGAGCGAGACCCTGTCTCAAAAAAATAATAAATAAATAAATACTTGAGTAGAAAATAAAGGCAAAATAGCCAAATGGTTGTATCAATTATATAAAGGTAATCAGTATATAAGGGCATATTATGCCATTCTGTCTCCTTTTCTGTGGGTTTGAAAAGGCTTATAATAAGTTTTTTCTTTCTTTTTATTATTTATTTATTTATTTATTGAGACGAAGTCTCACTCTGTCACCCAGGCTAGAGTGCAGTGGTGCAATCTCGGCCACTGCAATCTCCGCCTCCTGGGTTCATGCAATTCTCCTGCCTCAGCCTCCTGAGTAACTGGGATTACAGGGGCACGCCAGCACACCCGGCTAATTTTTGTATTTTTAGTAGAGATGGGGTTTCACCATGTTGGTCAGGGTGGTCTCGAACTCCTGACCTCAGGTGATCCACCTGCCTTGTCCTTCCAAAGTGCTGGGATTACAGGCATGAGCCACTGCACCTGGCCAAGTTTTTTTTTTTTTTAAGTAAAATAAAATACTAAAGATAAAATTGTCTCCCCGTCTTAGGATGCATCTAACTAAACAGAGCAATTTAATGTAGGTGCAATGCCTGGAATAGCTGCTGGCCGAAATGGAGGGCTCAACACATTCCTTTAACATCTACCAAGGACCTACTTTGTGCTGGGCACTGGTCCAGGAGCTAGGGGCACAGCAGGACGCAAAGCAAAGTTCCCACCTTTTGTTGTGTTGACAGTGGGGAGCAGATATGTGTTATCTAATCTTTCACTGTCTGAGAGGGATAAGCAAACTGGAGAAAACAAAGCAGGCTGAAGGAAGTATCTGGGTGCAAATGAGGTGTGAGCTGTTTTAGGTGGGTGATCCAGGAGGGGTTCCCTGAGCAAGTGGCATTCAAGCAGAGGCTGAATGCAGTGAGGGAAGAAGTAGGGCAGATGGGCAGGGAACCTTTCCAAGGAGCAGGAACAACCAGTGCAAAGGCCTTGAGGTGGAAGCCTGATGAGATTCTAGGAACAGAAGAGATGTCAGTGTGGCTGGAACAGATTAGGAGAGGAAGAGAGTCGTAGGGGATGAGTAAGTGGTAGCTACTTCTACTGCTGTAATAATGATTATACTATGTGATTTGTTGTCGTTGTTGTTGTTGTTTTTGAGACAGAGTCTCACTTTGTCTCCCAGGCTGGATGCAATGGCGTGGTCTCGGCTCACTGCAACTTCCACCTCCCAGGTTCAAGGGATTCTCATGCATGCCTGGCTATTTTTTTTTTTTTTTTGAGTCGGAGTTTCTTTCTTGTTACCCAGGCTGGAGTGCAATGGCACGGTCTCGGCTCACTGCAACTTCTGCCTCCCAGGTTCAAGAGGTTCTCCTGCCTCAGCCTCCTGAGTAGCTGAGATTACAGGCATTCTCCACCATGCCTGGCGAATTTTTTGCATTTTTAGTAGAGATGGGGTTTCACCATGCTGGCCAGACTGGTCTTGAACTCCTGACTTCAGGTGATCCACCCGCCTCAGCCTCCCAAAATGCTGGGATTACAGGCTTGAACCACTGCGCCCAGCCCTAATTTTTGTATTCTTAGTAGAGATGGGGTTTCGCCATGTCGGCTAGGCTGGTCTCGAACTCCTGACTTCAGATGATCAACCTGCCTCAGCCTCCCAAAGTGCTGGGATTACAGGGGTGAGCCACCGCACCCGGCCCTAATTTTTGTATTGTTAGTAGAGATGGGGTTTCACCATGTCTGCCAGGCTGGTCTCTAACTCCTGACTACAGGTGATCCACCCACCTTGGCCTCCCAAATTGCTGAAATTACAGACATGAGCTACCGCTTCCAGCCTGTACTATGTGATTCTTACTAACTCATTGAAGCTGTAAGCTAATGATTTTAAGATAAGGTTAGAAAACAAAAAACAAAAAAACTCCCAATGGTGAGCACAGTGGTTCATGCCTATAATCTCAGCACTTTGGGAGGCGAAGGCTGGAGGATTGCTTGAGCTCAGGGGTTCGAGACCACCCTGGGCAACATAGTAAGACCTTGTATCTATAAAAAAATAAAATTACAGCCTGGACAACATAGCGAGACCTTGTCTCTATGAAAAATAGAAAAATTAGCCAGGTGTCGTGGTGCACACTTGTGGTCTCAGCTACTCTCTGGTTGAGGTGGGAGGATCACTTGAGCCCCAGGGGTTTGAGGCTGCAGTGAGCCAAAATCGAGCTACTGAACTCGAGCCTGGGCAACAAAAGTGAGACTGAAAAAAAAAAAAAAAAGAACTCCCAGAGAATTTCCTAAGAGGTAGTATAGCCCAATGGTTAAGAGTGTGGGAGCTGGTCTCAGATTGTGAAAATCTAAATTGCATCTACATATTGGCTGTGTCACCTCTAGCAGGTTACTTAATCTATCTCTGTGCCCAAGCCCCTTATCTGGAAAGTAGAGATAGCAAGTATCACCCTCCCAGGGCTGGTGTACTGCGGAGGTAAAAGAATCCACCTAAAATGACTGAGCATGGTGGCTCATGTCTATAATACCAGTGCTTTGGGAGACCAAGGCAGGTGGATCACTTGAGGTCAGGAGTTCAAGACCAGCCTGGCCACCATGGCAAAACCCTGTCTCTACTAAAAAATACAAAAAAATTAGCTAGGTGTGGTGGCATGCACCTGTAGTCCCAGCTACGCAGGAGGCTGAGGCACGAGAATTGCTTGAACCTGGGAGGCAGAGATTGCAGTGAGCCGAGATCGCACCACTCCACTCCAGCCTGTGCGACAGAGCTAGACTCCATCTAAAACAAACAAACAAACAAACAAAAAGAAGAATGCTCCTAAGATGCTTGCCACAGTGCCTGGTACATAGTATGTGCTCAATAAAAGCGATAGCTGCCAGTATTATCATTGTTGCAACTCTGGACATTCACCTCTTCCTGGAGTAGGAAGGGAGATGGAGGCCTGTCATTGAGTCTGACGTCAACAGTTATCACGCGTCAGCTGCTGAAGTGGGCACTTCCCTGGCTGGGTCACCCTGGGCCAATGACATTCTTCTTTCTGAGCCTCAGTTTTCTCAGCTGGAGAAGGGGATCCCTCTTGGGCTGGTGTGAAAACTAAACTAGATCGGAATGTACATGAGGTGGGGAAATAGACAGTTGGGGTGTTGGTCCAAGCAGGCTTGAGACCCAGCTCAGCCACTTGCTTCTGGGTGACCCTGGGCAGATGGCTTCACTCCATCAATCCCCGGCTTTGCCACCTATGAAATGGGTCTGGGGTGGGTAGGGGGCATCTCTCAGTGAAGAGAAAACTCAGGTTTGAGGGTCATGCGGAGCTGTGTGCTGTGCTGCTACCACTTCCTGGTGGGATGACCTCACTTCTCTAAGCCACAATTTCCCAATTTCCCTTTTTTTTTTTTTTTTTTTTTTTTTGAGACAGAGGCATGATCATAGCTCACTGCTGCCTTGAACTCCTGGGCTCAAGCGAAACTCCCACTTCAGCCTCCTGAGTAGTTGGGACCTAGGGGTGTGCACCACCATGCCTGGCTATTTTCTCATATTTCGTGTTTTTTGTAGAGATGGAGCCTTGGTCTGTTCCCCAGGCTGGTCTTGAACTGCTGGGTTCGAGTGATCCTCCCGCCTTGGCCTCCCAAAGTGGTGGGATTACAGGTGTGAGCCACTATGCTCAGCCAATTTCCTCTTTAACGAATGAGAGGTATTTCAGAGCCCACTCATCCCTGCCCAAGGCTGCCCTCGCCTCCTGAAATTTCTGTCTCTCCCTGTGTCTTTGTCTTTTTCTATCTCTCTGTTTTGTTGTTTTCTTTGTCTCTGTCCCTCTTTCTCTCTCTCAATGCCTATCTCTCTCTCTCTCCAACTCTATCACTTTCTCTCTCTGTACCTCGATCTCTGTATCTGTTTGTCTCTCTCTTCATGTCTTTTTATCTCTGCTTCTCCCTTTTCTCTGTCTCTCCCCATGGCTCTCTTTCTCTTTCTGTGTCATTGTTTCTGTTTCTCTTTCTGATTCTTTCTCTCTGTCTCTCCCTCAAGTGACACACACACACACCTGTAAGGTTCTGCTGACGTGTAAAGGGAAGGGAAATGCAGGGATCAGGACCTGGACACTCTCCAGAAACACGGCAGGGATGTCGGCTCCTTCCTCCTCGTGACTCACCTGGGCCTCACCCAGCTCTTGCCTGCCTGCGGGATCATGGGTGAGGCCCATGGGTTTCGGGGGCTTCCCCAGCCTGTGGAGAGGAGAATTTCAGGCAGAGACAGAGAGGGTGATAGAGGAGGAGGCAAAGAGAGGGAGAGACAGAGAGAGAGAGAGAGAGCTGGGGATAGAGATGGAGGTGGGGAAACGAGGGAGAGGGAGAGAGAAGAGACCCACAGACAGACTGGCTCAGGGGAAATCTGAGATGGGGGTGTGGGGGGAGTGAGAGAGACAGAAAACAGCAACCGAAGAACAAGGACAGGGAGAAAGAAAAATGGGCAAGCAGGGAGAGAGAGAAGATAAGAGACTGACAGAGGAGTTAGAGAAAACAACACACAGTTGCCTTCAGAGAACACAAAATAGACACAGAGATACAGGGACACTGTGTGTGTGCGTGTGTGCATGTGTGCGCGTGTGTGCATGCGTGTGCATGTGTGTGAGTGTACGTGCATGCGTGTGTGCGCACACATGTGTTTGTGTGCATGTGTGTGCATGTGTGTGTGCGCGCACGTGTTTGTGTGCCTGTGTGTGTGTGTGTGCATATGTGCATGTGTGAGTGTGTGTATGCATGCATGTGTGTGAGTGTGCCTGCATGCATGCGTGTGTGTGTGTGTGTGCACCTGTTTGGGGCTCCCTCATCCTCTTGCCACCTGCCATGATGAAGTGACTGCCCTCTGGCCTGGCCGCTGGGAAGGTCCTTCTCTGGTTGGGGAGGTGGGGGGGATGGGGGGTGGCTGAGCTGATGGTAGGGAAAGGGCCATCGCTCATAACCTCCCCTTTCTGGGACGCCTAACAGGCCACACTGATGTGGCTTTCAGATCCTGGCCTGGACACCTCTTAGATGTAGAGGACCTCTCCACTCAGGGCCTCCCTGGGGAGTGGAAGAGCTGGTAAACCCTTGAGTCCAATAACCCTCTTCCCCCGTTTTCCAGGCAGAGAAACTGAGGTCCAAAGGGAAGACTTTTTATTTTTTTGAGATAACGTCTGGCTTTATCGTCCATGCTGGAGTGCAGTGGTGAGATCTCAGCTCACTGCAACCTCCACCTCCTGGGCTCAAGCCATCCTCCCACCTCAGCTGCCCAAGCAGGTGGGATGACAGGCGTGCACTACCACGCCTGGCTAATTTTTGTATTTTTTGTAGAGACAACATTTCACCATGTTCTCCAGGCTGGTCTTGAACTCCTGAGCTCAAGCGATCTGCCCACCTCCACCTCCCAAAGTCCTGGGATTACAGGCATGAGCCACGGCGCCCGGCCTAAAACAGGAGACTTTAAATGAGTTTCTCCCCGTCTCAAGTTTATTGTGTTTGTGTTACAGTGGGTACTGTTTTGAGAGTATTATCTATATTATTGGTGAATCTGTAAATATCCTATTTCGTACACACACACGGAAACTGAGGATTAGAGAGGTGTGGTGGGCTGAGAGATGGTCCCCGAAAATATCCAGGTCCTAAGCCCTGGAGCCTATGGGTGTTACCTTAAAGGAAAAAAGGGTCTTTGCAGATATGATTAAGTTAAGGAACTTAATCAGGAACATTTTCCTAATTATCCAGATGGGCCCTAAGTGTAATCAGAAGTGCCCCTGGAGGAAGGAGGGACAGGGACATTTGACTGTAGACAGAAGAAAAGTAAGTCATGGGAGAGAAGCAGAGGAAAACAGGGTGGGAGACAGAAGGTATTTGCTGCGGGCTTTGATGATGGAGAAATGGCCAAGAACCAAGAAACGTAAGAAATGCAGCTCCTGCTGGAAAACGACAAGGAAATCACTCACCCCGGACATCTCTTGACCAGGGCACTGCTCTGCTGACACCTTGATTTTGATTACATGAGACACATTTTGTACTTCTGACCTCCAGTCTGTGAGAGAATAAATTTCTGTTGTTTTAAGCCACTAGATCTAAGCTAATTTGTTACAGCAAAATAGGACACCAATACAAGAGGTTAACTCACTTGCCTAAATTGAGCTGATATTTTTTATTTTTTGAGACACGGTCTTGCTCTGTTGCCTAGGCTGGAGTGCAACGGCAGGATCATAGCTGATTGCGGCCTCCAGTTCCTGGCCTCAAGTGATCCTCCTGCCTCAGCCTCCTGAGTAACTGGAACTACAGGCCCATGTGACCAAGCCTGGCTGATTTTAGAGAGCTTTTTTGTTTGTTTGTTTGTTTTGAGGTGGATTCTGGCTCTGTTGCCCAGGCTGGAGTACAGTGGTGCAATCTCAGCTCACTGCAACCTCCACATCCCAGGTTCAAGCAATTCTCCTGCCTCAGCCTCCTGAGTAGCTGGGATTACAGATGCCTGTCATCATGCTCGGCTAATTTTTGTATTTTAGTAGAGACGGGGTTTCACTATGTTGGCCAGGCTGGGCTTGAACTCCTGTCCTCAGTTGATCCACTCACCTTGGCCTCCCGAAGTGCTGGGATTACAGGCATGAGCCATCGTGTCTGGCTGCCTGGCTGATTGAATTTTTTTTTTTAATAGAGACGGTGGGGGAGGGTGGGGGGTCTCACTATGTTGCCCAGGCTGGTCTTGAACTCGTGGCCTCCATCATTCCTCCAGTGTTGGCCTCCCAAAGTGTTGGAATTAATAGGCTTGAACTACCACATCTGGCTTCTAAACTGACTTGTTAGGCCAGGTGTGGTGCCTCATGCTTGTAATCCCAGAACTTTGGGAGGCCGAGGCGGAAGGATCACTTGAGGTCAGGATTTCAAGATCAGCCTGGCCGACATGGTGAAACCCCGTCTCTACTTTAAAAAAATATAAAAATTAGCCTGGTATGGTGGCAGGTGCCTGTAATCCCAGCTACTCAGGAGGCTGAGGCATGAGAATCACTTGAACCCGGGAGGTGGAGGTTGCAGTGAGCCGAGAACGCGCCACTGCACTCCAGCCTAAACAACAGGGCGAGACTCTGTCTCAAAAATAAATAAATAAATAAATAAAATAAGATAAACTGACTTGCTAAGTGTAGTGTCAGGATTTGAACCCCTGCATTCTGGCTCTGTTTCCTACACTTACACCCACCATGCTGAGGGGTGCTGCCCTGGAGTAGGGCAAGCAAAGACTAGGAGCTATTAATAGAAGTTTCATCCTGTTCTCTCCCAGCTCCCGCCTCTTTCCATCTCATCCTTCAGCAGCCTTCTTTGCTATGCCTCTCTCTGGCTTCATGGTATTAGGGGTGACTTGGAAAGAAGCAGGGACCAGAGGAATAATATTCACTGAGTTTGTGTAAAGAAAAAAGCTTTCCTTGCCTCTAGCACCTTGCAGCTCTTTTATTCCACCGCCTAGATGCAACAGCAGAAATCATCTTTGCAATTCAAGGCCTAATATTCTGAATATATAAGGAGCTCCTGTTATGGGTTGAATTGCTTCCCCTCCACACCAGAAAAACATAGGTTGAAGTCCTAACCCCCAGTACTCAGAATGTGACCTTATTTGGAAATAGGGCTGTTGCAGATATAATTAGTTAAGTTGCAGTCATACTGAAGTAGGTTGGGCCCCAAATCACTATGACTGGCATCCTTATAAGAACGTGGCCCTAGGCCGGGCGCGGTGGCTCACGCCTATAATCCCAGCACTTTGGGAGGCTGAGGTGGGTGCATCACCTGAGGTCAGGAGTTTGAGACCAGCCTGGCCAATATGATGAAACCCCATCTCTACTAAAAATACAAAAATTAGCCAGGCGTGGTGGCGCGTGCCTGTAGACCCAGCTACTTGGGAGGCTGAGGCAGGAGAATCGCTAGAACCCATCAGGCAGAGGCTGCAGTGAGCCGAGACTGTGCCACTGCACTCCGGCCTGGGTGACAGAGTGAGACTCCATCTCAAAAAAAAGAAGAAGGTGGCCCTGTGACGACAGAGAGACACAGGAATAATGCCATGTAAAGACAAAGGAAGAGAGTGGAGCTAGGCAGCTGCAAGCCAAGGACCGCCAAAGATTGCCAGAAAGCCACTGCTGCTGGGAAGAGCCAGGTAGGAGTCCTCTATGGGTTTATGGCCCTGATGACACCTTGATCTTGGACTTCTGGACTCTGGACTGTAAGACAATACATTTGTCGTTCTGACCCACCCAGTCTGTAGTACTTTGTTACAGCAGCCAT
The DNA here is from genome assembly GCF_000001405.40 of Homo sapiens. Lineage (NCBI taxonomy): Eukaryota > Metazoa > Chordata > Mammalia > Primates > Hominidae > Homo > Homo sapiens. The sequence goes on from NC_000019.10 coordinate 43,679,746, forward strand.
AGGAGGCTAACAGAGCTTCTATGAATCAATTGGGTGGAGCACAGTGGCTCACGCCTGTAATCCCAGCACTTTGGGAGGCCAAGATGGGTGGATTGCCTGAGCTCAGGAGTTCGAGACCAGCCTGGGCAACACCATGAAACCCCGTCTCCACTAAAATACAAAAAATTAGCTGGGCATGGTGGAGTGCACCTGTAGTCCCAGCTACTTGGGAGGCTGAAGCAAGAGAATTGCTTGAACCTGGGAGGCGGAGGTTGCAGTGAGCTGAGATTGCACCACTGCACTCCAGCCTGGGGGACAGGGTGAGACTCGTCTCAAAAATAATAATAATAATAATAATAATAATAATAATTAATAGAGGACAGGAAAAGAAGCACAAATGACCCCTATAAAAATGACACTAACCAGTCACAGTGGCTTACGCCTGTAATCCCAGCACTTTGGGAGGCTGAGGCACGAGGATCGCTTGAGCCCAGGAGTTCCAGACCAGCCTAGGCAACAAAGGGAGACCTTGTCTCTATAAAATAAAAAAAGGTTAGCCAGGCGTGGTAGGACATGCCCATCTTCCCAGCTACTCAGGAGGTTAAGGAAGGAGGATCTCTTGAGCCCAAGAGTTCAAGACTGCAATGCGCTATGATTGTGCCACTGCACTCCAGCATGGGTGACAGAGTGAGACTATGCTCTAAAAAAAATTAGTCAATAAGAGAGACCCCAGAGATCTGTTTCGTCCCTTCTAACAGGTGAGGATGCAGCAAGAAAATGCCTTCCATGAACCAGAGAGCAGGATCTTGCCAGACACTAAATCTACTGGTGCCTTGACCTAGGATTTCCCAGCCTCCAGCACTGTGAGAAATAAATGTCTATTGTTTATAGGTATTCAGTTTGACAGATGGTCTTATTTATATGTCTGGACTCTCAACCGTGATGTTTGGGGTGCTGGGAGCCTCTCTCCTCAAGATTTCTCACCCTGCAAGAGGTAAGCCTGGGCTCCTTCATCCAGTGTCAAAGGGTTTTCAGCAGCAAGAAAGTGAGAACAGCAGTGACAAGTTCTTTTTGTTTAAATTTTTAAAACTAATTATTAATTTTATTTATTTATTTATTTATTTATTTATTTATTTATTTATTTATTTTGAGATAGGATCTCTCTCTGTCACCCAGGCTAGAGTGTAGAGGTGAGATGTCGGCTCACTGCAACCTCCATCCCCTGGGCTCAAGCAATTCTCCCACCTCAGCCTCCCGAATAGCTGCGAATACAGGTGCACACCACCATGCCTGGCTATTTTTTTGTATTTTCAGTAGAGACAGGGACTTGCTATGTTGCCCAGACTGATCTTGACCTCCTGAGCTCAAGCAATTCACCCACCTTGGCCTCCCAAAGTGCTGGGATTACAGGGGTGAGCCACTGCACCCGGCCTAATTATTAATTATTATTATTATTATCATTATTATTTTGAGACTCAGTCTTGCTCTGTGGCCCAGGCTGGAGTGCAGTGGTGTGATCTCGGCTCACTGCAACCTCCACTTCCTGGGTTCAAGCGATTCTCCTGCCTCAGCCTCCTGAGTAGCTGTGATTATAGGCACCCGCCATCATGACCAGATAATTTTTGTATTTGTAGTACAGGTGAGGTTTCACCATGTTGGCCAGGCTGGTCTCGAACTCCTGACCTTAAATAATCCACTCACCTCGGCCTCCCAAAATGTTGGGATTATAGGCGTGAGCCACTGCACCCGGCCTAATTATTCTTTTTTGGAAACGGGGTCTCACTGTGTTGCCTACACTGGTCTTGATCTCCTGGGCTCAAGTGATCCCCCTACCGTGCCGCCTCCCAGAGCACTGGGATTACAGAGGTGAGCCATTGCGCCCTGACAAAGCTGCAAGTTCTTGAGGCCAGGAGCTCAAGGCCCAGGCTCAGAACTCATGGGACATCAATATGTCTCATTCTATTGGCCAAACCAAGTTACAAGACCAGCTCAGATTTGAAAGGAGGAGGATCGACGCTATCTCTTGATGGAAGGAGCTGCACAGAACTCGTGGCCACTTGTATTCGACCACACACCTTTTCACCTCTCAGGTTGGCAAAAATAAAACAGTTTGATAATGCATGGAGTTGATGAGGCTGTGGGAAAACAGATACTCCCCATTGTTTCTCCTGGGGGTGTAAACTGGTACAGCCCTATAAGAGGTAATTTTGCAATTGCTCTCAAAATCACAAGTGTGGCAAAACCTTCGTCATTTTCCAAAACCACTCACCACGTCCAGGAACTTGGTGCATGCGTGAAATGATATGGTCACAGGGCTCTTCATTGCAGCATAGTTTGTAACGTCAGATGGGAAAATACTAATGCTACAAGAGGTGCACTTATCCAGCGGAAAAAGAAAGAAGAAACTCTTCATGCAATTCAGGTTACATTATGGCCAAGTTCAAAAATCTAGGGGCAGAACAGTGCAGGGAATACCCCACTGTGCATTAAAGGAGAGAGGCCTGCCCTGGCCAATATGACAAAACCCTGTCTCTACTGAAAATACAAGAATTAGCCAGGCATGGTGGTGGGTGCCTGTAATCCCTGCTACTCGGGAGGCTGAGGCAGGAGAAACGCTTGAACCTGGGAGGCGGAGGTTGCAGTGAGCTGAGATCACGCCACTGCACTCCAGCCTGGGCAACAGAGCGAGAGTCTGTCTCAAAATAATAATAATAATAATAATAATAATAATAATAATAATGAAAAGAAAAAGAAAAGAAAAGAAAAAGGAGAAGGGCATGTGTCTATATTTGCTTGTAGAGTATATGCATTAAATAACTTGTCTGGGCTGGGTGTGCTGGCTCATGCCTGTAATCCTAACACTTTGGGAGGCCAAGGTGGGAGGATTGCTTGAGCCCATGAGTTTGAGACCAGCTTAGGCAACACAGGAAGACTCTGTCCCTACAAAAAAAAAAAAAATAGCTGGGTGTAGTGGTGCGTGCTTGTAGTCCCAGCTACTCAGGAGGCTGAGGTGGGAGGATTGCTTGAGCATGGGAAGTTGAGGCTGCAGTGAACTGAGATTGTGCCACTGCACTCCAGCCTGGGTGACAGAGCTAAACTCTGTCTCAAAATAAAAAATAAAATACAAAACAACTTGTCTGATGCCCCCCTGCCACCACATTTCAAGTGAAGTGCAGGGAAATGTCCCTTCCCTGCATGCCTGCTCTTCATTCTTCAGTCCACAAGCCTCGTGTTTGTGCAGCTCCTGGCCTGTCACCCAGCCCGAGTTATCGGTGACGATAACATCTAGAGAGACTGGCTTCCTCTAGTCATGAAGTGTCAGGCGCTGCTCCCTCCTCCCCAAACTCCAGACTTGGCTGAGGGACTCTCTGTCCCATCTTCTCACCTCTCCTGCACCAAAGGGTTCTTGGTTTACCTGGGAAGGATGTGAGCCAAGTCCCCAGACTTCTCCCTGCCCTAGCACCCCATTGAGAAAAGCCATCTCCCATCCCCAGGCTGCTATCTTTCCTCCTTAGGGTTGGCACCTTCCAGAGTCACCTCCTTGATTGTACACACTGATTGAGGGGCCCCACCTGGGATTCTGGGAAGCCTGGCAGGCCTGTGGGTGACCTTGAACTCGTCCTTTCTCTCGCTTGAGATCTCTCCTCTGAGCCAAGAGGGGAGGTCAACCTCAACTTGTCCCCTTAGCAGCCTTATTTATATTGCTAAATAACGATGATGATGATGATGACAACGACAATGACACAGCAGTTACTGCCCACTGTTCTAAGTGCTCTACATAAATCAACTCAATCCTCACAGCAGCCCTTCGATGGAGGTCCTCCTAGTTGCCCTGTTTTACAAATGAGGAAACTGAGGCCCAGTAGGTAAAATGTCTTGCCCAAGGCCACTTAACTTGGAAGTGGCAGAACTGGAATTTGAACTCGGGTTGTCTGGTTCTAAAGCGTTCATCACCCCTCTGGACGGGTGTGTGGTTTTCTTAAAGCTCACTACTACAAATACCTCCAATCCTAACAGAGCCACCATTAGCATTAGTAAAGAGGCAGGCTGGGTGCCATGGCTCAAGCCTGTAATCCCAAGCACTTTGGGAGGCCGAGGCGGGTGGATCACTTGAGGTCAGGAGTTCGAGACCGCCACCAACATGGTGAAACCCTGTCTCTACTAAAAAAATACAAAAAATTAGCTGGGCATGGTGGCGGGCACCTGTAGTCCTAGCTACTTGGGAGGCTGAGGCAGGAGAATCACTTGAACCTGGGAGGTGGAGGTTGCAGTGAACTGAGATCCTGCCACTGCACTCCACCGTGGGCATCAGAGTGAGAATCCATCTCAAAAAAAAAAAGGAGGGCACTTACAGCAATCCAGGCCCTGGGCTACACCCATTTAGCAGATAAACACACTGAGGCCTGAAATAGGGGAAGGGACATCCCCAGAGTTACACCTCATAGGAGGAGCAGGTGGGGTGTCAAAGCCCATGAAGGGTGGACTTGCCAGGCACCAGGCTGGAAGGCCCCTCATGGGGTGGTTGAAATTGATCTTATTCCCACTGAACAAGTGTGAAAATCAAGGTGGCCCAGGGAGGAGCAGGAGGAGAATGACACGGGTCTCATCCAGAGAGGGCAGATCAATTTCCCTTTTGGTGCAGCCCTGTGCTCAAGCCAGAGACATTTGGGTTCAAATCCTGGTTGTGCTGATTTTCTTATTATGTGCCCCTGGACAAGGCCTTGACTGCTGTGAGCCCTGGTTCCCTTTTTTGTAAAAGAGGGAACCCCAGGGCTGATTTCAGTTGTACTGGTTGTTAAAATATTGAGGTATGTCCAGATTTGGTTGATAAAATTCCCCTGCCTGGAGGCCTTGAGTGCCCTGATGGCATCTCTGGGTCCTCCCAGACATCTTCATATTCTAGAAAGATGAGGGAAAGACCGGGTCCCTGGAGGCCAACAGGCTGCTACTCTAGCAAGTGGGCAGGATTGTTACTACCAATACCCTGGCCTGTATTGACAGGTGGTCAAATATTTTGAGTATCCTCCGTGGGTGGGGTTAATGATAATGGCTGGTAGGACTACTGTAAGGATTTAGTGAGCTAATGTGTGTAATGAGTGATGAGGCAACCCATTATTATTTTATATTATTATTATTATTTCTTTTTTAGAGGAGAGTCTCACTGTCACCAAAGCTGGAGTGCAGTGGTGACATCATAGCTCACTGCAACCTTGAATTCCTGGGCTCAGGCGATTCTCCCACCTCAGCCTCCCTAGTAGCTGGGACTGTAGGTGTGCACCACCACGCCTGGCTAATTTTTATTTTTATTTTTATTTTTTATTTTGAGACACAGTCCCACTCTGTCGCCCAGGCTGGAGTGCAGTGGTGTAATCTTGGCTCACTGCAACCTCTGCCTCCCAGGTTAAAGAGATCCTTGTGCCTCAGCCTCCTGAGTAGCTGGGATTATAGGCATGTGCCACCACACCAGGCTAACTTTTTTTTTTTTTTTGAGACGGAGTCTTGCTCTGTCACTGGGCTGGAGTGCAGTGGTGTGATCCCGGCTCACTGAAACCTCCGCCTCCCGGGTTCTAGCAATTCTATTCTCCTGCCTCAGCCTCCCGAGTAGCTGGGACTACAGGCATGCACCACCACGCCCAGCTAATTTTTTGTATTTTTAGTAGAGACAGGGTTTCACCGTGTTGGCCAGGATGGTCTTGATCTCTTGACCTTGTGATCTGCCTGCCTCGGCTTCCCAATGTGCTGGGATTACAGTCGTGAGCCACCGCGCCAGGCCCTAATTGGCTTTTGCCATCCAGTGTTGGGCCTGGCCTTCTCCCGCAAGGGTGCAAAACAAGTTGGTAAAGATCAGAGAAGCTGGATGGGTAAGCCTGAACTGTGAAGTTAGATTTATCGGCAAAATGATGGGGCTCTTCAGTAACCTCAGGAAATGCCTTGGATATAGCACAGAGTTCAGCTTTAGTTCCAGAGACATAAGAAATCTGAGGACCTCAGTGTCGTTAGACAGCCTGGTCTTAAGGGGATAAGTTTTTATAGGTTGAGGTTGTGAAGCAGAAAGGAAAGGGGTGTTAGTGGGGAAAGACATCAGAAAAGAAAGAAAGAGAAGGGTTAAGAACCAGTAGATAAGGCCTGAGAGAGAAAGATTTGGGGCTTCAAATGCCTTTTTTTTTGGAGACAGAGTCTCGCTCTGTTGCCCAGGCTGGAGTGCAGTGGTGTGATGTCGGCTCACTGCAACCTCCGCCTCCCAGGTTCAAGTGATTCTCCTGCCTCAGCCTCCCGAGTAGCTGGGATTACAGGCGTGCGTGCCACCACGCCCGGCTAATTTTTTTTTTTTTTTTTTTTTTTTTAGTAGAGACAGGGTCTCACCATGTTGGCCAGGCTGGTCTCGAACTCCTGGCCTCAAGTGATCTGCCCATCTTGGCCTCCCGAAGTGCTAAGATTCCAGGTATGAGCCACGGCGACTGGCCCACCTGTCTAATTTTTAAATTTTTTTAAGACGCTGGGTCTCACTATGTTGTTCAGGCTGGTCTTTAACTCCTAGGCTCAAGCGATCCTCCCACCTTGGCCTCACAAAGTGCTGGGATTACAGGTACGAGCCCCTGCACCTGGCCACAACCTATTAATAGTAATAATAATAATAACAACATGTCCCCCTGTCCTTCTCTGGCCTCACTGAGTAGTCCCAGGCTTTCCCCACATGCCTCTCAGGACTTAGTTTCCCCATCTCGATGCTCTCTCAGTCCCCTCTCTTGCTGGGTGTCCCAGTGGCCAGGATGGTGGGTGGCACCGCTATCTTCCCGGCCTATTTGCTCTCCCTCTTCCGGGGCTGCTACCCTGGCCAAGGCCCTTGAATAAAAGGCAAGGGCACCTGTGTCCTGCTTCCTTCTCTCCTGCCTGGATCATGCTCTGGCTCTCTCTGCCCTGTTGCTCCTGGGAGCACTGGCTGCCCCAGCAGGTAAGCGCGTCATGGTCCATCAGAAAGGGAGAGGGTCGGCTCAAGGTCACATGTGGTGTTGGGAGTCTGGCTTCAGAGTCTGGGCCCCAGGTCCTTCCAACTGGGCTCATTGTCTAGCAGGCAGAAGAACAGGGCAGCTGAGAACCTAGTTCTGGAACCAGGCTGCCTGGGTTCAAATCCTGACTCTGTCACTTCTTAGCCGTGTGACTCCAGACAAACCACATAACCTCTCTGTGCCTCATTTTTTCCATGTGTGAAGTGGTGACAATGCCCCTGCCTCAGACAGTTGTTGAGACATTGGTTGAATCCACACGTTTGAGGAGCTCAGAACAGTGCCAGCCTGGCAGTGGCTCTGTTTGAGGGTGAGCTCTGCTGGATTATCCAGGAGCAGTTACTGTTACTCTTTTACCTCACCTGCCTGTCTCCCCTTTGGCTCTAATTCTGCCACCTTTGCCTGAGTTGGGAATTAAGTGGTTTGGATCCTAGCCAGGACCTCACTGTGCGATCTTGAATTGAAACCCTAAACCCAGCAGCTCCCACTTAGAGATTCTGTGATTCTCATCTCCAAACCTTTGTCTGCGTTGTTTCATCGACTTGGAATGCCATTCGCACTCCTCACAACAAAGAAGGTTGCTGATCTCCCAATGGCCCTCCCACCTCAGCCCTTAGTCCTATTCTTTTTTTTTTTTTTTTTTTTTGAGACAGGATCTCACTCTGTTGCCCAGGCTGGAGTGCAGTCGTGCAATCTTAGCTCACTGCAGCCTGAACTTTTGGGCTCAAGTCATCCTCAGCTTCCTAAATAGCTGGGATTACAGGCATGAGCCACCATGCCTGATTAGTCCTATTCTTGAATCGTGTGTGTGTGTGTGTGTGTGTGTGTGTGTGTGTGTTCTTTGTCCTTCTCAAACTGCAGAGTCTGATCACTGTTTTCTTCCTTGCAGGAAGCTCTAAGACATGTCCAGCCTGCTCTTTGCTGTGAACCTGCATTGAAATAACTTGTCCTTCTGCCCAGGACTTCTGCTTGTTTAGCCAGATGCAGCTGGGTGGGGGACCGGGCTGGGGACTGGACAGGGGCTGGGTGGAGAGAATGGACAAAGGCAGTGGGTGGAAGGGGGGCATGGATGAGCCATCCTGGGACTGGAGATTGCCAGCCCTGCCTCATAGCTCAGCCTGGTGCTACTGGGGTAAAGGGCAGAGGGCAGCTGAACAGCAAAAGAGGCCCTGGATTGGCCAGGGGGATGGCTATAGAGTGGGCAGAGGTCCTGGAGGGCTTGGAAAGCAGGGGCCCTAATCTCCCTTCCTCAAACTCTATCCCTAGAAAATGGGACTCTCATTGAGAAGGGGTCATGTGTGGCCCCTGGAGAATGCTAAGAAGGTGTCTACGCCCTGACCTACAGCCCCCATGCAAGCCTCTGGGTCAGCACAGCCTCTTGTGAAAACAACTGCAGCCACCTTCCCCAGTAAGGTTTGTTGGGAGGACCTCAGGCTCACACACCAGGGTAGGGTGTCATGGGGACCCAGCCTCAATTTCCTGCCTCACAGCTTTTTGTCTGGCTGATTGGGGCAAGAAGGAGACTCTCAGTTTTCTCATCTGGAAAATGGGTGTGATGTAGGTTTTAAAGGGTGTTCATCCCCTAGGCTGGCACGTGGTAGACACTCCTTTTGTTGCCATGTTTATTTGAATACTGGGAGGCTAAAGAGAACTCCAAGCTCTTTTCTGTTTCTCTGTCTCTCTCTCTCTCTCTCTCTCTTTTTGAGACAGAGTCTCACTCTGTTGCCCAGGCTGGAGTACAATGGCGCAATCTTGGCCTACTGCAACCTCCACCTCCTGGTTCAAACGATTCTCGTGGCTCAGCCTCACGAGTAGCTGGGATTACAGATGTACACAACCACGTCCGGCTAATTTTTGTATTTTTAGTAGAGTCAGGGTTTCGCCATGCTGGCCAGTCTGGTCTCAAACTCTTGACCTTCAGTGACCTGCCCGCCTGGGCCTCTCAAAGTGCTGGGATTACAGGCATGAATCTCTGTGCCCCGCCTCTCTTTTTGTCTTTAATAGAGGGGCTCCCCTTGAAGGCTAGTCAAACAGAACAAGAAACCTCACAAGTGGTGATAGGCCCAGGTCTAGGGGAGCCCAGCCAGGAGCCCAGGATGCAAAAATGTTTATTCTTTATTTTTTATTTTTATTTTTTTTGACAGAGTCTCACTCTGTCACCCAGGCTGGAGTGCAGTGGTGCGATCTTGGCTCGCTACAACCTCTGCCTCCTGGGTTCAAGCAATTCTCCTCCCTCAGCCACCTGAGTAGCTGGGATTACAAGCACATGCTACCACACCAGGCTGATTTTTTTTGTATTTTTAGCAGATATGGGGTTTCCCCACGTTGACCAGGCTGGTCTCCAACTCCTGGCCTCAAGCAATACACCCACTTTGGCCTCCCAAAGTTCTGGGATTACAAGTGTGAGCCCTCATGCACAGCCCCAGGGTGCAAAATTTAAGGAGATGCTCACGCTGAGGGGATAGCCCTCTACTTGCACAACCCTGAAAAGTCGTGCCTCCTTAAATTTTGGGCCCCTGGTTTCACCCTAGATCTGGCCCTGGGTGGTGACAAAGATCACTTTTCGTTGCTTGGTTATTTCTTCTAAGAAGGAATTTGTACTTGGCAGATGTAGCAATGGGGAGAGGTAGCCATCCTTTCAAACAAGTGCGATTTCCCTCCTCCTAATTTGTGTCTAATTGCCCTCCTAAATTGTGTCTCTCAGCAAAATAAAACCCCCAGGTTCAAGTTACGAGGTGGGCATGCTATTCAGTATATAAAATGTCAGGTATGATTATAACTGCATTAATTTTTTTTTTAGACAGTCTTGCTCTGTCGCCCAGGCTGGAGTGCAGTGGTACAATCTTGGCTCACTGCAACCTTCACCTCCTGGGCTTGAGCAATCCTCACACCTCAGCCTCCTGAGTACCATGGCTACAGACATGTGCCACCATGACTGGCTAATTTTTTTTGCATTTTGTAGAGATGGAGTTTCGCCATGTTGCCCAGGCTGGTCTGGAACTCCTGGGCTCAAGTCTTCCACCTGCCTCGGCCTCCCAAAGTGCTGGGATTATAGGCATAAGCCATTGTGCCCAGCCTCGGTCTCAAACACTCCTTGCAGCCCCTGAAAACTTATTCTGGGGCCAGGCGCAGAATCACTTTGGAGGGAAATGATCTGGATTGTGGGAGTAGAGGCAGTGAGAGAGGGAGGGCAGGAGAACAGAGGCCTAGTGAGGAAGGATGGCTGTAGGGGTGTTCCTCAGCCCCCACCCCGCCCTGACTTTGTCCACTCCCACCAGAGGCAGGGCCCAAGGCCAAGCCCAACACTGTGAAATGTCACTACTGTTCCAGGAATAAGTCGGCTCCATGAACTGCACTGGGAAACAGACTGCATGTGTCACCCTCCACGGGACCTGGAGTAGAGGTAAGGGCCCCTTCACAGGAGGTGATTTTTGTGGCAGGTTTCTTCCCACCTGCACAAATAAGGCTTGAGCTTCATTTGCACGTGCGTCCTGGTTATGTATTGCCATTTAACAAATCACCCACAGGCCAGGAGCAGTGGCTCACACCTGTAATCCCAGTACTTTGGGGGGCTAAGGTGGGAGGATTACTTGAGCCCAGGAGTTCAAGACCAACCTGGGCTACATAGCAAGTTCCCATCTCGAAAACAAAAACAAAAACAAAAAAACCCCAAATCACTCACAAGGTGGGTGGCTAAAAATGACAATCATTTAATGATCTCTTCCAGTTTCTTTGGTTTGGGAATTCAGGAAGAGCTCCTCTGGAGAGTTCTGAGTCTCTCGTATGTTGTAGTCAGAGGGTGTTAAGAGCTGGAACTGCTGGGGCAGGAACAACCAGGGGCTTTCTGAGCATCTCTTGCATATATGTAAGCACAGGCCTTTCTATGTGGCCTCTCCACATCGGTTAGATTGAGCTTCCTCCCATCATGGCTACCTCAAGGCTCTTTACATGGTGGCTAACGATTTCATTCAGCAAACAAAGTTACAGCTGCTTGGTCTTTATGTCTCAGCCTTGGAAGTCACATAATGTAACTTCTATTCTGCTTTATTGATCAAAATGGTCACAAAAGTTCCATCTGGTTTCAAGATGAAAGAGGCATGGACCCCACCTGTTGATGTGTCATAGATTTGCAAAGGTATTTTTAAATCACCAGTATGATTTGCAAACAGTTGGAGGAGAGGCCTTTTCAGCAAAAGATTTATAATATAACCACAGTAGCCAGAGGATAGACTAATTATGAAGCCAATCAAAGGATCGAGAGCAGTAGCCTGGGCTTCTGCTTTTGGCAGTATGGTGGACTCAATCCTCTAAAAGGTCTTCTGCTCCAAACAGTGGCACACTGGGAAGGTGGAGGACTGAGACAGTGAAATAGAGGAAGTGGCCCATCATGGTTGGGAGGAGCAGTTTATCACTGACATTGCTTAGAATTGCTGGTACTACCTGGTGATAATAAAAAGCAAACTGATTTTTAGTTGGTTTTATGATTTAAAAAAATTCTCTATAGGCTGGGCACGGTGGTTCATGCCTGTGATCCCAGCACTTTGGGAAACTGAGGCGGGTGGATCACTTGAGCACAGGAGTTCGAGACCAGCCTGGCCAACATGGTGAAACCCCATCTCTGTTAAAAATACAAAAATTACCTGAGTATGGTGGCACACACCTGTAATCTCAGCTACTTGGGAGGCTCAGGTAGGAGTGAGCCGAGATTGTGCCACTGCACTCCAGCCTGGGTGACAGAGTGAGACTCTGTCTCAAAAAAAAAAAATTCTCTATAGACACTAAGCCCCTTGTAGCCTGTTCCCAGGCTGGACTGCTCCCACTCCCTTCCCCTGCTTGGTATGCCACTGTTTACAGATAAACAAGATCCTGTACAGAAATATTTTTCCACACTTTTTGGGGTTGCAGAAAGTTAAGAAAATGTCCACGTGTCCCTAAGCAAAACAAAAATGTGAACAGAAATCATAATGGGAGCAGTGAGAAAACATGGAAGGCATGGTGGCCTGGGAGCAAATGCTGATAATAACCTGCTTTAGGTAAACAGGTCTTGGGCTGGCAGCATGCTTCTGGAATTTAGATTCCCACATAAGCAAGGGACCTCGGACAGAAGCCAAAATGATCCCTGGTCAGTAGCACCTCCTGGCACTCAGTAGAATCAAAAGCAATTCCTTCCCAGGGAAAAGCTCCCAGGATTCCCACAGATGAATATCAACCAAATATGAGCTCACAATCATAGTTCATGAAACGCACAAGGAAACAAGCCACCATGAGTGATAGCAGAAATAACAAATCACAGATACAGACCTGTGAGGAGCTCAGCTATTGTAATTATCAGCTGTAGAACATAGCGTACCGGCACGTGATATGTCTGAAGGAATAAACTTAGAATCACAAATGTGAGCAGGCAACAAGAGGTTGTAAAAACTGACCAGGTAGATTTGAAACTGAATCATATAGAACTACTAAGATGGCAACTTTCAGATAGCGAAAGATAGACATCAAGTTGGAAGGCTTGGACTCTGAGCCTCTTGTTGCAATCTCATCTCATTTCCACAGGGGGTCCCCAAATTCTGAAGGGCTGTGCTACACCAGAGGTCTGCAACTTACATGAGAATGCCACCCTGGGTCCAGAAGACTCTGGATTTCATCTCACCGCTAAGCCTGAATGCAACTGCCTTACTCCTACACATCCAGGTGCTTTGACCCCTGCCTTCCTAAAAACCCAACCTTTCTTACCTCCCTGGATCCCCTATGCTCTTTTCAAACCTATGTGTTCCCAGGGTGTCCACATTTCCTACGATAATGCTCCCAATGAGTACAGTTACCCATACACACACACACACCACCTGACACACTCAGAAGCAGAACATCTATTGGCACATATCCACAAACATCCACATTTACATCCTAGCACCCAAAACAAATATGCAGAGGCACACAAATTTCTAAACATGAACATACTCTGAACATATTATGTGAGTGAGGTTAAAGATCCACGTTCTCTTTAAATGGATCTGAGCCTGGGCAGCATGGCAAAACACCATCTCAACAAAACAACAACAACAACAAAACAAAGCCAGGCATGGTGGCATGCACCTGTGGTCCCACCTACTTGGAAGGCTGAGGTGGGAGGATGGCTTGAGCCCGGGAGGCGGAGGTCGCAGTGAGCTGAGATTGTGTCACTATACTCCAGCCTGGGTGATAGGGCAAGACCCCTTCTCAAAAAAAAAAAAAGGAAGAAAAGAAAAGATAAATCTGATGGTGTTTTCCCTCTTTTCTTCACTTCCTTGCTTGTGAAAGAAGACAGATTTGCCAATAGTCTTCTTTTGGCTTAACAAAGAACAGTCACAAGAAGTTTTGTCTTCCGCAAAAGTGATATGCTAATTGAAATAGTATTTACTGGGGCCACAGTTTATTAAGCAATTCAACCAACTGAACAGAGGGATAGACGTTTTAGAGGTGAGAAAGGCAATTTTCTCTGGATACAGCTGCATTCCCTCAGCTCCAGAGATGTAGAGGAAACTTTGTCAGAAACTACACCAGAAAGGACCATTCTCTCTCTCTGTGTGTGTGTGTGTGTGTGTGTGTGTGTGTGTGTGTGTGTGTGTGTGTATGTGTGTTTAGAGACAGAGTCGCCGTCTATTACCCAGGCTGAAGTGCAGTGGCACGATCATGGTTCAATGCAGCCTTGACTTTCCAAGCTCATGCAATCTTCCCACCTCAGCCTCCTGAGCAGCTAGCACCACAGGCACACACTGCTACACCCAGCTGATTTTTCAATTTTTTTTTTAGAGGTGAGGTCCTCCCTACGTTGCCAAAGCTGAAGAACCATTCTGTGATGCAAAAGAGAGTGTGTTTACTGGCCGGGCGCGGTGGCTCATGATTGTAATCCCAGCACTTTGGGAGGCCGAGATGGGCGGATCACGAGGTCAGGAGATCGAGACCATCCTGGCTAATACGACAAAAGCCTGTCTCTACTAAAAATACAAAAAATTAGCTGGGCGTGGTGGCTGGCACCTGTAGTCCCAGCTACTCAGGAGGCTGAGGCAGGAGAACGGTGTGAACCCGGGAGGTGGAGCTTGCAGTGAGCCGAGATTGCGCCACCGCACTCCAGCCTGGGTGACAGAGAGAGACTCTGTCTCAGAAAAAAAAAAAGGCTGATAGGAGAGTGTAGTTACTGAATTTGCAGGCAAAGCCGAAACATTCTCACCTTAGCTTCTTCAAATCTCCAGCTGCCAGGAGTTTTCCTTTTTTAAACTAAGCAATGGATTTTTTTTTTTTTTTTTTTTTTTTTGTGAGACAGAGTCTCTCTCTGTCGGCCAGGCTGGAGTGCAATGGTGCGATCTTGGCTCACTGCAACCTCCACCTCCTGGGTTCAAGCGATTTTCCCTGCCTCAGCTTCCCAGGTAGCTGGGATTGCAGGTACCCACCACCAAGCCTGGTGAATTTTTGTATTTTTAGTAGAGATGGGGTTTTGCCATGTTGGCCAGGCTGGTCTCGAACTCCTGACCTCAGGTGATCCACCTGCCTAGGCCCCCCAAAGTGCTGGGATTACAGGTGTGAGTCACTGTGACCAGCCCTGAGCAGCGGATTTAATTAATTATCACAATGAAGAAAAAAGGCTGACTTGGGAGCTCGAAATTTACAAGATGGAAAGAAAAAGGGCAAAATAGGAAGACTAACAACAGAAATGTGGGACGCGGAATTTTTGCACACATGATCCCTGTGGACACAGACACAGAACATATCTATGCATGGACACACAGGCTTTCATATATATGACATGGGAAAGAGACAGGCATAAACACCCACAAACATACAAAAGCACAAAATATACACAGGCAAGCTGAAATACATTACCAACATCCATGAACGTTCACATCTGTATACCAACATATATATATATACAAGCACCCCCACACCTTGATGGAAACACAGACACACCCAGCCACAGAAACACACACATACCCATAAAACCAGCCTTATACACATACACATAAACACACGCCTTTGTTTATACAGACACGCAGGTAAACACCTACTCACACAGTGTCCTGCAGAGCTACAAAAACACACATCCCTGACCTCCTGCAGACAGTTTCAGAAACACACAGACAATTCAACACAGGAAGGCACAGCCAGATGTGCACACAGACTTAACAGGCCTGCAAACTTGCACACACAAATGGCATTCTTGCAGAAGTGCGCACAAAAGGCACTTTTGCGCACTCATGGGCACATACTGATGTGCCTGGAAACTCAGCTCCATGCACGTGCATGCACACTGGTTGTCTTCCATCCAGTTCATCTTCCTCTGTCCCCAGGTCCTCATGCAACTGTGACCCACACCAAAGCTGAGACCACCGACTGCTTCACCTGCTGAGACCTCCACAGCTGTGGCCCCCTTCCATGCCCAGAGGATAATCACTACTGCCTTCAGATGGCAGGCATCACAGGTGAGTGCCCATGGGGACAGAAATAGGGCTTGGGGTACAGCAAGACCTATCCTCACTCTCCCACTTTGCTGCCTAGCTTCAGCCATTGTAGCCTTTTCCTGGACATGCAGGGCAGAGGCTAGGGTGCAGTGGAGGGTGTGAGTTTGAAATCTGCTGCCATAGTTGTTTAAGTTACTGCTGAATAACAAACTGGCCAGAACTTAGTGGCTTAACCAGTCATAAAAAGACAAATACTGTATGATTTCACTGAGTTATCTAGAGTAGTCAAAATCATTGAAACAGAAGATAGAATGGTGGTTGCCAGAGGTTGGGGGACGGGGGAATGGGAGTTGTTCAATGGGTACAGAGTTTCAGTTGTGCAAAATGAGTTCTAGAGAGCTGTTACACTCAACAATGTGAATATAGTTAACATTACTGAATTGTGCACTTAAAAATTGTTAAGAAGGCCAGCCGGGCGCAGTGGTTCATGCCTTTAATCCCAGCACTTTGGGAGGCCAAGGCCAGCGGATCATCTGAGGTCAGGAGTTCAAGGCCATGCTTTGAACCTTGTCTCTACTAAAAATACAAAAATTAGCCGGGCTTGGTGGTATGCGCCTGTAGTCCCAGCTACTTGGGAGGCTGAGGCAGGAGAATTGCTTGAACCCGGGAGGCAGAGGTTGCGGTGAGCCAAGATCACACCACTTCACTCCAGCCTGGGTGACAGAGTGAGACTCCGTCTCAAAAAAAAAAAATTGTTAAGAAAGCCACACATGATGGTTTATGCCTGTAATCCCAGCACTTAGGGAGGCCAAGGCAGGAGAATCACTTGAGGCCAGAAGTTCAAGACCAGCCTGGGCAACATAGTGAGACTCCCCCCATCTCTATTTTTTTAAAAAAAACATTAAGAGGGTATATTTTATACAGTGTGATTTTCAAAAAAAAAATCACAATTGAAAAAAAGCTTCTTGGATTAGACAAGTATTTGTTATTTCTCACAATTCTGCAGCTGACTGGGCTCAGCTGGGCAGTTCTTCTGCTCTAAGTGGTAAAGGCTGAGGTCACTTATGTGATTGCATTCAGCTGGGAGCTTGACTGCACCTGGAATGTTTAAGACAGCTGGGGAGAGCCTCGCTCCTCTGAGCTCTCACTAGTCAGTTTCCTAGCTTGAGCTTCCTTATAGTACGGTGGCCGGCTTCTGAGAAGGAAGAAGTGGGAACAACCAGGCCTTCTAAGGGATAGACCCAGAACTGTCACAGTGTCACTTCTGCCACAGTCTATTGGTCAGAGCAAATCCCAAGGCAGGCTCAGATTTAAGGGGTGACGTAACAGATTCCACCTCTTGATGAGAGAGTGGCAAGATTATGTTGCACAAGAGCATGCAGGATGGGAGATACAGTTGTGGCCATCTTGGTATCTACTACAACACTCTGGGCAGGCAGCCCCACTTAAGGCTCCTGTCACTCTCTCCCCATAGAAGGAAAAGTGGACTCTTCTGTAAACGGGAAGAGGAGTTGAACTTGAAACCGGCTCTTTGCTATCTTTTTACAGCATAAAGAGACATAGTAAAGATAGTGTTCCAGGCTCCAGTTCTGGACATTTCTGGGATCTTAGAGAAGTTTCTTACTAAGTCCATGAGGTGCTCATAGACAGGGTGGGGAGACCTCACAGATACAGAGCCACCCTATTAATTGAAACCCTAAGGAGAGAAGGCAGGGGATCATGGAAGGCTTTCTGAACTATGTGATTTTTAACTGTTGTTGTTGTTTTGAGACAAGGTCTCACTCTGTCACCCAGGGTGGAGTGCAGTGGCACAACCTTGGATCACTGCAGCCTTGACCTCCTGGGCTCAAGCGACCCTCCCAAGTAGGTGGGACTGCATCACTATGCCTGGCTAATTTTATTTTATTTTTTGTAGAGGCGGGGGGTCCCACTATATTGGCCAGGCTGGTCTTGAACTCCTGGGCTCAAGTGATCCTCCTGTCCCAAAGTGCTGGGATTACAGGCATGAACAATTGCCCCAAGCCTGAACTTAATGTGTCTTAATGAACAATGACCAGCTTTGGATGTATTATGGGGAGATCTCAGGCAGAGTGAATGCCATCAGGGAAATACTCAGAGAGATTTGGGGAGTTCGGTTGGGTGGTGGGTTGTGATTGCCTTTCCTCACTAGCCTGGCCTCCATCTCTCTCCAGGCTTTGGCGAAGGTAACCCTGTCTCCTGGAGAAACGGTTTCTGCGTGACCTCCAAGGACTGCAAATTTGGCAACTCCATCTATGCCCTGACCTATGGTGTTGGCTTTGGCTTCTGCGTCAACACCACCTGTTGCCAAGGCAACTACCAGGAGCCCACCCCTCTCGGTATGCTGTCACCAGAAAGCAGTCAGATGGGTGGCCAAGGAGGTGGTGGGTGACTCTGGAGGCAGAGTTGAGGAAGGAATGCAGGAAGGAACATCACTCAACCCCAACCAGGCTGCCCTCAGGCACCCTGATCCCAGCTTGGGAGGAAATCCCACCAAGGTCATGACAATATTAAGTTCGTGACAATGTGGTAGAGCCTAGGAGTGCACTCGGGGCCCCGGGAGGTCCTGAGATTCCTTCTGACTGACCTTCATCCTCTTCTACACAGCAGCTCATCTGGCCTCACACACCCTGAGTGAGATATTGTGTCCTACATGTCCTGGGAGCTACTTGGAGCCCTGCAATTCCTCCTTCTACATGCAGTGTCCCAGTGGGGAATCTGAGTGTGTCCAGCTGGACCTAACGTCTGAAGAAGGTAATGGGGACAGCACATGTGTGTGTGTGTGTGTGTGTGTGAAGAAGGTAATGGGGACAGCATGTGTGTGTGTGTGCACATGTGTGTGTGCACGAGTGAGCCTTAGCACGTTAGATTTGGATACTGGTGTGCTTGAGTTTGGAGTCTCCCCTCCACCCTTTACTCTGTGTAGCTCAAGGCAAGTGACTTTATCTCTTTGAGCCTCTGTTTTCTCTTCTGGTAATTGGGGATGGTAGACACACACCTTGAAGGGCGTTGTGAGGACAAAGTGAACTCATGAGGGAGGTGACAGAGTAAAGGGCATAAGAACAGGACTCTAGGGCCAGGCTGCCTGGGTTCAAATGCTGAATCCACCACCTGAGCTGGGTGACCTTGACCAGGTGACTTTGCCTCTCTGTGCCTCAATTTCTCCATCTGTAAAAGGGGATAACTTGGTATGCAACAAGTTCTTTAAAAAACAGGGGAGGGCCGGACGTGGTGGCTCACACCTGTAATCCCAGCACTTTGGGAGGCCAAGGCGGGCGGATCACGAGGTCAGGAGATCGAGACCATCCTGGCTAACATGGTGAAACCCCATCTCTACTAAAAATACAAAAAATTGGCCGGGCGTGGTGGCAGGTGCCTGTAGCCCCAGCTACTCAGGAGGCTGAGGAAGGAGAATGGCGTGAACCCGGGAGGCGGAGCTTGCAGTGAGCCGAGATGGCGCCACTGCACTCCAGCCTGGGCGACAAAGCGAGATCCCGTCTCAGAAAAAAAAAATAAATAAAATTAAAAAACTGAAAAAAATAAAAGATCTTTGGACTCAAACAGACCTGGGTTTGTGGTGTGGATTCACAATTTATCTGCAGTGTAGTCTTGGACAAGTTTCATAACCTCGTCTCAAAAAAAAAAAAAGAAAAAACAACAACAAAACGGGAATAACAACAGTCGCTAAGTCCTAAGACTGTTGTGAGAATTGAATAAGATAATCCACTAAACTATATCAGTGCTTTCTGAAAGAAATGTAATGTAAGACACGTGTGTAATTTAAAATTTTCTGGGCCAGGTGTGGTAGCTCACACCTGTAATCCCAGCTCTCTAGGAGGCCAGGATCGCTTGAGCCTGGAAGTTTGAGACCAGCCTGGGCAACAGAGGCAGACCCTATCTCTACAAAAAATTTTCAAAATAATTAGCTGGGCCTGGTGCTACGGCCTGCAGTCGCAGCTACTCAGGAGGCTGGGGTGGGAGGATCACCAGAGCCCAGGAGGTCGAGGCTGCAGTGAGCTGTGATTGTGCCACTGCACTCCAGCCTGGGTGACAGAGCGAGACTCTGTCTCATTTTTTTAAAAAAAGTTTTTAAAAAAGGAAACAAACATTGCACACGAGTGAAAACACACCTGTAACATACGTGTAAGGTAGAAAGAGTGACAACGAGAGAGAGACAGCCGTGACCAGCTCCCAGCTCAAAGAAAAGAACATTCCTGATGAGCTTTCACGAAGGACATGGACTCGAGGGGCTCGCGGGCCCTGTGCGTGTGCAAGGCGCGCGCGTGTGCGCTTGGGTGCGCGCGGGGGTGGCCTTCTGCCTGCGCGCGCCCCCACGTCCCCTCCTTGCACCCTGTCTCCGTCTCGGCAGGCGGCCGGAACGTGAACGTACGCGGCTGCGGCTCCCGAGACCTGTGCAGCGCCCTGGACTGGACCCACGGGCTCTCTGTGCTCCCAAGACACTGGCTGTCGAGCCACTGCAGCCCCCACCGCCGCGCCGTCCTAGAGTCCCACTGCCGCTCGGGCGCCGCGCCCGGCCTCCGCCTCTCCCTCCCGGTTCTGGTGGTAGTCCTGGCAACCGCGACGCTGTGCTAAGGAATCCCGCCTGGACCACCCCGCCGCCCGGGAGGCCCCCTCCACCTGCTTGTTCGGCACGTCGCTAGATGGTGCCCTGGCTCCCCTCTGCTGGGGCAATGCGGAGACCTGGAAGCCTCTGGTGAGAAACTCAGGAAGCAGGGATGAGCTTCCTCCCTCAGACTAGCGTTTCCCAAAGCCAGACCTTCTGCTCCAGACTCAGGGCTTACTCAAGGCTAAGTCCTCTTTCCTCACACCAGGGTCCCAAAGGCCATGCCTCCATCAGCCTAGGGTGTGTCTTCCCCGCTCAGACTAAGGCCACTCACCTGCTGCTGAGATCAGGCGTCTGCTCAACTAAGTTGGGGCGGGGCGCTATACCTCCCCCCTCAGATTAGCACCTTCCCCAAGGCCAAACCTCCTCCCTCAGAAGAGGGCTGTTCTTCTTCCTCAAGTTACTAAGCCTCCTTCTTCAAACGAGGGGATACCCAATATCCGGCTGCTCCCAGACACCAGGGATGTGTCTCTTCTCCCACACATTGACAAGCAACTTCTCTTTTGTTCTCCCTGTTTGGGGTCTAGCAAAATCCTGGGCAGCCAAGGCGGGGCTTGAGGATCCGATACACCCTCTTCCAAGGTTTTCAGAGCAGCCTCCTCCACCCCCACCATGGGCCAAGACGGGGCAGGGGGCATGGGTGGGGTGAGGAGCCCCTCTTCTGTGTGGGCCCAATCTCCCAGCTGTAACCAGATCTGAATGAATCACATCTCACAATGCCAAGTGGTTTGAGTTTCCTTTTTCTGAAGTTTTAGCCTCAAAGAGGGCCCTGATGTGGTCCTCTCTCCTCTGAGGCCAGGGGAGGTTAAGTTACTTCAACTGGTGAACCTGGAGGGGACAAACCGACAACAGTGTCTGGCCAGGGTGGGCATAAGACCAAATGCTGCATCTGGAACTGAACTCAGAGGATTGAGCGGAGAAGTGAAACTGGGTTGCTCACCACAGGCAGAATGCCAGGAACCATTTGCTTTCTGCTGAAAGTGGCTGAGCGCAGTGGTTCACGCCTGTAATCCCAGTGCCTGGGGGCTATGACAGTGGGAGGGAGGGCTACCTAAGAAATCACTCCAGGCCATGCACCAGACAGATTAGGCGGCGTGGCTCTAGGGGGCTTGAAAGAGACCGCCCCCGCCAGGCGCAGTGGCTCCCGCCTGTAATCCCAGCACTTTGGGAGGCCGAGGCCGGCAGATTACTTGAGGTCAGGAGTTTGAGACCAGCCTGGCCAATAGGACGAAACCCGTCTCTACTAAAAATACAAAAACTTAGCCGGGCATGGTGGCGAGTGCCTGTGTTCCCAGTCACTCAGGAAGCTGAGGCAGGAGAATCACTTGAACCTGGGAGGCGGAGGTTGCAGTGAGCTGAGATTGCGTCACTGCACTCCAGCCTGGGCAACAAAGCGAGACTCCGTCTCAAAAACAAAAACTGAAAGTAACAGAAAGCCCAACCGAAAGAATAGAAACAATTCATTTAACATTCATCTAACAAATCTTTATCAGTCACAAGCTATGTATTCTTTTGTAAATGAGACACTGGCGATACAGACAAAATTCTGTGCTCTTATGGAAGTGGTATTTTAGTGGAGGAGACACATAATAAATAAATATCACATATCGTACATCACATATCAGTGAGTACTAGGAAGGAAACAGTGCGGGGAAGGAGAATGGGGAACGCTGCCAAAGAGATATGATCTTATACATGGTGAGTAAGAGCCTCAGTAAGGTGACGTAAGTAAAGACCTAATTGAGGAAGTAAAGACCTACGTGGGGCAAGGGAGAAGGCCATGCAGTTGTCTGAGGTGGGGGAGGAGGACATTCCAGGCAGAGGGAACTGGAAAGGCAAAGGCTCCAAGGCAGATGCAGTAAGAAACAGTTAATGTGGGTCAGACGCAGTGGTTCATGCCTGTAATCACAGTGTGATTTTGGGAGGCTGAGGTAGGAGGATTGCTTGAGGCCAGGAGTTCAAGACCAGCCTGGGCAATATAGCAAGATCCCATCTCTACAAAACATTGAAAAGTTAGCCTAGCATGGTGGTGGACTACAGGTATAGCTGTAGTCCCAGCTGGTCAGGAGATCAAGACCATCCTGGCTAACATGGTGAAACCCCGTCTCTACTAAAAATACAAAAAAAAAAAAATATTAGCCAGGCGTGGTGGTGGGCACCTGTAGTCCCAGCTACTCGGGAGGCTGAGGCAGGAGAATGGCGTGAACCTGGGAGGTGGAGCTTGCAGTGAGCCAAGATCGCGCCACTGCACTCCAGCCTGGGCGACAAAGTGAGACTCCGTCTCAGGAAAAAAAAAAAAATTAAAATAAAAAAATTGAAAAAAAATAAAAGATCTTTAGACTCAAACAGACCTGGGTTTGTGGTGTGGATTCACAATTTATCTGCAGTGTAGTCTTGGACAAGTTTCATAACATCTCTGAGCCTTGTGTTCCCATATTGTAAGGTGTTATTGTAAGGTACATTAAGCACAAGGCTTGGCCCACCCTAAGCTTTCAACCAATTGAAATAGTCATGTCTTCAGGTTGTTAATCATGAGGACTGTGCTATTATTTATCCACATTGTATAGAGGAAGAAACTGAGGCTGAAGGAGGCTAAGAGACTGCTAGTATGAAGAACATTGGGACTGAACACACATCTGTCTGACTCTAGAAGATAAAATTTCCCCCCCTTAAACATTAAGAAAATGTCCAAATATACACAAAAGTAGAGAAAATAGTATAATATCTATGACAGACTGATACCCCAATCTATGATGGGACCAAAATGTGACTGAGCCCAGAGCCCATAGCAGGCGCCCAGGAGATGTTTGCAGCTGGAAGCAGTCATTAAATGACCCTTCAGTATCAATCTCTCAGTGTCCAAAATTATGCACATTTTGCCAAATTATCTCTCTCTTCCTTCCCCCTTCCCTGCCTCCTCCTTTCCTACACCTTCCCCTCTTCCTCCCTCCTCACCTCTCTCTTTTGCTTTTTTTTTTTTGAGATGGAGTCTCTTGCTCTGTTGCCCATGCTGGAGTGCGGTGGCGTGATCTCGGCTCCCTGCAACCTCCGCCACCCAGGTTCCAGCGATTCTCCTGCCTCAGCCTCCAGAGTAGCTGGGATTACAGGCACGCATTACCGTGCCCAGCTGATTTTTGTATTTTTAGTAGAGACGGGGTTTCACCTTGTTGGCTAGGCCTGTCTCGAATTCCTGACCTCAAGTGACCCGCCCGCCTTGGCCTCCCAAAGTGCTGGGATTACAACGTGAGCCACTGCTCCTGGCCTTTCCTTTGCTTTTACCCTCCCTCCTTTGCTCTTTCTCTCTCCCTCCTTCCTTTCTCCCTTCTTTCCTCCTCTCTCTCTTTCTCCCTCCTCTCCTTCATACTTCTTTCTTCCTTTCTCCCTTCTTGCCTTCCTATATTCCCTCCCTCTTCCCTTCTTTCCTTTTTGTGCTGAGACATTTAAAGCAAATCCCAGATATCATATTTCACCCATAAATACTTCCCTGTGCATCAGAGCCCATGCTTTCGACTCTTGTAGGACGGACACATCCTTTCTGGGAGGGAGGATGGAATAAAATAAAGCATACTGAGAGCTTAGCATAACCCACACCCATCCCTGCCTGTTTGCAGAAGGCCTAGAATATCCTAATCCTTCAGGGGAGATCTCCCTTCACCCATGGATCTGTGACATTCTTCTAAATCCTTCATAGAAAGCTCATATCAAAAGTGACTAGTTCACCTGTCTCTACAAAAAAATCAAAAATTAGCCTGGGTGTGGGGGCACACACCAGTGTTCCCAGCTACTCAGGAGGCTGAGGTGGGAGGATCACTTGAGCCTGGGAGGTTGAGGCTGCCGTGAGCTGCGATCGCGCCACTGCACTCCAGCCTGGGCGACAGAGTGAGACCCTGACTCAAAAAAAAAAAAAAGTGACTAGTTGAATATGCGTACAAGAGACATAGCCACAGAGCTCAGCATAGTGGTTCAGAGGATGTACTCAGGTTCCAGTCTGTCTGGGTTCGAAAGCCAACACTTTGCCAGTTACTAGTTGTTTTTTTGTTTTTGTTTTTGTTTTTTACCTTTGGAAACAGAGTCTCACTCTGTCACTCAGGCTGGAGTGAAGTGGCGCAAACTCAGCTCACTGCAGCCTCTGCCTCCCAGGTTCAAGTGATTCTCCTCCCTCAGCCTCCCCAATAGCTGGGATTACAGGCGTGCCACCATGCCCAGCTAATTTTTGTATATTTAGTAGAGATGGAGTTTTGCCATGTTGCCCAGGCTGGTCTCCAACTCCTGAGCTCCGGCAATCTGCCTGCCTCGGCCTCCCAAAATGCTGGGATTACCACCATTTTGTGAGCCACTGAGCCCAGTCACTAGTTCAGTTACTAGTGGCCTCAGGTGAGTACCTTGACCTCAGCTTTCCCATTTGTGAAATGGGACAATAGTGGTTCCTGCTCACAGAGTGGACACAAAGGTTGAGAGAGTCCACACATACACAGAACTCAGAACAGCGCCTGGAATTCAGAGTTCAACACAGGTAAATGGTGGCCCTTACTGTCATTATTGGGGAGGGGGAGTGCCCTTTGGGTCATGGGTCCCGTTTCTGTCTGTTACCCAACATGGCCTCCCGTTGTGAAGGTTGCCTACCCCAAGGTATGGGTGTGAAGGAACCTGGGGGTGGTGAGGAAGGAAGCAACATCTCTGCCAGACTGGAGTCTCGGGGGATGGGTCCCGGATATGACCTGTCCTGGCTGAGTCCAGAGTCCATGGCAGGTGGTCAGGAAACATTTGTGGAAAACAGTCATTTAATGGTCCTGGAATCTGCAGGGGTAAAAGGGACTTTGGGGATGGGGTGGGGCTAACCTGGGTGAAGAATTTGATGTTATTGTACATTGCTAATTTTCCATAGGGGCATACATGTAGGCATATTATTCAAGTTTTAAAATTTTACTATAAATTATTTAAAACAAACAAAAACAAATAAAGAATAAGTGGAGTCTCTTGGCACTCAGTTGAAAGACAAGAAACATCAAAACATTTGAAATACATACCCAGTGGCCATAGCTGTCCCTGGCCACAGCTCCTTTCCTCTCTCCTCACCTGAGATCACCTCTATCCTGAACATGGTATTTCCAATTTTGCCACCTACAGGCATGCTTTTGATTTTTTTTTTTTCAGACAAGGTCTCACTCTGTTGCCCAGGCTGGAGGGCAATGGTGCTATCAATAGCTCACTGCAGCCTCAACCTCCTGGGCTCAAGTGATCCTCCTGCCTCAGCCTCCTGAGTAGCTGGGACCACAGTCATGTGCCACCATGCCCAGCTCTTTCTTCCTTCCTTCCTTCTTCCTTTCCTTTCCTTCTCCTTTCCCTCCCCTCCCCTCCTTTCCCCTCCGCTTCTCTCTCCTTTCCTTCCTTCCTTTCTTTCTCTCTCTCTCTCCCTCCCTCCCTCCCTTCTTCCTTTTTTTTTTTTTTTTGAGATGGAGGCTCACTCTGTTGCCCAGGCTGGAGTGCAGTGGCATGATCTCAACTCTCTGCAACCTCCGCCTCCCAGGTTCAAGTGATTCTCTCAGCCTCCCAAGTAGGTGGGACTACAGGTGCATGCCACTGCTTCTGGCTAATTTTTTTTTTTTTTGTATTTTTAGTAGAGACGGGGTTTCACCATGTTGGTCAGGCTGGTCTTGAACCCCTGACCTCAGGTGATCCACCCGCCTCGGCCTCCCAAAGTGCGGGATTACAGGCATGAGCCACCATGCCCGGTTCCTTCCTTTCTCTTTCTGGTCTCCCTATGTTGCCCAGGCTGTTCTCAAACTCCTGAGCTCAAGCAACTTTCCTGCCTCGAACTCCCAAGGTGCTGGGATTACAATTATCAGGGTGAGCCACTATGCCCAGCCACCTTTAATTTTTTAAGGAAAGTTTTCTCTTCTTTTCTGCTTGGCTCTCTCCTCACCTTTCTCTTCTCTCCCCCACAGACTCCTTCATAGGGGTGCTCATAGCTCACTGCAGCCTTGATCTCCCGGGCTCAAGTGATTCTTCCACCTCAGCCTCCCACGTAGCTGGGACCACAGGCATGCACCCTCATGCTGAGCTGTATGTATATGTTTTGTAGAGATGGGATCTCACTATGTTGCCCAGGCTGGTCTCGAACTACTAGGCTCAAGCGATCTGCCCACCCTGGCATCCCAAAGTGCTGGGATGACAGGCAAGAGCCACTGTGCCTGGCCAACTCTCTGCATCTTGCTTTTCTCAACCCTCCGAGTCATTTGATTCACCCTTTCTAATGGCTGTGTGGTGTGGTTTCCATGGCCTATGGCATGGATCTACCAACATTTATTCAGCAGTCATCGTCCTATTGAGGGGAATTGACGCTGTTTTCTCTTTTGTCCCTCCCACTATGAGAGATGCAGCAGTAAACATCCTCCTGACAAGACAGTTATCATCTGTTATGTGTCTCTGTGTCCTGAATAATTTCTAATGAATTTTAAAAGTTTGGGGCAGGTGCAGTGGCTCACACCTGTAATTCCAGCACTTTGGGAGGCTGAGGCTGGTGGATCACGAGGTCAGGAGTTCGAAACCAGCCTGACCAACATGGTGAAACCCTGTTTCTACTAAAAATACAAAAATTAGCCGGGCGTGGTGTTGCATGCCTGTAATCCCAGCTACTCAGGAGGCTGAGGCAGGAGAATCGCTTGAATCCAGGAGGCGGAGGTTGCAGTGAACCAAGATTGCACCACTGCACTCCAGCCTGGGCAACAGAGCAGGACTCTGTCTCAGAAAAAAAAAAAAGCTTGGATATCATATCCCTTTCATGCATGTTTTAAAAAATTCAAAAATGTGTAATTAAATGAAATTGAAAGTTACACTTAAAAATTAGAAGTAAGAGGCCAGGTGCGGTGGGTCACACCTGTCATCCCAGCACTTTGGGAGGCCAAGGTGGGAGGACCATTTGAAGTTGGGGGTTTGAGACCAACCTGGCCAACATGGTGAAACCCTGTCTTTACTGAAAAATAGAAAAATTAGCCAGGTGTGGTGGCGGTCACCTGTAATCCTAGCTACTCCGGAGGCTGAGGCAGAATCGCTTGAACCTGGGAGGCATAGGTTGCAGTAAGCTTAAATCATGTCACTACACTCCAGCCTGGGTGACAGAGCGAGACTCTGTCTCAAGAAAAAAAAAAAGAGAGAAGAAGTAAGAAACAGTGAAGTGGCCCTCACCTCCCCGGGTGTGCCCCACTCCCCATGTGCCATTTCCATCCAGATGGGGCCCCCTAGACATCCTTTTTCCCCTGCAGGCTCCAGGGAGTGGTCAATGAAATTCCTTCAGTCATGAAAAGTTCCATCAGATAGATCTTTAGGAGCAGGGGTGCTCAACTGAAGGAAATGTGTGCGTTTAATTCATTAATAAGTGTTGTCAGATTTGCCTCAAGTGTTTCATCTGGGGCCTTCCTGCATGGAGAACACCTATTTCTCTCCATCAGGCCGAATCCAACTTCCCAGCCATCCCTTCTGCCTCCTCCCACCCTCTCTCTCTGAACCTTCCAAGGTCACAACGTGGGGTTCTGACCAGTGTTGCGCTGAGCCACGTGGGGCCTGACACAAAAGGCACTATTTACCCATGCCCCTCTGTCATGGTTTCATTTTTGTTTTGTGTTTTTGAGACAAGGCCTGGCTCTGTTGCCCAAGCTGGAGTGTACTGGCTTGATCTCAGCTAAATGCAACCTCCGCCTCCTGGCCTCAAGCCATCCTCCTACCACAGCCTCCAAAGTAGCTGGGGCTATAGACGCCTGCCACCAAGCTCAGCTAATTTTTGTAGAGACCGGGTTTTGTCACGTTTCGCAGGCTGGTCTCGAACTCCTGGGCTGAAGCAATCCGCCCACCTCGGCCTCCCAAAGTGCTGAGATTACAGGTGTGAGCCTCTGCACCTGGCCTTCATGTAATTTTTTTGTTTTTTTGAGACAGAGTCTCTTTCTGTCACCCAGGCTGGAGTGCAGTGGCATGATCTTGGCTCACTGCAACCACCGCCCCTCGAGTTCAAGCAATTCTCCTGCCTCAGCCTCCCAAGTAGCTGGAACTACAGGCACATGCCACCATGCCCAGCTAATTTTTGTATTTTTAGTAGAGACAGGGTTTTGCCATGTTGGCCAGGCTGGTCTCACACTCCTGATCTCAGGTCATCTGCCCGCCTTAGCCTCCCAAAGTGCTGGGATTACAGGTGTGAGCCACCGTGCCTGGCCCTTCATGTTTTTTCAGTGGCTAATTTTTTTCCAGAACATTAAAGTAGTCAAAATAATATTGAAAAATTCTTGAGTGGGTGTATTAAAACTCACGCTATTTCAAGTTAAAATATTTTAATTACAACAATATAAAATGTATTATAATTTTATTTCAGCTTAAGTTAATTAAAAATTATTGAACATCATCACTTGGTTAAGAGAAATTGTCAAGCGTGGAGATTCTCTCAATTGAAAATGAAATAAGCCAAGATGTAGATTTTGAAAACATTATTGATGAGTTATTTTTCCATCAAAGCTGGAGTGTATATTTAGGGCTTGGTGTGGCATTGGTCTTTATTTAGAATTTTGATATTTTGTTCATGAAAATATCAGGGCTGGGCACGGTGGCTCACGCCAGTAAGCCCAACATTTTGTGAGGGCAAGGAGGGTGGATCACTTGAGGTCAGGGGTTTGAGACCAGCCTGGACAACATGGTGAAACCCTGTCTCTACTAAAAATACAAAAATTAGCTGGGCATGGTGGCAGGCGCCTGTAATTTCAGCTACTCAAGTGGCTGAGGCACGAGAATCGCTTGAACCCGGGAGGCAGAGGTTGCAATGAACCCAGATCACACTCCAGTCTGGGCGACAGAGGAAGACTCTGTCTAAAAAAACAAAAGAACAAACCATGGATTTTTTGGCATTAATTTTTATTAGTTAAAATATTGCATTAAAAATTGCATTAAAATATAATTTATCTCAATGACTCAATTTTTCGCACTCCCTTAAATTTTGCACCCAAGGCCAGTTCCTCATTGTCCTTAGTTCTGACCAAATTGAGTCACTGAATGTAGAAGAGTCCCACCTCACTCCTGGCTTGTTTCTGGAAAGCCTGTGGGTTGGCTGGGCTCAGCTGTATGGTTCTTCTGCCCCCCATGTGGTGTTGGCTGGGGTTACACCTGTGCCTGCATTCAGCTGGAGCTCATCTGTGGCTGAAATGTCCTGGATGGCTTCAAGCTCATCTCCATGTGGCTGCAGTCTCTACATGAGGTCTCTCCAGCACGGTAGCAGGACCTCTTTGCATAGTAGTTCTGGAGAAAGAAGGAGAAAACAGGAGCTGCCACCTGTTAAGGCCTGGGCTTGGGAGTCCCAGAGTGTCACTTCTTGTGACAAAGAATGTCACCAGACTGGCCCAAATTTAAGGGAAGGGGAAAGAGACTCTGCCTCTTGCTAGAAAGAGTGGTACATGCCCACAGGGAAGGGAAAATTGCCAGTGGCAGTCTATCCCTTCCCCAAACCCCTTCCCCAACTGCCCACCTCTATCCTCTTGCTTGCTTTTTCTTTGTTTTTCTTATCATTACTTGACACTATCTTAATTACTTTTGTTTATAAGCTCCATGAGAGCAAGGACTGTTTTTGTTTTGTTTTTTGTTGTTTTTTGAGACAGAGTCTTGCTCTATCACCCCAGCTGGATTGCAGTGGCACAATCTCGACTCACTGCAACCTCTGCCTCCTGGATTCAAGCAATTCTCATGGCTCAGCCTCCCGAGCAGCTGGGACTATAGGTGCCCACCACCACACCTGACTATTCTTTTGTTTATTTATTTATTTATTTATTTATTTATTTATTTATTTATTTCGTTATTTACTTATTTTGTAGTTTTAGTAGAGATGGGGTTTTGCCATGTTGGCCAGGCTGGTCTCAAACTCTTGACCTCAAGTGATCCACCCACCTCGGCCTCCCAAAGTGCTGGGATTACAGTCATAAGCCACCATGTCTGGCCCTTTTTCTTCTTTTTTCTTATCACTACTTGACACTATCTTAATTACTTTTGTTTATTCTCTACATATTTAAAAAATATATAAGCTCCACGAGAGCAAGGGCCTTCTGTGTCTTATTCATCACTGTATCAGTACCTAAAACTGTGCCTAGCACCTAAAAGGCAGCCAGTATTTACATGAATGAATGAATGAATGAATGAATGAATGAATCCCTGAGGACTGACTTCAGGTTTACCCAGGTTGTGGAGAGTGGAGAGAAGGTGGAGGCCACCACATGTAGATATTCCTAGGAAAGTGCTTTAGAATTTCTAAGAGACACAGAGAGAAAGGGCAGGGAGGAAAGGAGGCTTGGGAGTGGGCAGAAGAAATCGTTCAGGGACTGTCTTTTTCACTGCTGTGTCTCCAGCCTCGACCAGCCAGGGCCTGACTCACAGTAGGTGTCTGGAAAGCATGTGTTGAATGAATGAACTTTCTCCAAAAATCCTTCACTGACTCCACCCCCACCCCCAGGCTGGGTCAGGCAACCCCCATGGCTCCCACACCTCTCTGGGCAGCTTCAACCCCATTGTAACCACTGTGGGTCATCACTGTCTGAGGACGGAGGTGTGTTCCCTACAAGACTCAGAGTCCATAGGGTTGGTGCTGTCTCAGTCACCACTGGGTCCCCAACATCAACCAAGGGGTTCTTGGAGGTAGTAAGTATACTTTGCATCAACCTCCTCTCTGTGGGGCAGAGCCGTCCCATCACTGCTGTATTCTCACCCCGGAGGGACACAGAGTAGACACTCACAAATCACCTTCATTGATTCTAAGAGAGATTCGTTTTCCTTTTTCTTTTCCCACATTTTAACAATTTTTTTTAAGAGACAGAGTCTCACTGTTGCCCATGCTGAAGTGCAGTGATGTGATCACAGCCCACTGCAGCCTTGACCTCCATGGCTCAAGCAATCCTCCCACCTCAGCCTCCTGAGTAACAAACCACAGGCACACGCCACCATGCCTGGCTAATTTTAAAATTTTTTTGTAGAGATGGGGTCCCCCTATATTGCCCAGGGTGGTCTCGAACTCCTGGGCTCAAGCAATCCTCCTGTCTTGGCCTCCCAAAGTGTTGGGATTACAGGTATGAGCCACTGGGTCTGGCTGCAATTTTAAAAATAAGACAATTGACTGGGTGCCGTGGCTCACATCTGTAATCCCACTTTGGGAGGTCGAGGCAGGCAGATCAACTGAGGCCAGGAGTTTGAGACCAGCCTGACCAACTTGGTGAAACCCCATCTCTACTAAAAATACAACAATTAGCCAGGCGTGGTGGTGCATGCCTGTAATCTCGGCTACTCGGGAGGCGGAGGCAGGAGAATTGCTTGAACCTCGGAGGCGGAGGCTGCAGGGATCTGAGATCGCGCCATTGCGCTCCAGCCTGGGTGACAGAGTGAGACTGGGTCCCAATAAATAAATAAATAAATAAAGACAACAATGAAGTTTGCTGCATCACTTGCCTCTTCCTTTCACAAAAGATTTCTCTGTAGCATGCGACGCTGTTTGATAGCATTCTACCCATGGCAGAACTTTCAAAATTGAAGGCAATCCTCTCAATCCCTGCGACTGCCTTATCAAGTAAGTTTATGTCATATCCTAAATCCCCTGTTGTCAATTTAACAATATTCACAGCATCTTCACCAGGCGTAGATTCCATCTCAAGAAACCACTTTCTTTGCTCATCCATAAGAAGCAACTCCTCGCCTATTCAAGTTTGATCATGAGATTGCAGCAATTCAGTCACATCTTCAGGCTCTACTTCTAATTTTAGTTCTCTTGCTATTTCTACCACATCTGCAGTAAATGCCTCCACTGAAGTCTTTTTTTTGTTGTTGTTTGTTTTTTGAGATGGAGTCTTGCTCTGTCACTCAGGATGGAGTACAGTGGCATGATCTCAGCTCACTGCAACATCCGCCTCCCAGGTTCAAGCAGTTCTTCTGCCTCAGCCTGCCAAGTATCTGCAATTACAGGTGCACATCGCCGCGCCCAGCTAATTTTTGTATTTTTAGTAGAGACGAGATTTTGTCATTTTGGCCAGGCTGGTTTCAAATTCCTGACCTCAAGTGATCCACCCGCCTCAGCCTCCCAAAGCGCTGGGTTACAGGCATGAGTCATCATGCCCGGCCTTTTTGTTTTTTTGAGACAGGGTCTGGCTCTGTTGCCCAGGCTGGAGTACGGTGTTGTAGTCATTGCTCACTGTAACCTTGAACTCTTGGAATCAAACAATTTTCCCTCATCAGCCTCCCAAGTAGCCAGAACTACAGGCAAGTGTCACCACACTCAGCTAACTTTAAACATTTTTTGTAGAGATGGGGTCTCACGATATTGCCCAAGCTGGTCTCAAACTCTTGGCCTCAAGGGATCCTCCCAACTCGGCCTCTCAAAGTGCTGGGATTACAGGTGTGAGTCACCATGCCTGGCCCCTATCTCAGCTTTGGACACGCCTTCTTCACTGAGCTTAATCATTTCTAGCTTTTGATTTAAAGTGAGAGACACGTGACTCTTCCTTTTACTTGGATACTTGGAGGCCATTTTAGAGTCATTAATTGGCCTAATTTCATTATAGTTGTGTCTCACAGAAGAGGGAGGTGCAAGGAGAAGGAGAGAGACAGGAAAATGGCCAGTCAGTGGAGCAGTCAGAACACATACAATGTTTATCAATTAAGTTTGTTGTTACCTGTGGGCACAGTTTATGGTGCCCCGAAATGATTACAATGCTAACATCAAAGATCACCATACCAGAGATAATGATGATGAAAAAGTTTGACATGTTGTGAGAATTTCCAAAATGTGACACAGAGACATGAAATGAGCACGTGCTGTTGGAAAAATGGCACCAACGGGCTTGCTGGACACAGGGTTGCCACGAACTTTCAATTTGTAAAAACCATAGTATCAGGCCAGGCGGGGTGGCTCATGCCTGTAATCCCAGCACTTTGGGAGGCCAAGGCGGGAAGATCACTTGAGGCCAGGAGTTCAAGACCAGCCTGGCCAAGATAGCAATACCCCATCTCTATTAAAAATACCAAAACAAGCCGGGCATGGTGGCGCATGCCTGTAGTCCCAGCTACTCGGGAGGCTGAGGTAGGAGAAGCCCTTGAACCTGGGAGGTGGAGGTTGCAGCGAGCCAAGATCATACCACGCACTCCAGCCTGGGCAACAAGAGCAAAACTCCGTCTCAATAAATAAATGAATAAATAAATAAATAAAACAAGAGTTGGGCATGGTGGCGCGTGCTTGTGGTCCCAGCTACTTGGGAGGCAAAGGTAGTAGAGATTGCTTGAGCCCAGGAGGTGGAGGTTGCAGTGAGCAGAGATCACGCCACTGCACTCCAGCCTGGGTGGCAGAACAAGACCCTCTTCTCCACCACATCCCCGCCCCCCCGCAAAAAATACCACATAGTATCTGTGAAGGACAATAAAGCTGCATGCAATAAAATGAGGTGTGCCTGAAATTGAGTTTATTATTGAACGAATGAAAGTTCTCTCTCAACTCAGGTTCTTTGCAGAGGCTGGTCCCTTAGCCTGGGATGCAACTCCCTAATGTGCCATCTGGCTCACTCCTACTCATCCTTTGGATCTCAGGTCAGGTGCCCCCTCCTCCAGGAAGCCCTCCCTGACTCCCAGGCTGAGTCGGGCTTCCTCCTTTGTGCTCCCACAGCCCTCTGGGGTCCCCCATCCCAGTGCTGCCCCCTCTGTCATCATTATCTTGGGATGGATCTGACTCCACCACTGGACTCTGAGTCCTGTGGGGGCAGAGCCTGGCTGTCTTGTCCATTGCTGCGTTTCCAGCATGCAGATAGGCAGGGTGCAACCCCTCTCTCTCTGGCTGGTGCTCTCAGGAGCTGCTAGGGGCATCCCTGGGAACATGCCAGTCTGCATCGGTGCATGTGTGCAGGTGGCAGTGGCTCTCTTTCTTGGTCCACAATCATCCTGGGCTGCAATAATCTCCATTTTCTCGGGCCTGGAGCCCCTGAAGCAGTGCCTGGGTTTGATGCATCTCTGGAGCCCTAGCTGCTGCAGCAGAATGAATGAGGTTCCTGAATGGAGTCAGTGGGTTTCGGGGTTTCTGTATATGTTGTCAGTGTGTAACTGTGTCTCTTAAAGTCTGCACATCTGTGTCCCGGAATGTGTGTGTTTGCGAGGCTTTGGTAAGTGTGTGTTTGTCTGAGTCTTGCTTTCCTTCAGTGACTCTGTTGTTTTGTTTCGTTTAGAGACAGAATCTTGCTCAGTCACCCAGGCTGGAGTGCAGTAGCATGATCACGGCTCACTGCAGCCTTGAACTCCTGGGCTCAAGCAATCCTCCCACCTCAGCCTCCTGAGTAGCTGGGACTACAGATGTGCACCATCATACCTGGCTCATTTTTTTTTTTTTTTTAAGAGATAGGGTCTTGGCCAGGCACGGTGGCTCACGCCTGTAATCCCAGCACTTTGGGAGTCCGAGGTGGGCGGATCACGAGGTCAGGAGATCGAGACCATCCTGGCTAACACGGTGAAACCCCGTCTCTACTAAAAAATACAAAAAAATTTAGCCAGGCGCGGTGGCAGGCGCCTGTAGTCCCAGCTACTCGGGAGGCTGAGGCAGGAGAATGGCAGGAACCCGGGAGGCGGAGCTTGCAGTGAGCCGAGATTGCACCACTGCACTCCAGCGTGGGAGACAGAGCGAGACTCCGTCTCAAAAAAAAAAAAAAAAAAAAGAGATAGGGTCTTGCTATGTTGCCCAGGCTGGTCTCAACCTCCTGGGCTCAAGCAAACCTCCTACCTCGGCCTCCCAAATTGCTGAGATTACAGGCGTGAGTGAGCCGCCATGCCCAGCCACGAAGTAACTCTGTATTTGAGGCTCTTTCTGTGTCTTTCCCTTCTCTCTTGGGCCAGGGGTGCGTGTCCATGCATTTTGGGAAGGAGTCCTTGCTGTCTGCTGGTCTGTGTGCTCGGTGTCCGGGGAAGTCTGAGAACCATGTTGTTCACTCTCTTCAGCTCTGTGTGTTTGTGTCAGTCAGTGAGAGCATGAGTGAGTCGTGTGTCTTTTGCCCTGCACCTCCCTTTCACCTGTGGCTTAAGAACTCTGTACTATGCGGCCAACAGCCCACTCTTCCCCAGCTCTCAGGGTGGCTCTGAGCTAGTCTATTCCCCTTCTGGGCCTCTCTCTCCTTAGTTGTTCTCAGAGGCTCCTTTCCAGAACTGGCCTGCAGATGGTCAGGAAAATCCTCTGAGTAGCGTTATTGTAAATTCCCTACAAGAGGAGAATGGAGAAGGCCCTGTGGAGCCTGGCCTGGGCAGAGAGGAAGCCCGGAGGGGAGACAGGACAGAGACACTTATAAAGGACAAGAAGGGGCCGGGTGTAGTGGCTACACCTGTAATCTTAGCGCTTTGGGAGGCGGCATAACCTGAGGTCAGGAGGTTTGGGAGGCGAGGCAGGCGGATAACCTGAGGTCAGGAGTTCAAGACCAGCCTAGGCAACATGGTGAAACCCCACCTCTACTAAAAAAAAAAAAAAAAAAAAAAAATTAGCCAAGCCTGGTGGTGCATGCTAGTAGTCCCAGCTACTCAGGAGGCTGAAGCAGGAGAATCACTTGAACCCAGGAGGCGGAGGTTGCAGTGAGCCAAGATTGTGTCACTGCACTCCAGCCTGGGTGACAGAGCAAGACACTGTTTCAAAAAAAGAAAAAAAAGAAATCAATGACTAAATTATTGGGCTTACAAGATAGCAGATCAGCCTCCCGAGTAGCTGGGACTACATGCATGCACCACATCTGGCTAATTTTTGTATTTTTAGTAGAGATGGAGTTTCACCACATTGCCCAGGCTGATCTCAAACTCCTGGCCTCAAGTGATGCACTCGCCTCGGCCTCCCAAAGTGCTGGCATTACAGGCGTGAGCCACTGTGCCCACCAGCAATGACCGAATTTGTATCATCAACTTTCACACTTCTCTGGGGAACTGACAGTCCCCTGGGTGGAGGGTGGAGTGGTAGCAGGGCCAAGCCCTTGGAAACCAATCTGTGAATCTGAGACTTTGTCCTTGGGGGGTGATGGAGACCATGGAGGATTTTGAACAGGTCTTGGTGTTAGAAAGATCTCTCTGGAGTCTTCAGGGGAACTGGAGGGCCCAGTGTGAGTGGGTGGTGACCCCATGAGCAGCTGGGGCTTGGGGTCCCTGCTCCACCTCCGGGCCCCACCCCCTGACATCACTGTCGCATTATTGCACCAGGTCTGGCTGACCAATAAGCTGCTGCTTGCTATGATAATGGGTCCTAGCAACGGTGTCTGACCTTGGCTAAGAGGGAAGGAGATCCTATCAGTGGGGAGAGTGTGAGGGGAGAGGGAGAGCCTGCAGGGCAGGTGAGTCCCCCAGGGCTCTCTCGCTGGGCCCCTGTGCGTGGGCGGAGCAGGAGCTTATGGTCTAATCCGGACCCCCTCAGCCCAAATTCCAACCACTGACTTGTCTGCCCCTTGCTGCCAGGACCTGTTCCAGGTTCCTACTCTTCCCACCGCAGACCATACTAGGGAGAGGGCACACCCAGGATAGGAGGCTCAGATCTGGAGGCAACAATGTCTTTTTTTTTTCCTTTTTTTTTTTCTGAGACGGAGTCTCGCTCTGTCGCCCAGGCTGGAGTGCAGTGGTGCAATCTTGGCTCACTGCAACCTCCGCCTCCTGGGTTCAAGAGCTGGGACTACAGGCATGCGCCACAACACCTGGCTAATTTTTGTATTTTTAGTGGAGATGGAGTTTCACCATGTTGGCCAGGCTGGTCTCGAACTCCTGACCTCAAGTGATCCACCCACCTCGGCCTCCCAAAGTGCTAGGATTACAGGCGTGAGCCACCATGCCCAGCCGGGAACAATGTCTTAAGGACATATTTCTGTGGGGGGTGGAGTGGGGTAGCAGAGGATGGGGTGAGTGGTAGGAGGTGAAGAGACGGGGTGCAGGGGGCAAGGAGACAATGCAGGAGGCAGGGACATGCAGCTGAAGGGAGAGTAGCTCTCTAGGTGGGTGAAGGAGCCTGGGGACCTGGGTTGGGGTCCTGGCTATGCCTCTGGATGAGGAGACCTCATTTGTCTTGTCTGAGCCTCAGTCCTTCTCCCTGTCAAAT
The DNA here is from genome assembly GCF_000001405.40 of Homo sapiens. Lineage (NCBI taxonomy): Eukaryota > Metazoa > Chordata > Mammalia > Primates > Hominidae > Homo > Homo sapiens. Next base: position 43,716,895 of record NC_000019.10, read on the forward strand.
GGGGACAGTGATCCCAGACATGAGCAGCTCTCCCAGGGCACCCTGAAGACCCTTAGTGAGTAAATGTATTTTAGAGATGATGGGCCAGAGGAGGGTGAGTGGGAAGAGGGAGGACCAGGGAAGCTCCTGGTGAGGAGGAGGGATCTGAGGGGGGACCATCACGACAGGAGCTCTGGGCGGTGGGAGGGGAACTGAACCCCGGGAGGCAAGGGCTGCCATGGCAGGGGTGGGGTTTCATGGAAATGACTCCTGGTGTCCAGGTGGTCCCCATGTCTGGCTTCCCGAACCCAAGGGCGTCTGAACCCAAAGTCAGCCTAGGGCTAGCTGAACGGGGTTTGTGGGCATCACAGCAGCCCTGCGAGGTGGGGAGGAGTATCCCCCACGGGGCAGCTGAGGCTCAGACAGGGCGAGGACTTGCTCAAAGTCACACAGCTAAGAATATTACTAATGATAAGAATAATGACGATGATGGTGATGCCAATGACACGAGGCACCTGCCCTGAGCCAGGCGCCGTTTTATGGGCTGCTTTATGTCATAACTCATTCAAGTCACAGAGATCCTAGGAGGTGGTTTGCCAGGATTGTAGGTATCATTCTCAGTGTTCAGATGAGGAGAGTGAGGAGAGAGTTAAGTAACTTGCCTCACATCACTCAGTAAGTATGTGGTGGAGCCAGGATTTGATCCCAGGCAGTCTGGCTCCGGGTCTGGGTCCCCTCCACCCTACCCTCCAATCCCAGCCACCGCAGGAGTGCAGCTGTTTCCTCTGAATGGGCCTGTACCACCCTTTCCTATGCAGCCCTGGCTATGTAATTTGCCCTGGCTATATAATTTGCAAGGCCCAGTACGAAATGAAAATATGGGGCCCCTGGTTCAAATATTATAAAGAATTTCAGGCCAGGCATAGTGGCTCATGCCCTTAATCCCAGCGCTCTGGGAAGCTGAGGCAGGAGGACCTTGATCTCGGAAGTTCAAGACCAGCTGGGACAACATAGTGAGACTCCCATCTCTACAAAAAATTTAAAAAGTAGCTGGGCATGGTGGCATGCGCCTGTGGTCCCAGCTGTTCAGGAGGCTGAGGTGGGAGGATTGCTAGAGCCAAGGAGATCAAGGCTGCAATGAGCCATGATCGTAGCACTGTGCTCCAGCCTCGATGACAGAGAGACCCTGTCTCAAACAAACAAACAAACAAACAAACAATTTCAGCTAGTGTCAGCAGAGCATTAAACCAAGCACTGGGCCATTCTAAGCACAGAACCCTCCAGGGCACACATACACCCAGAAAACTGACCTGTGCCTAGGTTACCCTGGAGACTCCAATAGTGCTCCAAGAGGCTGCTTGGTGGTCATGCCCATTACCCAGAGAGGTGCTTCATTTTGCCCCTGGTCACACAGCAAGTTAGTGGCAGAAAAGGGATGTGAACCTGGGCCTGCCAGACCCCAAAGCCCTCTAACTTGTGCCAAAAATGTGTCCCCAATTCTTGAAGGAAAAAGAGAGCTGTGGGCTTCCAGGGCGACTCCCTTCACATCCGTGGTATCTGTCTCTCCCTGCCCCATGCCAAGGCCCAGGAGGTGTGAATGGCTCCCTTCTCCTCTGCAGGCGCTGAGGATCACGCATCCTGTGACTCTCCCCTGTCCCCCGCCACCCTCTGAACCACTGGCCACCATGGCTACTTCAAAGTTGCCCGTGGTGCCTGGGGAGGAGGAAAACACCATCCTTATGGCCAAGGAAAGGCTGGAGGCCCTGCGCACAGCCTTTGAGTCGGGTGACCTCCCCCAGGCCGCCTCTCACCTCCAGGAGCTGCTGGCCTCCACGGAAAGCATCCGCCTGGAGGTGGGCGTCACGGGCGAGTCGGGCGCGGGCAAGTCCTCCCTCATCAATGCCCTGCGTGGCCTGGAGGCCGAGGACCCTGGCGCGGCTCTCACGGGCGTCATGGAGACCACGATGCAACCGTCGCCCTATCCACACCCACAGTTCCCTGACGTGACCCTCTGGGACCTGCCAGGAGCCGGCTCTCCAGGCTGCCCGGCTGACAAGTACCTAAAGCAGGTAGACTTCAGCCGCTATGACTTCTTCCTGCTGGTCTCCCCCCGCCGCTGCGGGGCCGTCGAGACCCGCCTGGCCGCTGAGATCCTGTGCCAGGGCAAGAAGTTCTACTTTGTGCGCACCAAGGTGGACGAGGACCTGGCGGCCACGCGCACCCAGCGGCCGTCGGGCTTCAGAGAGGCCGCTGTCCTGCAGGAGATCCGAGACCACTGTGCCGAGCGGCTGCGGGAGGCCGGCGTGGCTGACCCTCGCATCTTCCTGGTGTCCAACCTCTCGCCGGCCCGCTACGACTTTCCCACGCTGGTGTCCACCTGGGAGCACGACCTGCCCTCCCACCGGCGCCACGCTGGCCTGCTGTCGCTCCCCGACATCTCGCTGGAGGCCTTGCAGAAGAAGAAGGCCATGCTTCAAGAGCAAGTCCTCAAGACCGCCCTGGTGTTGGGCGTCATCCAGGCCCTGCCGGTCCCAGGGCTGGCGGCCGCCTACGATGATGCGTTGCTCATCCACTCACTGCGTGGCTACCACCGCAGCTTTGGTCTGGACGACGACTCGCTGGCCAAGCTGGCCGAGCAGGTGGGCAAACAGGCAGGTGACCTGCGCTCGGTCATCCGCTCCCCACTGGCCAACGAGGTCTCGCCTGAGACTGTCCTGCGGCTCTATTCCCAGTCGTCCGACGGCGCCATGCGGGTGGCCCGCGCCTTTGAGAGGGGCATCCCTGTGTTTGGGACGCTGGTGGCTGGCGGCATCAGCTTTGGCGCTGTCTACACCATGCTCCAGGGCTGCCTCAACGAGATGGCTGAGGACGCCCAGCGTGTCCGCATCAAGGCCCTGGAGGATGACGAGCCGCAGCCGGAGGTCAGCTTGGAAGTGGCCAGTGACAATGGCGTGGAAAAGGGGGGCTCCGGGGAGGGAGGTGGGGAGGAAGCCCCACTCTCAACCTGCAGGAAGCTCGGCCTCCTTCTTAAGTACATTCTGGACAGCTGGAAGAAACACGACTCAGAAGAGAAATAAAGAGTGCAGCCCCGCCCCCCTGCCTCACCCACAAACTAAGTCTTAACAAAATCCAAATTACCAACAAAAAAGGCCGATGTGGTGAATGTGAGGGCTGCAGTTGCCTGGGGGGTGGGTGTGGAGGGAGCCTGTGTCCCTGGCAGGCAGGGGAGCCGGCGTCCTGGGCAGGGCAAAGGAGGGGGCACTGGGGAGGGGAGGAGGGAGGCAGGTGGGCCCAGGGCCAACAGGGGTGTAGTGAAAGGGGACAGGAGTGCCCTGGAGAGGGAGGTTGGAGACATGGATGGTGGGCCCAGGGTTCCCTGGTGGTGTCTTTCTCCCTGGTCCCCAAGTGGCCAGGAGGAATTTGTGGGGCACAGGACAGCAGGGCCAAGACAGGAGATTGCATCCTGCTAAGGTGCTTTCTATTTTATTTTATTTTATTATTATTATTTTTTGAGATGGAATCTTGCTCTGTCACCCAGGCTGGAGTGCAGTGGCCCGATCTCGGCTCATTGCAGCTTCTGCCTCCCAGGTTCAAGCAATTCTCCTGCCTCAGCCTCCTAAGTAGCTGGGATTATAGGTGAGCACCACCAAGCCCAGCTAATTTTTTTTTTTTTTTCGAGACTCAGAGCCCAGGCTAGAGTGCTGTGGCACAATCTTGGCTCATTGCAACCTCCACCTCCCGAGTTCAAGCAATTCTCCTGCCTCAGCCTCCCAAGTAGCTGGGATTACAGGCACACGCCAACACGTCCAGCTAATTTTTGTATTTTTGGTAGAGAGGGGGTTTCACCATGTTGGCCAGGCTGGTCTTGAACTCCTGACCTTGGCCTCTCAAAGTGCTGGGATTACAGGCGTGAGCCACTGCACCTGGCCCCTGCTAAGGTACTTTAGTTTCAATCTCATGTCCGTGTCTGAGAACCCAGTGTACCAAAGACAGCCCCAGGGGCCTGGGATGAGCACAGTGGTGTCCAGCAATGGCTAAACAGGTTGGGGAGAGTGGGCATCCGTGCCTGCCTGCTGCCTGGGAGCCATGGAGGGGTAGGGGGTGGCAGGGAGAGGGAGGCCAGGCGGCCACAGGGCTCACCTCCGTGTGGTGCTTGAGAAGACAGAGAATGGCATGGTGAGAGAGTGACTGGATGTTTCCATGAACATCGGAGGAGAGAGGAGGCCGACGATGCAACTCCGTGGCCTAGCATGAGTCTTACTCCAGAAGGAGGGCGGGTGTGTCTCAGAGCAGGAAGGCACATGGTGTTGAGACATCTGGCGTGTCTGTGATTGGGAAGAATCCTGGTCTCTCCATGATTAAAAAAAATTTTTTTTAGAGACAGGGTCTTGCCCTGTCGCCCAGGCTGGAGTGCAGTGGCGTGATCACAGCTCTCTTCAGCCTTGACTTCTTGATTTTGATGCTGTGAGTCTAAGATTGTGACTCATTTGCTGAGTCTGGGGTCACCTGTCTCTGTGGGATTGGGTCGGGGTGTGCGCGTGTGAATACTGGGACCTGCTGAAAGGCCCTGGGTCTTAACGGGAGGGCAACTATGTGTTGAGCTTTCTGACCAGACTGGTCAATATGGAGAAACCCCATCTCTATTAAAAATACAAAAATTAGCTGGTGTGGTGGTGCCTGCCTATAGTCCCAGCTACTAGGGAGGCTAAGGCAGGAAAATCGCTTGAGACCTGGAGGCGGAGGTTACAGTGAGCTGAGACTGTGACTCCGCACTCCAGCCTGGGTGACAAGACTCTGCCTCAAAAAAAGAAAAGAAAAAAAAAAAGCTAAGTTTAGAGATTCATGTCTACATTTTTATTTTTCACTTTGACACACTCAAACCTAACTTTCCCCTGCTCAAGACCAAATTAAAAAGTAACCATAACAATAAAAGTCATAACAATGCCCAGAGTGTCTGAGGCATCACCAATAATAATACTGAGAGTGTAACCACACGCAAGGCTAAGTACTTTATATTAGCTAACATTTATTCATCACTGCTAGGTACTCCTGGTTCATAACACCCTGGAAAAGAAGCTTCTCTTACTGTTTACATTTGGCACTGAGAGAATGATTAAGTTGCTCGGCCAGGTGTGGTGGCTCATGCCTGTAATCCCAGCACTTTGGAAGGCTGAGGCCGGTGGATCACCTGAAGTCAGGAGTTCGAGACCAGCCTGACCAACATGGTGAAACCCTGTCTCTACTAAAAATACAAAAATTAGCCAGGCGTGGTGGCAGGCACCTGTAATCCCAGCTACTTGGGAGGCTGAGGCAGGAGAATTGCTTGAACTGGGGAGGCAGATGTTGCAGTGAGCCAAGACTGTGCCACTGCACTCCAGCCTGGGCGACAGAGCAAGACTCTGTCTGAAAAAAACGAACAGAAAACTTACCCAGGCTGTTGTAGGGAGGTGTCAACCAGTATTTGCCCAAGCTTCTATTATCTAATTATGACATTGCTGGAGACCATCAACAATTAAAGGATTAGGAGCATAAATATTTTTGCTTTTTTTTTTTTTTTTTTTTGTGAGACAAGGTCTCACTTTGTCATCAGGATGGAGTGCAGTCACATGATATCAGCTCACTGCAACCTCCACCTCCCGGGTTCAAGCGATTCTCCAACCTCAGCCTCCTGAGTTGCTGGGATTATAGGCATGAGCCACCGTGCCCGGCTAATTTTTTTGTACTTTTAGTAGAAACGGGGTTTCACTGTGTTGGCCAATCTGGTCTTGAACACCTGGCTTCAAGTGATCCTCCTGCTTTGGCCTCCCAAAGTGCTGGGGTTACAGGTATGAATGACCATGCCCAGCGTATTTTTGCATTTAGTTAAATTCTGGTTTTGGGCAGTTTTAAGATCTAATTTCAATGTCTTTTCTGTAGACTGCAGTCACTTTTGGGGTGAAACAGGGAATCTGAACATGTATGTCTCAAAGTTTGACTTTGTGGCTGGGCGCAGGGCTCATACCTGTAATCCCAGCACTTAGGGAGTCCGAGGCAGCAGGATCACTTGAGCCCAGGAGTTGGAGACCAGCCTAGGCAACATGGCGAGACCCTGTCTCTACAAAAAATACAAAAAACTAGCCAGGCATGTGGCACGCGCCTGTAGGCCTAGCTACTCAGGAGGCTGAGGTGGGAGGATCACTTGGGCCTCAGAGGTCAAGGCTGTAATGGGCCATGATCGTGCCACTGCACTCCAGCCTGGGTGACAGAATGAGATCCTATCTCAAAAAAAGAAAAAATAGGCTGGGCGCAGTGGCTCACGCCCGTAATCCCAGCATTTTGGGAGGCCGAGGTGGGCGGATTACTTGAGGTCAGGAGTTCAAGACCAGCCCGGCCAACATGGTGAAACCCCATCTCCATCTCCACTAAAAACACAAAAATTAGCTGGGCGTGGTGGCAGGCACCTGTAATCCCAGCTACTTGGGAGGCTGAGGCAGGAGAATCGCTTGAACCCAGTGGGCATAAGTGGCAGTGAGCCGAGATCATGCCACTGCACTCCAGCCTGGGCAAAACCCCATCTCAAAAATAAATAAATAAATAAATATGAAAGATGTGGATACAGAAGTCAATGCCCTTTAGTTTGGCAGCACAGGGATTGGTGAGAAGGACTTAATGTGGCTCTTTCTGGTAAGGCTGGATAGAATTCTTGCGTACGTGTCTTTTCCAATAGACAAAGTCGCCAGGCTGCAGATCATGGTGTTGTAGGTCTTTGTCTCCTATGATTGTGCTGTGGAAAGATTGTTCTATCAAAATATGATTTCTATCCATTGCTTTATTAATGCCTTTACCTTAGTAAGGCTTTATTAATATTGAAGTATGTCTGTTTTGTTTTTTTTTGTTTTTTTGTTTTTGTTTTGAGACAGTGTCTCCCTCTGGTGCCCAGGCTGGAGTACGGTAGCGGGATCTTGGCTCATTGCAACCTCTGCCTCCCGGTTGAAGTGATCGTCCCGTCTCAGCATCCCGAGTAGCTGGGACTACAGGTGCACACACAACTACACCCAGCTAATTTTTGTGTTTTTGTAGAGACAGGGTTTTGCCATGTTACCCAAGCTGGTCTCGAGCTCCTGGACTCAAGCGATCCCCTTGCTTCAGCCTCCCAAAGTGTTAGGATTTTACGAGTGTGAGCCACTGCACCCAGATGGATATGTCTCCTTTTATCAATTAAGGGTCAAAAGCAGAGGAGGCCAAGTGCATAGGATGGCCTGTGACTATTTCCAAAGGTGAAAGTTTATGAGCCCCAAAGAGAGTGGCCCTTAGATTTAATAATACCAAAGGAGGAACTTAGGTCAAGGAAGGTGTAGATAAATTCTGCCAACTGGGTTTTTTGTTTTTTTGTTTTGAAATGGAGTCTCACTCTATCACCTAGGCTGGAGTGCAGCGGCTTGATCTCAGCTCACTGCAACCTCTGTCCCCTGGGTTTGAGCAATTCTCCTGCCTCAGCCTCCCAAGTAGCTGGGATTATAGGCGTGTACCACCACACCTGGCTAATTTTTGTATTTTTAATAGGGATGGGGTTTCACCATGTTGGCCAGGCTGGTCTTGAACTCCTGATCTCAAGTGATCTGCCTGCCTCAGCCTTCCAAAGTGCTGGGGTTACAGGGGTGAGCTACTGTGCCCGGCCATCCAACTGGGTTTTTATAGTTCCCCTTGTTTGTTCCACTGAGCCAGAAGATTGGGGATTGTAGACAGTGGAAATGCTGAGAAATTGGCCAAACTGAACTCACTTGTTTTATTATATGGCCAGTAAAATGGGCTCCTGATCACGATGTACTTCAAGGGGAGTTCCCTAGGTGGGAATACTTTTTTTCCAGGAGAATTTTGGCCACAGCTGAAGCAGTGGCTTGTCTACCAGGAAAGCCTCTACCCAATAGGAGAATGTGCAAACTGTTACTAGTACATATATATATATATATATATATATACACACACACACACACACACACACACACACACACACACGGAAGTGGGTAGTTGGATAAAATCCATTTGCCAAACCTTGAAGGGCCCATTAGGTAGATTAAAATGTCCAGGATCGGGATGTACACATTTTCCTGAGTTAAACTTACGGCAGGTGGCACAAGTGCCAAATAGGCTTTTTTTTTTTTTTTTGGCAGCTTTTTTTTTTTTTTTTTTTTTTTTTTTTGAGAGAGGGTCTCATTCTGTCACTCAGACTGGAGTGCAATGGCACGATCTCCACTCACTGCAGCCTTGATCTCCTAGGCTCAGGTGACTCTCCCACCTCAGCCTCCCCAGTAGTTGAAACTACTTATTTTGATATTTTTAGTAGAGACACGATTTCCCTATGTTGCCCAGGCTGGTCTCGAACTCCTGGACTCAAGCAATCCGCCCCCTTCGGCCTCCCAGAGTGCTGGGATTACAGGCCCGAGAGCCACTGCACTTGGCCAGTACAGCTTCTTTTAATGTCACTCCCCCTAATATTGTTTCATAAAACAATTTGTAAGTTCCCCAGTGGGTCAGATTATGTACTGTAGTTAAGAATATTGACTTGGAGAGAACTGGTTATCAGGCCTTAAACACAGCTTTTTTTTTTTTTTTTTTTTTTTTTTCAAATCATTGAACTAGCAGTGTGATCTTTCCAATTTTGTTCTTCCGTTTCTGGTGCCCAATTTTGTGCATCTTTGGTAATCATTTTTAGATCACCTTTTGGTGGCTCTTTTAGCTGGGCCTCAAGAGAGATTTGAGGAACCGAACCTTTAACAGCAGCATCCTTTGCGGCATTATCAGCCAAGACTGTTTCCTCTAGCTTCCGCAGAGGTTAACCTTGAATGTCCGGGAGTTTCCATAATAGCCAAGGCAGCTGGCAGCTGGATGGCATCCAGTAAGTCCCGTACATAGGATCCATTTTTAATTTGACCTCCAGTGGACGTGAGTAAACCCCTTCATTTCCATAGCAGTCCAAAATCAGGAGCAACCCCAAAGGCATATCTACTATCTGTATAGAGTAACAGATTGCCCTTTCACGAGGAGGCCAGCAAGGGCAGTGAGTTTAGCTTTTCGTGCAAAAGTAGCCACAGGGGCCAGGCGCAGCAGCTCACACCTGTAATCCCAGCACTTTGGGAGGCCGAGGTAGGCAGATTACTTGAGGTCAGGAGTTCAGGAAGACTGGCCAACATGACGAAACCCTGTCTCTACTAAAAATACAAAAAAATTAGCTGGGCATGGTGGTGGGTGCCTGTAATCCCAGCTACTCGGGAGGCTGAGGCAGGAAAATTGCTTGAATCCAGTGGGCAGAGGTTGCAGTGAGCTGAGATTGCGCCACTGTACTCCAGCTTGGGCAACAGAGCAAGACTCCATCTCAAAAGAAAAAAAAAAAAGTAGCCACAGGTAAGGGGCGGCTTCAGCAACTTCGAAGGAAGTGGTAACTACATATCTTACACAGTTTTTACCATTGTCATCTTTCAGATACGATCCATCTATATCCATAGTTCAGCCAGTTCAGCATTATCTAGCGGAAATTCTTGTAAACATTTTTTAGGGAATCAAAAGATAGTGTCAAACAGTCATGGAGAGCTGTGTGCAGTGGCTCACACCTGTAATCCCAGCACTTTGGGAGGCCAAGGTGGGTGGATCACCTGAGGTCAAGAGTTCGAGACCAGCATGGCCAACATATAGTGAAACCCCATCTCTATTAAAAATACAAAAAATTAGCCAGGGGTGGTGGCGGGCACCTGTAATCCCAGCTACTCGGGAGACTGAGGCTGGAGAATCACTTGAACCCGGGAGGCCAGAGGTTGCAGTGAGCCGAGATTGCGCCACTGCACTCCAGCCTGGGCAACAGAGCTAGACTCCGTCTCAAAAAAAAAAAAAAAACAACCTGTGGGCCTATGCCTGTATTCCCTTAGGCTTTCCCATGGTGGTTGTGGATTGGCTATTTTAAAGAAAACACGCTTGAAGGGGGAACTTATTTACATCGCTCTGATGTTGACCATCCCATAGGGCCATGGTCAGCCACTGTAGGATGTTGTTGGATTTTGGATTGGTGAGATGAGGAACAAGTGGGCTAAACTGCAAGCCACAAGGGGAAGGGGAAGTTTTACTAGGCCAAGGTGATGAGGTTTCGTTGAGTTTCAAACAATGTATGTCAGGCCTAAAAGTGGATGCCAAGGCAGCAAGTATATTGTAACACATTTATGACAGGCATGCAGAGGGATTGGAGAATGGGTAACTCAGGGTGAAAATACTCCCTCCCCTGTTCTGCTAAGGGTCACCACGTTCTGAAGCTGGAGAACTAGGGGTCAGGCAACCCATGGCAAGTACAGCCCAGCCAGCCCTCAGCCAGTTCAAGATACTGATGCTGTCGTGAGAGGCAGCCAGGGCTCTGACGGAGGCCCGCAAGATGGGGAATCTGCCAGCAGTTGCTGCCAAGTTGCAGGCCACACTTTGTTCACGGGAGAATGCAGGCTGCACGCTGGCACTACCAAGGGCACAGGCTCAGGCAAGTTGACCTGTCAATATCATGAGAGGCTACGAAATAAAGACCCTAACTCAGCCTGCATGGCTGTGATAGAAATGGCTGTGGACCCTACACCCTACCCGCACCCACGGTCATCATCAGACCGGCCAGGCATAGGCACGCCCACTTTTTAGGCTGACAAGTACCTCCAGCAGGTGCTGCTGGACCGTTACATCCTCATTATCATTGCATCAGAGCATTTGACCACCGGCCATGCCCAGCTGGCTCGCGAGATCCTGCAGCAGGGCGTTTCTCCTTCCTCTGCTCCAAGATGGAGTTTGCCACCCCCAAAGCTGCCACCCCAGCACCTTCTCTGAGGAGAGTGGGCTCAGCCAGATCCTGGATGGCTGTCAACAGTAGCTGGAAGGTCAGGGACATGCTCTGGGGTACTGGTGGCAGAGAAGGAGAGCCTGGACCCTTGAGATACTGCCCACCCCTTCCCCTTCGTCTTCCAGCAGAGGCCCAGAGTGGGAAAAGAGGTCACCCCCGGTACCAGCGCATGACTGAACTAGACTTTGTAGTGAAATAATGCTTTTTAGCTGCCATTCCCTAACAGTCGGCACTTCTCAGTCACTGGTGATAGAGACCAATCGCTTGCATTAAGGAGAAAGAGTATGTATTGGCTCATTTATTTGCAAAGTTAGAGGATTGCAAAATGCTATGTGCCCAATGCAGACCTGGCACCTGTGGATGATGGTGGCATTTAACATTTATTGAGGCTCAGCATAGGTCAGGCACTGATATGGTTTGGATCTGTGTCCCCACCAGATCTCATGTCAACTTGTAGTTTGTAGTCACCACTGTTGGAGGTGGGGCCTGGCGGGAGGGACGGCATCATGGGGGTGGTTTCTCATGGTTCAGCGCCAGCCCCTTGGTACTGTCCTCACAATAGTGAATCTGTTGTAAGAGCTCGTGGTTTCAAAGTGTGTGCCACCTGCCCCCTCTTGCTCCTGCTCTGGGCATGTGAAGTACCTGCTCCCAGTTCACCTTCCGCCATGATTGTAAGTTTCCTGAGGCCTCCCCAGAAGCCGAGCAGATGCCAGCACCATGCTTCTGGTTCAGCCTGCAGAACTCTGAGCCAATTAAACCCCTTTTCTTTATAAATTACCCAGTCTCAGGTATTTCCTTACAGCAATGCAAGAACCGACTAAAACAGACACCATTATGAACTCAATTAATCACCACAACACCCCTAGGAGGTAGGTACAATCATCACCTTATTTTGCAGACAAAACAGATGCCCAGCAAGCTTTAGCAACTTGTCCAATGCCACACAGGTGGTAGATGGCAAGGCTGGGATCTGAACATAGGCAGCCTGGCTGCAGGGCTGACATTCTTAGGCCAAGTGCTGCGCTCATGACAGGCGCTTGAGCCCAGGCAGCTGCCAGCACAACATGGCCTGCTCCAGTGTAGAAGCTGATTGAGCGGTGCTCATGTTTCCTGCAGTGGAGGGTGAGAAGGATACCAATGTATTCCTGTGTCTGAATTGAAAAGCGTGAGTTCCACCTGCTGGGAATGATGAAGGGACTGGAGAGCCACAAGCAGCAGGCATTCCTGGTGGCCAGGCCCATCTTGCAGCCCATCCTAGAGCAGAAGGCCTCCCTGCAGCAGTATATCTAGCTGGTGTCCACAGTGGCCTGCTGGCAGCATCAGCCTGAGTCCTCTGCTGGATGTAAAGGGGGTGGCGGGTGACCGGTACATACTTACCCACTGTTCAGAAGGCTACTGCCAGTTTGACTCCTCTGTCAAACTGCCTCAACGAGCCAGCCCCTGCACAAAACCCTGGAGGTGGGACAGGGCCTTTGGACCAAGGTCACCAGATCACCACGGTGGTGGTGGTGGAAACGCTAGGCCGGATTTCCAGAGTGCCTCATTTCACCCATCCGGGCATCCTGGTCACCTGCAGCACCTCCTTCACCACCATCTACCGGATGCTTCACACGCCCCTGGATTTGGCAGCCAGGGACACCAAGAGTGTGCTGATTCAGACCTTCCTTGGCAACACTGACCACAAGATCACAGGTGAATCCAATCAACAATCTCAGCCCTGAGCTGGGCCAGCAGGAGGTGGTAGGTTAGGGCTGGGAGGGCACAGTTCTCTCTGTCCCCAGCCTTGTGCTGAAAGGGGCTGGGATGGAAGAAACTGAAGCTCCAACTCTCCTGGACTGAGTTGCATGCTGTCTGGTGCCGTCTTGCCTTGGGTCTCCCATCTTTCTCTGGCCGTTGCCCCCACCACCTTTCCTACTCTGGCAAACCCCCAAATCAACCAGCAGGAAGACCCCCTGGGGAAGCAGGGGTGGGGATGAGACTTGGGGCAGACATTTTGACAAGGCAGGGAAGAGCTGGGTTATCTAGCTGGAGAGGATGGTCAGGAGGGTTCTGTAGAGATCACGACAGTGGGGCAAAGGATTTAGAAGCATTTCGGTAAAAGGGCAGTGAATGTCACAGCTCTGAAGGGCCTCGAGGATGATCTTAAATGTTGGAATAATGGCCAGAGAGGGGAGGCTCCTTGCCTACTACAGTCGGTCAGGAAGTGGCTGTGCCAGAGCCTGTGCTGGGCCTCCTGTCTCCCAGGCCTCAGCCCTCTGTAGAGACTGGCATTCTATCCACTTCTGGCCTGACCTTCTCTGGCCCTGCTGAGTGCTTTCTTCACTGACCCCCCGCCCCCCCTCACTTCAGTTGTTTCTCACAAGGCCCTGGATCCCCATGGTATGAAACACCAGGGCTGTATGGGATGCTTGAAAGCAGGAGGAAACCAGGGAGACAAATATGTGCCACGGGCGGCAGGGGGTGGGGGAGGGCAATGGATGAACAGACTCAGCCAGCTGGACTGGAGCTGACTGCTTTACTGAACGATGGATTAATTTGGGGTGGCGAGACCAATTTGGAGACATACTTTGGGAAACCTCAAACTAAGATCATGTACTGTATTTAACTGAGCAGATGAGGGTTGGTACTGTACCAAATCGCAGAGTGGATTTAACTGAGGGTAGGTTCTGGATTTACATTAAAGGTGAGGGTTGCCATTTCTAAGCAAGAGTAGATGAGGTTTACGAGAGGAAAGCCACTGTATTTAACCAACAGAAGGCACTGTCTGTACGGGTGAGGCATGGTATTTGGATTAAGGGTAAGTACTTACTACATTTAAGGACAAGTTCTGTTTCTTAAGTCAAAAGTAGGCTTTTTTTTTTTTTTTGAGACGGAGTCTCGCTCTGTTGCCCAAGCTGGAGAGTGCAGTGGCGTGATCTTGGCTCACTGCAACCTCTGCCTCCCGGGTTCAAGCAGTTCTCCCACCTCAGCCTCCCAAGTAGCTAGGATTACAGGCGTGCGCCACCACGCCCAGCTAATTTTTTTTTGTATTTTTAGTAGAGACAGGGTCTCACCATGTTGGCCAGGCTGGTCTCGAACTCCTGATCTCAAGTGATCCGCCTGCCTCGGCCTCCCAAAGTGCTAGGATTATAGACGTGAGCCACCATGCCCAGCCTAGGCACTGTATTTAACTGGGCATTTAACCCAAAGGCAGGTAACTGTCTTTAAGTGAGAGCAGAAGACACGAGGGTAGTTGCTGTACTCAGCTGCACCAGTGTATTTTCCCATCCAAAACATACACAGGGGAGGCTTGATGCCACCCCAGGAAACAGAATAACCCCTTCTAGGGACTTCTTAGCAGAGACTGATCTCCATCTGCCCGCAAGGGCTGGGTGTCCAATTTGTCCTGCTTCCCAGAGCTGCATGGTGGGTAGAGGAGTAAGTGGAACATAAGAACAGGCTTGCATGACTGTGTTTATTTGAACCACCAGATCTGTTCCAATAAAGAGCTCTCCAGACCCTGCCTCACCTTACAGGGAAGGGCTTAGAGTCAGGGAAGAGGGGCCTGTTGCTCCTGTCCCTGAAAAAGGAGGTCAAGATGGAGCCCGGGCTTCCTGGTGACCATTCAGACTCCTCCCACTGCTTGTCCCTGTGGAGGACACAGGACGGGCTACCCCATCTCAGGTTTGGGGTGGGATCGCTCACAGTCACCCCCGGAACAGCCCCAACTGAGGGTGGGGGGCCTGGCCCTGGACACCTCATGTCTCTGGGCCGGGAAGCCACGATCCCTCATCCATCAGGCCTGCTGCCGCTCTCCACCCCAGCGGGGGATGGACATCTGTGCTCCCTCGCAGTACACTGCGGACCCAGGAGGTCCCCTGCATGACATTCCTCTCCTTGGCCTCAGGCCAGCAGGCGGCTGTACTCTGCCAGAGCAGAGGACTTTCTCACCCCATCCCAGATCCGGGCAGCGTAGTGGAACCTGTGAGGAGGCCAACAGTCAGGGCTGCCTGGCCGGGGCTCCCCCCAGCCCAGCACCAACCCGGGACAGGTGGAGAAACTGAGGCCCCTTTTATGACCTGAGATGTGACTCTGAGCCTCTTGGAACCCAATCTCCTCGACTGGGATACAGGGAGGATCCTAACAGTGATGGGAGGTGGCCCAACTTTTCTTAGCTCACCCAGGTTATGCAAAGCTGAAGGTTCCAGGGCTTGGACTAAGACCTCAAGTCTCCACCACCTAAACTTCTCCCACTCCACACAGTGCTGGCTTTGTGGGTGAGGGTTCAGTTTCCACCTCCCTCCAGAGTCTTACGACATAGAAAACATCTAACAGCAGCTGCACAACCCACAATCTTCTCCCTCTCTCCTCTGGGTCCTGGTTTAGACCAATGGCAGGAGCAGAGCTGGGACTCAAAGCTCTGCCCCATCTCTGCCCTACAAGCCCTGAGGGGCTTCCTGCTGCTTTGTCTGCACTCCTGACCCCTTCCAGGCACAGCCAACTGCAAACAGATGTAGGGAGCCAAGTTAGAGAGGCTGCACCCAGTTAAGCTATTTATCTTTCCAATTTTTCTCTTTGAAGTAAGATGAGGAAGACCTGGACTCATATGCTGAGAGCTCTGGACAAAGAAGTAATGTAAAGTAGGGGCCACAGAGCTAGTGCCGGGCCAAGTGAAAGCAGGGAGAGAAAGCCAGAGGCAGGAAACAAGACAAATGCAGAAGTGTGAAGAATGAGACCCTGATGGCTTCCTGGTTCCCATCTGCTGCAGGGCCCTGCTTTCTGTGATCAGGTCCCTGGAATAAATCTTCCTTAAGCTAAATCTGGTCACTGGTCCTACTCCTAGCAATCAAATGACTCCTAGCCACAGATGTGTGGCCTTGCTATGTAACACTTTTCCCCGAGCCTAAATTTCCCCACCAGGAAAACTGGTGACAAGGACCTACATGATGCTGGCTGATTAGGAGGATTCAAAGTCACAGGAAACAGCATGTTGCCACATGGGTGAGATGCTTACAAGACAGTAGCAATCATCACTGTTCCAGAAAAGGAACCTGGGATCTGGAGAGGAGGGGCTTCACAAGGTCATGCCGATCTAAGGGACGCCCCCTTCTCTCTACACCAGGGTGGGGTGCCTCAAATTGACCCCCTCTGCAAAGAGCTCTTACCAGTTCTTCTCGGTGAGGATCGTGTGTGACAGCTGTGGCCGGGCCATGGACATCACTTGGCTCCGGAGCTTGCTCACCAAGGACTGGAAACTGGGGTGGCCACGATACCCAGGCAGCAGGGAGAAGAGTGGGCTGGAACCAGGTCCTGGAAAGTTGGGGCAGGGAGGGTAAGAGGGATAGACTGCCAGGGTCTTTCTCCCAGTTAACAGCATCCTGGGCTTCAAGGAGCACCTGAGAGTTCAGCCCCGGCTGAGCTCTTCCTGTACTTCTATGACTCTGAAACACACTCCTAATAAAGGGTCCACACACCCCAGGAACAAACCAGGATCTTCTCTCAGACCAGGTAGGCTCCACACTGCTCCCAAACCAGGGCAACCCATGTCGCCTCCTAGACCAGTGGGTGCTGGGTCTCTCTCTGATCAGGATAGGACTTGTCTCTCCATGAACCTGTTGAGGGTAACTGTACCTGCTCTTGGTGGGTTTTCACTCTCTGCTTCACTGTCCATGAAGGGTACCAGGAATAAGTTGACCTCAGAGTCCAGGAAGTCAGGTGGAAGCCCCGGGAAGACATTGCATTGTAACATGGACAGAGTTCCTGGAGGAGAAAACGCTTCAGCCTTCAGGTACCATGTTGTGGGTTTGGGGAGTGGGAATTGTTGACAGTCAAAGCAGGATCAGGAGACTAGTCTGGGGGTAGAGACTGACCCACGGGGTTGGATCAGGAATTAGGAGGCTGACTAGCTTGGGGGGTGATGTGGGAACCCTTACCCTTGTAACGCAGGTGGGAGTGGGCCATGAGCTGGTCAATCATCAGGTGCATCTGCCGCAGCTTCCGAGGACAGAAGTCCTCTCGGCGAGCTTTGTTCTGCAAGAAGACTGAGGGTGGGAAGAGACGGGCCCTGTCAGGCAGACATCGCTTGGCTTCATGGACTCCCCTTTCTCACCCCAAAGACCTGTTGTTACCCCTGAGTTCAGATCACTGTGTAAATATTTATATAACTTCACTTCACTTTAGCACCAGGCTCTGTGTAGGGCAATGCTGGGGACCCAGAAGTGAGTCAGGTCTGATTTCTGCCCCTAGTCTCTTTGAGGCCCTAGCGAGGGATCATAAAATGAACTGGGTCTTTGAAGAAGAGTAGAGCGGAGAAAGGATGAAACAGGCAAAGGAACGGCATGTGCAAAGGCTAGAGGAGGGAGAACAGGTGGACGGGGCCACCCAGATGAACCCAACCTAATACTCACTTCCTGAGTTGGGAGATTCCAGGGACCCAGAAATAGGCAGACCTGGGGCCTGTCCCATTCCAGACACAGGCTCAGGGGTCATGCCCTCAACTGTCAGGATTGGACCAGGGCAGTGGGAACTTGGAAGGAGCAGCTAATCCTTTTTGACTTTGCTCCTCACAACTCTCAAAAGTGCTCCACCCAGAACCCCACTCCTTCCTCTCTCTCCCCTCTTCTCCAGCGTGCTCCTGACTTTCAGCCCCTCATTTTTCCTCCTGCCCACCCCTCCAGTCCCCAGAAAGCCTCTCACCTAGGTGGGGGTAGTACTCGGTGCCTTCATCGGAGCCCGATGAGCTGCTGGACTCGTGGCTGGGGGATGGGGTGGAGGGCTTCACCATCTCTGCTGTCTGCAGGAACCTTGGGGTTTGGGGTGAGTGGCTGTTGCTCTTGCACTTGCACCCCAGGTCCCACAGCCTGGGACAGGGGCTTCCTTTGAGATTCTGATGAAAGCTACAGCCATGCTCAGAAAAATACCATATACACACCATGTTTCTCACAATTTCAGAGAATTCAGAGATAATCCTCTCAGATACCAACCCATGGACTTACCAACTGTATAAATTCTTTGAGTTTACTGTATTTTTTTTTTAAAGGCTATTTTTTAGAGCAGTTTTAGGTTCACAGCAAAACTGAGCAGAAAGCACGTAGCGTTCCCACACAACCCCTGCACATGCACAGCCTCCCTGACTATCAACATCTCCAACCTGAATGGTTCATTTAAGATCCATGAAGCTGCACTGACACATCATTATCACCCAAAATCCCTAGTTTACATCAGGGATCACTCTTGGTGCTGTACGTCCTACAGGTTTGGACAAATGTATAAAGGTGTGTGTCTGCCATTATAGCATCACAGAGTAGTTTCACTGCCCTAAAAATCCTCTGTGCTGTCCCTATTCATCCCTCCCTCTCTCCAACCCCTGATCTTTTTACTGTCTCCGTAGTTCTGCCTTATCCAGACTGTCTGTATAGTTGGAATTACAAGTATATAGCATTTTCAGATTGGCTTCACTTGATCTGCATCTAATGATCCTCTATGTCTTTTTATGGTGAGATAGCTCATTTCTTTTCAGTGCTGAATAATATTCCATTGTCTAGATGTGCCACTGATGATTTATCCATTCGATTTACTGAAAGACATCTTGGTTGTTTCCAAGTTTTGGCAATTATGGATACAGCTGCTATAAACATCTGTGTGGCCGAGCACGGTGGCTAACGCCTGTAATCTCAGCACTTTGGGGAGCTGAGGCGGGCAGATCACCTGAAGTCAGGAGTTCGAGACCAGCCTGGCCAACATCGCGAAACTGTGTCTCTACTAAAAATACAAAAAATAGCCGGGCATGGTGGCACACACCTGTAGTCCCAGCTACTTGGGAAGCTGAGGCAGAAGCACTTGAACCTAGGAGGCGGAGGTTGCAGTGAGCCGAGATTGTGCCACTGCACTCCAGCCTGGGTAACAGAGTGAGACTCTGTCTCAAAAAAAAAAAAAAAAAAAAAAAAATCTGTGTGGTTTTTTAGTGGAATTTTCAGTTTATGTTATTTTAAAATAATTTTTTACAATAGGTTAAGAGTACATAAACCTGTTTTCTAAGGTAAGGGATAATGGGATTGCTAAAATACAGGGACATTCTCCTCATACACACACAAACACATCTACAATCTCAAGGGGCTCCCCTACTCTGAGAAGCCCACCTGTAGACAAGACCTTAAAAACAAGGCTCTGCCATGTGCCGGCCTGAGCCAATACTCCTACCAGAATGTAAACTCCCCAAGGAGTTTTATCTGTTTTCTCTCTTTTATCTGTTTTGTTCACACCTGTGTCCCTAGTGCCCAGAACAGTGCCTGGCACACCTAGATGTGAATGAATCCCAGATGGTGGTAGGAATAGGTGTTTCAGAATGAAGTCACAGCTCAGCTGCATTAGATCTGGTCAGAACAACCAACTCCCCAGCAAGCCTTTTTTGCTGTTGGCCAGACCCTCAGCTCATCCCTGTCCCCAGGGTTACTAATACAAACATTAAGTTTTCTCCATCAACTGCTTACTATGTAACAGGGACTAAGCTGAATGCTTTAAATTCCTTAACTCACTGAATCTACACAACATAATGCTGCTGATGAGGAACTGAGGAGGAAACAGACACATGCCCAGTAAGAGCTAGGATTCAAAGGCACTACCTAGCTCTGAAGGCATCTGCTTCCTAATTCCATTTCTCCCCTCCCTATAAGCTCCTGTCCCTTCCTTCTGCCTGGTCCGTGTGCCCAAAGCTGTTCCCCCCAACACCTCCCAGCGGTCTCCTGGGGCCTGAAGCCAGGAAGAGCCCTTGTGGCCATAGGTTCTGAGCCAGTCTCTTCTGGAGGCATTTCTGCAATCTGTGGCTGCTTCAGGCAGGACTCCTGCCAGGTCCTGCCTCCCTGAGTACCAACAGGAGGGCACACGAGCCTGAAGGAGATGAACAGCAAAACTCCACGGATCAGACAAGCCAGCTCCTCATGCTCCTTATTCAGCAAATTTGTAGTAAATATTTACTGTGTGCCAGGCACTGTGTGAGGTGCTGGGGACCTTGCCCTCCTAGGGCTTACATTCGAATGGGGGAGAAAGATCATAAGGAAAGCTACAGTATCCTATTAAGGAGAGGTAAATGCAATGAAGGAAAACACAGAAGTGAGGGAGAGTAACAGGGGATGCTATGTTAGATGGTCAGGGAAGGCCTGAAGTTGACTCGAATGGCACGAGGGCGAGAGTCTGAGGAGATCTGCGGGAAGGGTATTTCCCACTGAGGGAGGCGGAGTGCAGAGGTCCTGGGCTGCAGGAAGAACAGCCATGAGGCCCTGTGGCTTTAATAAAGGGAGTGAGGGCAGGTGCGGTGGCTCACGCCTATAATTCCGGCACTTTAGGTGGCCGAGGCAGGTGGATCACCTGAGGTCAGGAGTTCAAAACCAGCCTAGCCAACATGGTGAAACCCATCTCTACTAAAGATGCAAAAATTAGCTGGGCATGGTGGTGGGTGCCTGTAATCCCAGCTACTCGGGAGGCTGAGGCAGGAGAATCACTTGAACCCAGAAGATGGAGACTGCAGTGAGCCGAGATTGTACCACTGCACTCCAGCCTGGGCGACAGAGCGAGACTCCGTCTCAATAAATAAATAAATAAATAAATAAAAATAAAGGGAGCGAGGGGAGGCAGTGAGAGAAGTCAGCAAGGTGACCAGAGAGCAAAGGACTTTGTAAGCCATGCACGGGCAGACTTTGGATTTATTCTGGTAGATATGTAAAGTCAGTGGAGGGCTGTGTGTGCGCGCAGTGCTTTGAGGGGGAGGTTAGATGGGAGTGATTTGCTCCAACTTACATTTTAAAAGGATCCCTCTGGCTGCTGTCCCTTGAGTCAGTGGCTCAAGTCTCTGGGCCTTTGTCTCCTGCCTCATTCCTCCTCCCCACCCTCCAACCCCTCAGCTCCTCACCTGTAGAGACTGAGGTCTGTGAACCAGTCCTGGACAACAATCACCACATGGCAGACCGTGAAAAGGAAGGCAGCAATCTGGAGTGACTGAGGGTGGGCAGGATGGAAGGGAGGTGAGGACCTCTTCTGCCCAGACTAATCAGGAGTCCCTGATCCCAGGACTCAGTTCAGGAGGCAGCAAGGCAAGGAGCCTTCAAGCAGCTACTGTGTGCCCAGCACTGTGATGGCACTTCCCTTACAGGCCATCCCTAACTCAGGAAAGGTGGGAATTATCACCCCCATTTTACACAGGCAGATGCTGAGGCGTCAAAGGGGAGGGGGTGGGAAATGACTTGCCTGAGGGGCAGAGCCAGGAGTTGAGCCAGTCCTGACTCTCAGTGTTGTCCTCTTCCTATAGCCCTTGGGGCAGCCAGGGCTCTTCTGAAGCAGAAACTAAGTGGACCACCCACACCCAGCTCTCCAGATCTTGGGAGGATGGGGGTGGGGATGTAAAACCTCAGTCCTGGGCCTGGCTTGGCTCCCTCACCTGCATTTCAACGTAAGTGTGGGGAAGGTTGTACTCTGGAGGCAGTTTGCGGTCATTATTGATGAGATGGTCTAGGATAGAAGGGCTCAGGATGGGCTGCAGCAAGGAAGAGAACAGAGTGTCACTCAGATACCCAAGTTTCACACGCTCAAGGCAAATACATTGTCTATCTCAGGACAAAACAAGGTCAGAAACAAAGGCAGGCAATTTCTAATTAGAACAGCAAAAGGAAGTTAAAGAAAAAAAACTCAAAGCTGATACACTTTTCCAGCTCCTTTACAAATCACTGTTGCTCGCAAGCACCTCATGCCCAAAGAGAAGAAACTGCTTTGTGCTAATGAATTTTTAACGTTTACTCAAATGAGTCATGTCCCTTAAAGGCTCATTTTGTTGTCAGTTGTTTCATACGCTTTCAAAACTTTGCTAAGATAATTACTTAGGTAAAAAAAAAAAATAATTAGTGTGAAAACTGGTGAGAATTTTAAAAACTGCATCAGTATGTATAAGAATCAGTGGTGAGCTCACCGGACTTTTTTTTCTTAAAGGAACATTCAATCAAAAAACTTTAAGAGCTAAATTAAATTAGCTTGATAGTCTACTGGCTTCTTACTGCAGTGAAATTCTTTTAGAAAGGGGCTTTCACAACTGCTCGCGTTCTCAAACTCCAAACATTGAGCAGTGCTCTATTCTGTCTTGTTTAACTTCCGTCCTCCTCTTCACAGGTCTCTGACCCAGACCACAGCCGGTTTGGTTTGTCTCCAGGTCTCCATGGCCCCTGCACAGGGCCTGGCACACAAGGCTCACATCACATTTGTAGATTTTCCACTCTGTGTCATCAATGCCACAGTGACCAGAACTCTGTTCCACCAACTATGAGTGCCAACTAAAGGGCCAGGCCCTGTGCCCCAGCTCTCACCCCCAGAGCCAGGGCTCTGCTCTGAAGAGCTTCGGGCAGGCAGGGAGTGGGAACAGACACGGTGGCAAATCACATGCTATGGTGGGAGGTGCATATGGGCAACAGTGGAAGGGGAGGGCTTCTGAGAGGAGGCCACACCCCAGTGGAGTCTTGAGGAAGAAGAAGGCGTTAGCCAGGCAAAAACGCAAGGCGAGAGCCTATTGTACTGATAATGGTATTAATTGCTAAGGGTATTTAGCACCTAACTCCTGTTGGGTGCTGTCATTAGGACTTTACTTGCATCGATGCACTGAAACCTCACAAAACCCCTATGAGGCAGGCAGTATTGTTTTTCCCACTTAAAACTGAGGAATGAAAATAAATAACTTGACAAGGTCACACAATTCGTTGGTGGTTTCAGGTAAAAACGGGATATGCGAAGTCCAGAGAAGAGAGAGATCAGTGTGTGTGTGCTGGGGGTCTGGTGGCTCCTCCAGAGGCGAGGATAGGCAGTCTGAGGGAGGCAAGCCACACCCTCCGAATGCCAGCTTAAGGAATCTGGACTTTGCCTGAGAGGAAGGGAGAAGCCGAGGAAAACTGCCAGGTAAACGCAGGACCAGTCAGTGCTAACGACAGTGACGAGCCTGAGCACTAACCTTGTGCCAGGTCCTGGCCAAGCACTTTGCCTGGATTGTTCCACTGAATCCTTGAAACTCCTAAGAGGCTAAGTACAGTTACCATCCCTATTTACAGATAAAGAGCTGTGGTTTAAGGGAGTTTAAAACTGAAAGTCACCCAGCTGGTAAGAACTAACAGACAGGATCAGAACACACATTCTCCAGGGCCCACACTTTTCAGCACTATACTAGAAATCCTTTAGGCTACTGTGTAGAAGGCGAATGAGATGGGGGCAAAAGTGACAAGAGACTAAGGGCCAAGAAAAGACACAATTTGCCCCAGGGCAGCCAGTATGTCCATGGCTTGACTGGAAGCACATGGAATCCACGCAGGGTTCTGGCTTAATCACATTCCAGGAAGAGGCTCAATGCAGGATGTGGCAGGGTGGGGCAAAGGCAGGCGGGGCTGGCACCTGTGTGTCCAGGAAAACAATCCGTTCTTGGGTAATAAAGAAGTCGATGCCACTGGTCTGGTTGCCCCCTCGTTCCTTCATTTCAGCGCTCTGGGCCCGGAAAACATAAGTCCTGTGGAGAGGAGCAGGCAGGGGTGTGTGAGAGCTCTGGTTCTCAGCCTTGGATGCATCCGAAGTGTGACCCTGTGAGCTGAGCATGTGAGCCGTGGTGCCCTGCCTGCTCCCTAAGCTTTTCATCTGTGGCCCATGTCAGGGGGTGGGAGGCGGGGGTAGTGCATGTTTTGAAGCACACAATTTCACTCCTATCCATAAAGAGATCCATTAGTTCAATTAATGAAGCCAGTACACTGAGGTGTTGAAGGGCAGAGACTCCGCCAGTCTGCCAGGATTCAGATCCCAGCTCTGCCTCTTCCTGGCTGTGTGGCTTTAGGCACACTCCTTAACCTTTTTCCATCAGTTTCCTCATCTATAAAACGGGGATAACCACATGATCAAAACTCTGTGTATTACTGTGAGGTCGGTATGTGTAAAGCCCTTAGAATGGTGCCTGATATATAATGATATATACTTTTAGCTGTTAATTATCAAATAAACCTACTAGATCCCAGGCATTGGAGAGAGAGCACTGAGTGCCCTCCACTCCCACAGTGAGAGAGAGTTTGGGTCTTGTTCCCAGCATCTTCCCCTGTCAGGTGAGTCTCCCTCACTTCTACGTGTGCTGGGTGCTGGGAATATGAGGGCAAAGCAGGCAGAGCAGGGCCGTGCCCTAAACCACTAAGTTCAACTTGGTGACTCTGTGACTTGGGCAAAGTGATTTTACCTTTTGAAATCTGTAAAATCAGGGTAATAGTACCTACCTCTCAAGGGGTAATTTCTATCTCCCCTCAAGATGCATAATCTGTTGTCTGACACAAAGCAGGCATCCTTCCACTTTACAAACACTATACGGAAAACCTCCTATTTGCCAGATACCAGGATATAGCAGTGAACAAAAAAGACTAAGTCGGCTTCTGTGAAGCTTCTGGTCTAGTTTACAAATTACCAGAAATCAGTAACTGTGGGTGTTAGAAAGAAGAGGCGTGCAGTGCTCCAAGTGCAGATTGCTTAGTTGGTGGAGCCAGAAAGGGCTGCCCTGGAGAGGGAAATGACAATGCTGAGGGTGAGAGAGAAAGAGGGAGTTAATTGGCACTGGGTGGGGGATGGACGCAGAGGAAGGTTGCATCGGCAGAAAGTAGGTGGCTTGTTGTACTAGGACTCAAAGACCAGCATGGCAAGAGCAGAAAGATGGTGCATGTGGGAGGGGAGGGAGCAAGAAGAGGATACACAGACCCTTGTGGAGCATGGTAAGGCTTTGGCCTATGAGCCTGGAGAAGCTGCTGGAGAGATGTAAGTAGAGGAGTGACAGGATCAGACTGTGGTTTGAAAGGTCCCCTTGCTGCTATGTGGTGAGGACCGTACGGTGGAAAAAGTGGAGATAGGCTTACAAGGCCCAGTGCCAGAGTGCCTCGCTCTGCCTCTCTGGCCTTATCTCCTACCACTCCCCTTCTAAGGCTGCCACGTTCTTCTACACACACTATGGGCAAGCTCCCACTTCAGACGCATTGCCCATGCCAGTCCCTTTCACTGGAATGCTCCTCCCAGCATGCTTTTTCTCAAACGTTCCCCTTAGCAAGGCCTTCCCTCACCATCCTATTTAAAACTATAACCTAGTCTGGGCAACACAGCAAGACCTCATCTCTACAAAAAATAAAAAAAAATATTAAGGGCATGGTCGCTCATGCCTGTAATCCCAGAGCTTTGGGAGGCCAAGGTGGGAGGATCACTTGAGGTCAGGAGTTCAAGACCAGCTTGGCCAACATGGTGAAACCCTGTCTCTATTAAAAATACAAAAATTAGCCGGATGTGGTGGTGCACGCCTGTAATCCCAGCTACTCGGGAGGCTGAGGCAGGAGAATTGCCTAAACCTAGGAGATAGAGGTTGCAGTAAGCCAAGATGGAGCCACTGCACTCCACCCTGGGTGACAAAGCGACAATTGTCTCAAAAATAAAAAATAAATAAATTAGCCAGGCATGGTGGTACACAAATGTAGTCCTAGCTACTCAGAAGGCTGGGGTCAAAGGATCACGTGAGCCCAGTCTGGGCAACACAGTGAGATCCTGTCTCTACAAAAAATTAAAAAATTAGTTGGGCATGGTGGTGCATACCTGTGGTTCCCAGCTACTCATATGGCCAAGGTGGGAGGATGGCTTGGGCCCAGGTCAAGGCTGCAGTGAAGCCATGATCAGGCCACTACACTCCAGCCTGGGTGACAGAGCAAGACCCTCGTCTCTTAAAAAATAGTAATAATTTTTAAAACCTGTAACCTAGGCCCAACATTACCTCCCTATAACCCTTTTCCATTGTGTTATATTCTAACGTGCCGAATAGTGTGTTTATTTTGTTTACTATCTTCCCTATTAAAATATAAGTCCCACAAGGGCAGATTTTTTCCAGTTTTGTATACCACTGTATCCCCAGCACCTAGAACAGTGCCTGGCGCATAGTAAGCAATTAATACAGTACTTGTCAAAACTGAATTAAATCAGGCAGACCAGACAGAAACCTCTTGGTATCCTGCATGTAAGATAATAATGGCTTGGACTAAGGAGGTGGGAGTGAAGGAGGGAAGAAACAGATGAATTAGAAAGAGAATTAGCAGGAAGGCCAGGCACGGTGGCTCACACCTGTAATCCCGACACTTTGGGAGGCCGAGGTGGGCAGATCACCTGTCAGGAGTTCAAGACCAGCCTGGTAAACATGGCGAAACCCCATCCCTACTAAAAATATAAAAATAAGCTGGGCATGGTAGTCCCAGCTACTCGGGAGGCTGAGGCACAAGAATCGGTTGAACCCAGGAGATGGAGATTGTGTTAAGCTGAAATTGTGCCACCGCCCTCCAGCCTGGGTGACAGAGCGAGACTGTCTCAAAAAAAAAAAGAGAGAGAGAGAATTAGGAGGCAAAACCTAGACCTGATGAAAAGAGTTGATACTGAAGTCTACCACACCACAGGCTGACGTGGCTCAAAAAGACAAGCTGGGTGACAGGATTCTCCCTACCTCAGGAATCTGAACTGAGACCCATGGGGAAAATTTGCTAGTTGGGGTGAAAAGCTGAAATGGAAAGAATGTTATCTAAGACCTGGAACTATTCCAAAATGGAACCAAACTGAGTCATGAGTGAGCAGAGAAGAGGAGGGAGAGAGGCAGAGGAACCTCACAGCTCCAGCTTTATGGGATGTGTATTCGCCCAACAGTGGTCTTCACCTTTTCTAGATCTCCATCAGCCCACTCTGAGATCTGGTGCAAACTAGGGACCTTTTCCCTAGAAGAAAAGCCTGACTGCAAATGTGTGTAAAATTCTGCATACGGCCAACGGTGGTGGCTCACACCTGTAATCCCAGCACTTTGAGAGGCCAAAGCGGGAGGATTGCTTGAGCCCAAGAGTTTGAGACCAGCCTGGGCAACAGAGGAAGACGCCATCTCTACCAAAAAAGTTAAAAACCAGCTGGTGTGGTGGCATGCCCCTGTAGTCCCAGCTACTTGGGAGGCTGAAGTGGGAAGATCACTTGAGCCTGGGAGGTAGAGGATGCAGTGGGCTATGATCGTGCCATTGCACTTGAGCCTGGGTGAAAGAACAGGACACTGTCTCAAAAATAAATGAATAAATAAAATTCTGCATATACTGTTAAGGGATTAATGGACTCCTGACGCTCATCCATGGAGGCCAGGGTAGTATCACCTGCTTTACAAAAAAACAGATCCCTGTATTTTTAGGTAACTTCAACATGTCTCTGTTCTTCACCACCCCAGTGGCTACTATCCATTCTCATTCCCCATTTTGATTCTCCCTTAATGAGATGTGTATCTCCCCCATTCCCAAATTCCTACATTTTTCCCTTTCCTTCTCTGCCCCCAGTTTCGGGACCTGTTTCTCAAGTTCTCCCCTCCCCAAAACCTGCTCCTGTGCCCTTATGCTTTATCTTCATAATCACATTCCATCCTTACTCAAGAATGTTGTTCAGGCCAGAGAATCCTCATGTCTGATCCTCCCCAGCCTGGAGAAGCAGAGCCATTTTCCCAAGGTGACACAGTAGGACTGAGGCTGGTACAGAAACCACTCTCTGTCTCCAGATCTCTTTCCCCACTCTATTTCTCAGATCGTATCAGCTACCATTCTGTGATACTTGCTCTATGCCAGGTGCTCATTAACTTTTGCCTTCTTGATCTTATTTTATTCTCCAAAAATCTACCTGGACAGGGGATACGGGAAATGAAGTGACCTGCCCAAGGTCAACCAGTTATGTTGCAGGGCTGAGCCTGAGGTGGGCCCAAATCCAAAACCTTAACAACTACATCATCCCACTTCTTGTCTAGGACCTGTACCATTTCCTGAGGCCAGGCAGGAAGGGAGGGAGGGAGGGAGGAACAGGATTGGATGCCTTGGAGCTACACAGATTTAGTCCAGCCCATTATCATCTTCATCTCATGAAGACACTGAGGTCTACAGAAGAAAAGCAACTTTCCAAAGTCCTTTGGTAACACCACTTGAAACACCCAAGCCCACCTTGCCCCTGCTCCCAGTGGGTGCCCACCTCCCTCCTGCACCCTATCTGATAGCCCCTCACCTCTGGTCCTCCTCTGGAGTGTTGGCTGACAACAATGACATGACCATGGACTTGCCTGTCCCCTGGAGGCCCAGGACACCAACCACCAACACATCAGTCTGATCCAACAGGTACTGTGGGAAAATACATAAATGACTCTGACAAGTCTGTCAGCTGCTGGAGCTGGAATGAGGGGGGGACTCCAGAGACCCTTGTGGCTCCCCCACCTGCCTTATCATATATGAAGAGAAACTCCTATAGTCCCAACCCCTTCAACTAGGCATAGGGCCTCTGTTCCGTGTCATGGTAGGATTATGTGAAATGTTTTAGACACAAACAACAGTGTCTGTGAGAACTCTGAAGTAGAAAAGAGCCTAGCATGGTCAAGAAGCTAAAAGGAAGTCAGTGTGGCTGAACACAGCGGGAAAAAGGGAAGTCTGATCTTGGAGAAGTGAAAGTGAGAGTCACAGGAACAGAAGGGCAGGTTGGAGAAGATAGGACTCGGCGACTGAGGGCTACTGGCACAGATTCCTGGCAAACCTGGGAAAGCACATGAAAGGGAGTGGTGTGCAAACAGGAGCCACCCAGGCTTTCGTCTGTGTGTGTGTTTTTTTGTTTTTTTTTACATTCATATGCTGTTGTCTGTGGGATTTAAGAGCCCCTCTGGAAATTAACTGAGACCAACTCTGGGCCACCAGCTCTGCTGACTTTCACCACCAGGGGGTGTAAGAGACACTCCTCAAGGAAAACAGCTACGTTCTGAACTGTGGCTGCTGCTCCTTAGAATTACCTTAAAATTTTGTTTTGTTTTGTTTTTTAAAAGCGAATCCTATAGGCCAGGTGTTGTGGCCCACGCCTGTAATCCCAGCACTTTAGGAGGCCAAGGTGGGAGGATCGCTTGAGGCCAGGAGTTCAAGACCAGCCTGGCCAACATGGTGAAACTCCGTCTCTACCAAAAATACAAAACCCGGCTGGGTGCAGTGGCTCACACCTTTAATCCCAGCACTTTGGGAGGCCGAGGCAGGCGGATCACCTGAGGTCGGGAGTTACAGACCAGCCTGACCAACATGGAGAAACCCCATCTCTACTAAAAATACAAAATTAGTTGGGTGTGGTGGTACATGCCTGTAATCCCAGCTACTCGGAAGGCTGAGGCAGGAGAATTGCTTGAACCCGGGAGGCGGGGGTTGCGGTGAGCCGAGATCGTGCCATTGCACTCCAGCCTGGGCAACAGGAGCGAAATTCCATCACAAAAAAACAAAAAAAAAAACAACTATCTGCGCGTGATGTCGCACACTTGTGGTCCCAGCTACCTGGGAAGCTGAGGCTGGAGAACTGCTTGAACCCGGGAGGTGGAGGTTGCAGTGAGCCGAGATGGTGCCACTGCACTCCAGCCTAGGCAACAGAGCGAGACCGTCTCCTAAATAAATAAAGCAAATCCTGGGCCCAATCAGGATTTAACGTGCTTTAACACATTAAAGCAGAATATCTATGGATGCCCTGTTCAATCAGTAGGCATTGATCATACATGGCTATTTAAATTAGTAAGCTTAAACAACATTAAAAATTCTGTTTGGTTGTACTAGCCACATTTCAAGTGCTCTAAAGCCACATCTGGGGATAGCGGCTACCATACTGGACGGATAGTTCAAATATATATGATCTTCATCACTGCAGAAAGTTTTCCTTAATAGCGCTGAAGGGTAGGGTTTGGTTTTTTGTTGTTGTTCTGTTTTTTGTTTTTTTAAAGCTCCCCAGTTAATTCCAATGTGAGAGTGGACACAGAAGTGGCAGGGGCAAGGCAATAAATGGACTTGAGGCTGTGCTAATAAGTCCAGGCTGCTGGGTAGGAGAGGTGACACCTCTGGGACAATCTGAGCAGGGGTGTGACAGGTCTAGGGGAGAAAAAGCAGAAGAAGGGACACAACATCTGGGAGACTGGTGTTATGTATGATGATCTAGGAATGTGAGGTCTGAACTAGAGCAGGGGGTGGTGGGATGGATGGGGGTCACTTTGGGGGAGTGACATTCAAAACAGTTGACACTGAGACAGCGTGGGCTTCTTGTTCTTTTTTTTTTTTTTTTTACTGAGACAGGGTCTCACTCTGTTGTTGAGGTTGGAGTGCAATGTCATGATCACAGCTCTCTGCAGCCTTGACCTCCTGGAGTCAAGTGATCCTCTTACCTCAGCCTCCTGAGTGGCCTGGATGCCTCCTGCCACCATGCCTGGCTAATTTTTAAATTTTTGGTAGAAATGGAGTATTCCTATGTTGCCCAGGCTGGTCTTGAACTCCTGGGCTTAGGTGATTCTCCTACCTTGGCCTCCCAAAGTGCTGGGATTACAGGCATGAGCCACCAGCAAGGGTTTCAACCAAATAAGAAGGGTACTGGAGCAGGGTCCAAAAGACTCCCCTGCTGTGGATGGCACGGGAGATCCCAGGGGTCCTGGGGTGGTAGTGAGAGTACTTCTTTACCAATCGGTACCAAAGGAGTTCTGTATTTTACCAACTAGCAAGCACAGCCGAGCTAGTTGAAATTCCGCTCTGGTTAGGTGAGAATGTTCTGATACCACCCCCTCTCACTGCTGTAAGTTGCCTCAAAACCCTCCAGTCTGGTGTTGCCTACAGAGAGGTGGAAGATCAGAGGATGCAGGATGTGCGGAAGCTCAGGCAGGGCAGGACCCCTCGGTACCTCGATGGCACTGTCACACCAATTCATCTGGTCATCCACCAACTTGATGCTGTGCTTCATGCGCTCTGGGGGCAGTAGTTTGGCCTGACCCACGACAGCTGGAGATTGGAGAAAGCAGGAGACAGAGGATGCAGTGAGGATCTGTGAGGAGACGCCAGTTCCCAACCTGGTACTGCCCAGCCCCAACTCACGGTCCATGGCTGCTGGTGCGGCAGTGCCCATGCCCCGGTTCTGGATCTGGTACACAGGCTGTGTGGGTCTCTGCCCCTCCTTCTCCCCCTTGGGTGGCGCAGGGGCTGCAGGGGGTGGTGGGGCGGTGCCCTCAGGGGTAGAGGCACCTGTCACGGCCACAGGCCCCTTCCCCTCCTCCCGTGGCTTCATGAGAACGATGGGCTTCTCCAGAGGGGCTGGAGCAGGCGGGGCAGCAGGGGCTGTTGGAGGTGGTGGCTGTTTTGACTACGGAGGTAAAAAAAATCCCATCAATGGGGGCAATCCCTTCCCTAACGGCTCCCCCTCCTCCCTCCTTCTCTGCTCACCCGCTCTGCTGGAGGTTTTGAGAGGATGATGGGGGTTTTCTGCATGACGGAAGTGCTTGTCTCTTCGCTGGCATCCTGTGGTGAGGGAGGGCAGTTACTCATGAATGGCTCTCCTGGACATTCCAGATCTTTATGTACCATGAACTATTCTAAATGCCGAAATATATTAACTACCTTGATCCTACCAACAGCCCTGTGAGATAGATACTATTATTACCCCCACTTTACAGATGAAGAAAATGAAGCCTAGAAAGGTTAAGCAGATTGCCCAAAGTCACAAAGCCCAGGCAGCCTGGCTGCAGAACCAAATCCTCAAGCATTCTGCTCAGCTGCCTCTGCGAGGCAACAAGCCCAGGAGGAAAGGAACTAGGAGCTAGACAGGTCTGGGTGCAAACCTGATCCCGCCTCGTGTTGGCTGTGTGAACTTGAATAAGGAACCACCCTCGCCACCTTCACTTATGCCTCATTTTCCCATCTGTGAGTGGGTATGGGAATTCCTTCCTCACAGACTATGATGAGGATGAAAGGAGAGAGAACTCATCAAGTGTCTAGCATGGCACCTGACACATGGCAGGTGCTCACTATGTGAGAGCTGCTGGTGGCACTTGCTATCCTGATCACCTCTGCCTCAGCCCCCTCCTGCTCTGGCAAAGCTGGCAGGCTGATCCCAAGCCTTGACCTCTTCATGCCTCCCCAACTTACCCTCAGTCTGCTGAAGAGGGGAGAAATCTGAGTCTGAGTCCCGTTCTTTCTCTGGTTCCTTGAGTAACCTCATGAGAGTCTTGACCCCTAACTGTGTCTGTTCCTTCACCAATATACTGAGGACACTTACTTAAACCCTGCTCACTTCACTGGCTTACGGTGAAGAACAAACAAAAAGACGAAGTGAAAGTGCTTCGAAAAGAAGTTTCAAGGGAAAAACTACAGGAGGAGAGGCTGTGGACTTCCAGGAGGCTAGGAAGGGGGAGATGATACAGGCTGAGTATCTCTTATCTCAGATGCCTGGGACCAGAAGTGTTCTGAATTTGGGATTTTTTTGAACTTTGGAATATTTGCATATTTACTGGTTGAGCACCCCAAATCCATTTGCAAGGCTCCAATAAACATTTCCCTTAAATGTCACGTTGGTGCTCAAAACATTTGGAATTTTGGAGCACTTCGGATATTCAGTCTATACCTGGGATGAACGCTGTGAGGGTAGAGAGAAGACACACAGATATAACCAGGCGGCAGAATGTAAAGCACTGGTGCCTGACTAGCACAGAGGAAGCAGGGGAGAGGCGAGAGAGGCATTCAGGATAAGGCCCAATGGGCTGTCACTGATATGGGAGAAAAAAATGGGAAGAGGAAAAATGGCAGAAAGATGCCGAGGTCAGCACGGGACACAGAGGATAAGAAGCCCATGGGTGTGACAAGAGGCTGCCAGGGCTCAGTAGCACATTTAGAGACAAAGATGAGGTTTAGGAGGTGCTTGTTCAAGGATTAAACCTGAAGGTGTGGCGGGATAACATTCCCCAGGAGGGCATTATGTGGAAGGAAGAGAGACTACGTGTTCTCATTTACACTGTGGCCCAAGAGAAGGAGCAAGTAAGAGCCCAGCTCACTGTGAAAAAACTATTCTTCATGTTTGTACAGTTTTATAGCTCAGAAGCTGGCCCCAGTTGTCACCTACTTCCACCCTACCTGACATCTCTGAGGTGGACAGGGCCCTAGAGAAAAAAGCCCAGGGGGCAGGTTCTGGCAGTGAGTCACCTAGGTACAGGAGGGGAGCGAGGCTGGGCCTGGGCACAAGCCGATCCCTCCTGATTCCCAGCCCAGGGCGCTCTCTACAGCAGGCAGAGCGATGCTATATGTGAGACTAAGCTGGACCTGGATCTGAGTCCTGGACCCAAAGTTTATTGACTCTGATTTTGGAAAAGTCCCTTCACCTCTGGGGCTCATTTTCCTCATTAGTGAAAATCAGATCTATCATAGAATCTACCTCATGGGGTAGCTGTAAGGGTTCAGGAAGACCCAAAGGATGTAAAAGACTTTGCACAGTGCAAGCACAGTATAGGCTGCTCAGTAAAAAGAGTAACAGTTGTTGTTATTATGACATGACCCTTTAAAACATGAGCTATGGCACCTCTCAGCTCAAACTCTCCAATGCCAATTTCACTCAGTGAAATACAAAGTTCTTTCCAAGGCCTACCAGGTCCTACATGATTTGGCCCCAGTTACTTGACTTCATCTCCTATCTCTCTCCCTCCTTCCTCATCAATTGCAGCCATCCTGGCCTCCTATGGCTACTCCTTGAACACGCCAGATATGGGCCACCTCAGGGCCTCTGCGCTTGCTGTTCTTTCTGTCTGGAATGCTCTTCATCTCAGATGCTGGCATGGCTTATTCTCTCATCTCCTTCAAGTCTCTGCTAAAAAGTCACCTCTTCAGAGAGACCTTCTCTGACCATGTTATCTAGAACAGTCTCCTTTATCACTCTCCACCTTCTTTATCCATGAGGGTGGTAGGTTTTGTTTACAAATATATCCCCGGCATCTGGATTAGTGCCTGGCACATGGCAGGTGCGTGGAACCAAATAGATACATGAATGCTGCTCCTGGGTCCAGACACTCACCCTTCTCTCTCTTTCCCATGGTGCAATGTAGTCCCTCTCCCGACCACCAGGCCCAGAGAGATTCTGGGGGCCACCAGAGCCAGGCTCCTTCCACCGTCGCCGCCGCTCTATCCCATAGAGTCCAGGCTGACTGTGTCCAGACTCAGACATGGTTACCTATGGAGGGAATGAGGGGATTTCAGGATGACAGAGTCTCTTCCTACTCTACTTGGCATATCCTAGACTATACGAAGTCCCTTCTTTCTTTTTTTTGGAGATGGAGTCTCTCTGTCGCCCAGGCTGGAGTACAGTGGCCTGATCTTGGCTCACTGCAACCTCTGCCTCCTGAGTTCAAGCAATTCTTCTGCCTCAGCCTCCCAAGTAGCTGGGATTACAGGCACCCACCACCATGCCTGGCTAATTTTTATATTTTTAGTAGAGATGGGGTTTCACCATGTTGGCCAGGCTGGTCTCGAACTCCTGACCTCAGGTGATGCACCTACCTTGGCCTCCCAAAGTGCTGGGATTACAGATGTGAGCCACTGTGCCCAACCAAGGCTCTTCCTTTCTTCTTTTTTTTGAGACAGAGTTTCGCTCTTGTCACCGAGGCTGGAGTGCAATGGCGTAATCTCGGCTCACTGCAGCCTCCACCTCACAGATTCAAGCAATTCTCCTGCCTCAGTCTCCTGAGAAGCTGGGATTACAGATGCCCACCACCACACCCGACTAATTTTTTTTGTATTTTTAGTAGAGATGGGGTTTCACCATGTTGGCCAGGCTGGTCTCAAACTCCTGACCTCAGGCAATCCACCTGCCTCAGCCTCCCAAAGGGCTGGGATTATAGGCGTGAGCCACCATGCCCGGCCAAGGCCCTTCCTTTCAACAGAGCTCTGGGCCTGTGGTAGCAACTGCAAGCTGGTTCCCAACATCCACTCCTGACTTCTTCCAAAAAAGTAAAACCCTCAGTTCTGAGCTAGGTACATGGCTATCCAGAACAAACTTCTCATCCTTGTTTGCAGTTAGGTGTGGCCATGTGAGTAAGTACTTTCTGGCTATGGTATGACACTAGAAGTGTGGCTTGGCAGCTTCCAGAAACTTCCCTTCACAGACTCTGGCACATGCCTTCTGCCCCTTCCTCCCAGTGACAGGAATGTGGGTGTGGAGGTTGGAGCTCAAGCAGCTATCCTGGGCTGTAAGGCAATTTAATGGAAGGTACAATAAAACAAGACACAAGGTTGGGGGGTTCCACGTTAACCTTGAATTGCCTACTTCGAGAGGCAGTGAAAAACAAATACACATCTATCTCTTACTTGCAGCCAAAACTATTCCCAACTATTAAAATGCTCCAACATAAATAAACTCACAGGGGCAAGTTCACATAAAAATAGGATATTCTCCTTACCAAAATGCAGCAAGGCATTTGCTTACAAACCAGCAATGTGATCCTCAGTCCAACAGCTACTCTTGATTAGTCATTACTAGTGTATGTCATGGTGGGGCTCCAGCCACTTACTAGTGTATGTCATGGTGAGGTTCCAACACTCAAGGGCCTATTTTCACCTGGTATCCCACTACATTTCAGTGTCTGTCTGTCTTCCGTTCCTGACGGTCTGCCTTCCCTCACAGTGAATTTCATTTCAAGGTGTCTCCAGTGTTTATTCTATTTGAGATGTTATATAATGTCTGGCTACCTATGCAACCCACTCTCCACCATTTCAGTATCTGTTTACAGGTCCTTAGAGAGTTTTCCCAGCTGTTCACACATCAGTCTAGGGTGGTATTTGACTACTTAACTGTTTGTAGAACTCAGTGGGGCTATCTGCTCAAGCTCAGAAGTCAGGTTGACAAAGTGTGGCCTAGGGGCCAAATCTGGTCTGCTTTCTGTTTTTGTAAATAGAAAGTTTTATCGGAACATGGCCACATCCATCAATTTAGAAACTGTCTGTGGCTGCCTTCTTGATGCAATGGCAGAGCTGAGACAGACAATACAGTCTGCAGGGCCTAAAATAATTATTCTCTGGCCTTAACAGAAAGTTTTACTGAATGGCCGAGTATGGTGGCTCACACCTGTAATCCCGACACTTTGGGAGGCCGAGACAGGAGGACTGCTTCAGCCCAGGAGTTCGAGACCAGCTTGGGCAACATAGCAAGATCCTGTCTCTATATAACATTTAAAAAAGAAAAAAGTAGCTGGGCGTGGTGACATGCACCTGTAGTCCCAGCTACTTGGGAGGCTGAGGTGGTGGGATCACTTGAGCCTGGGAGGTCAAGGCTGCCATGATCATGCTGCACCACTGCACTCTAGCCTGGGTAACAAAGCAAGACCCTGTCTAAAAAAAAAAAAAAGCAGAACCCTGTCTCAAAAAAACAGTTTGCTGACCCTTGCTTAGCTTGGAAGTATCTGTTAAATCCCTCCATGAATCCTCCCCTGCCCCACCTCATAATGACATAAACAGGTCCCTCCGAGACTCTCCAGAATGGAAGGGTCTGTTTACAAGATGCAGTCATAATTTTGCTAGCCAGACAAGTGGCTTGTCTAGCTCCTCTCCTACTGTGCTACATGACCTCTCCCAGAGCCACAAGCCAGGCTGAAGACTGCTTTCCTAGACAGAGGAGGACAAGGGCCTGTTTACAGCTGCTTAGGGAAAATGACTCATTCCATACCGAAATGACTGCTTAGTCTGGGATGGAGATTCTCCCCAGAATCTGAGACTCCTCCCTCACTTGCAATTAAGTGTCTTTACACATTATTCTGAAATCTACCCAGTGCTTAAGTACTTGTCTTCATGCCTCAATTGGGATACTGCCCAGCCCTGAGGTTTCTGTTTACTGGCCTATGAGGATGCCCTTTCCTGTGCAAAGTAAGCGCCCCTGTGTGAATGCTTTTCTTTTTTTTTTTTTTTTTTTTTTGAGACGGTCTTGCTCTGTTGCCCAGGCTGGAGTGCAGTGGCACGATCTCAGCTGGCTGCGGCCTCTGCCTCCCGGGTTCAGGCAATTCTCCTGCCTCAGCCTCCCAAGTAGGTGGGATTACAGGTGCATACCACCAGGCCGGGCTAAGTTTTGCATTTTCAGTAGAGACGGGGTTTCGCCATGTTGGCCAGGCTGGTATCGAACTCCTGGCCTCAAGTGATTCGCCAGCCTCGGTCTCCCAAAGTGATCGGATTCCCCGGGTAAGCCACCGCACCTGGCCTCCCTGTGCCCTTTATTCTGGGAGCTTCCACAGTATCTGAATGTGGGGAGTTCCTTGGAACTTAAAAGCCCACCTAAACCAGGTGTGGAGGATACAGTGAGCCGAGATCGTGCCACTGCACTCCAGCCTGGGCGACAGAGCGAGACTCTTGTCTCAAAGAAAAAAAAAAAAAACCCCACCCACATGCAAGCTGGGGACTTCCAATGCTGTTTCCGGGCTCCTTTGGGGATTACCCCCAAACTTAGGAAAGCTGGTCTATTTAAGTGTCTGCTGATGGACTTCTAGGGTGACTTCCCGAAAATTAACAAATCGAATTTACATATTTTTGGGGAGTGTCTCCTCAGTATTTAGGCATCGCTTCACACACTCCCTTCGGGGATCTCCCAGAACCTCACTATTTGCAAATATTTGGGGAGACTCTCCCGATTCCTGAGTATGTAAGCCCACTTCGTGGGGCACTCCCCAGCCCAGAACTGTAGTCGATTTGCACATTTTCCTAAGGACTCCCTAGGATTTAAACTTCTCTCTACGGGGTTCTAGAAGGGAGCCTCCCCCGGATTTAGGCATTGCTTTACAAAGCTTCCCTCGGGGAACCCAACTCAAGTTTCTCGTTACACGTTATTGGGGCGGCCTCCCCAGTACTTGACGGGCAGTTTGCAGGCTGTACTTGGATCTCGCAGAGCATAAGTTTCTCATTTACACGTTATTTCCGTCCCCCGCCCCCATTCCTGCCAACCCAGTATCGAATTGACGGTCGCCGGCCCCCTACTCAGTGCCGCACCCCCGCCGGACGTCCCAGCGACCTTTCAATGGCCAAGGCGGGGGCGGGGCCTGCCGGAGCGCCCCGCCCGCCGCCGGTGCGCTAGCCTCGCGCGGGCTCGCGGCCCCCTTACCTAACGCGGCTGCTGATTGGTTCTCGGGGCGCGGTGTGCGCTCTCCCGTGACGGGAGTCGGGTGGGGGCGGGGAGGCTGACCCAAGCCACCCGCCTGCAAATGGCGTCTGGGGGCCAGGAACGTGGGAAGGAGAGAAAATGGGCACTCCCCACTCCGAAACCGGCCTCGGCGTCCGGGTTGCAGCCCCTAAGGAAAGCTGGGCCGAAGGAAGAAGAGGAGGAGGATGTAACGCGGGCCCGAGCTGAGATCAGTTCCCTCAGGCGACTCGTCCTGCGCATGCGCTGAGGGCTGGAGCTCGAGAACTGAATGCGCTCGCCGGGCTGAGCGTGCGTGGATGGAGGCGGTCGGCTTCAGCACGCATGCGGGTTCCGGAGCGGGAGGCGGGAGGACGCCGCGGCTCTGACTCAATGCGCGTGCGCGCGGTTGGGGGGTTGAGGGTGGGGAGATGAGTAGGGAAATGGATACGCCGAGGAGCCGGCAGGAGGGAGAGCGGCCCGGATCTGGGGTTCGAGTTGTGCCTCTTCGGTGATGTTGGCGGGATGCAGTGGGGTGGGACGACAGGGAGGAATTTCACTGTTCTGGGCTGAGTGCCAAGAACACATGAATGAATCAGACTTGGCGTGCGCCCTGGAAGACACCCCGGCCTGTGGAGAGACTGCCAGGGCCTCAAATCACTTAGGAAAGGGCGCGGGTCCGGTTGGACCTTGAAGGACAGGCAGGCGAGGGTACTCCAGGGAACAGCTAAGCAAAGGCGGCGAAGACCCCGGGGGAAGAGGTCTAGACTGGCTTGGATTCAGGGTCCACCTGGGTGGGAGGTGAGGCAGCAGAATGGGCAGGTCAGACCCTGAAGGGTCTCCAGTGTCAGTTTTATCCTTAAGGCCTGGGAGATGCAGAATAGTCTGAGACAGAACTATGTTTAAAACCCTCGAAGGC
The DNA here is from genome assembly GCF_000001405.40 of Homo sapiens. NCBI lineage: Eukaryota > Metazoa > Chordata > Mammalia > Primates > Hominidae > Homo > Homo sapiens. Next base: position 43,755,588 of record NC_000019.10, read on the forward strand.
CGCGTTGGAGAAGGGAATCCGCTCCAGGGTCGAAAATTTAAACACACGTGGGCGGAGTCTTGCGCGCGCCAAAGAGGAACATTGGGCGACGGGCGCGGCCTGGAGAGCGCATGCGCATTCGGAAGGGTCGGCAGTTCCCCAGTGGGCAGAGTGGGTGGATGGGAAGGTTCTAGCTTTTTATTTGAAATTTTATTTATTTTTATTTTATTTATTTATTTAGAGACGGAGTCTCGCCCTGTCACCCAGGCTGGCGTGCAGTGGCGAGATCTCGGATCACTGCCGTCTCCACCTCCTGAAATTCAAGCGATTCTCCTGCCTCAGCCTCCCAAATAGCTGGGATTACAGGCGTCCACCACGCCTGGCTAATTTTTTGTATTTTTAGTAGAGACTGGGTTTTGCCATGTTGGCCAGGCTGGTCTCGAACTCCTGACCTCAAGTGATCCGCCCGCCTCGGCCTCCTAAAGTGCTAGGATGACAGGCGTGAGCCACCGTGGCTGGTCTAAAAAAAAGTTTTTTAAAATTATATTTGAACAGGTATTACATGTACATACACAATTCAAACCTCTCTGGCTGTATACAATAAAAGTAAGTTTCCACCTCTGGTTCCCATTTTCCTTTCCTAAAGCACTGGTTCCCGGTTTCCTTCTGGAGCTGCTGTTATAATAAAGCATTGGAGTTAAGAGCATGTGTTGAGTTCATATAAATAGCGGCTGAGCTTGACCAAGTGACTTAATACTCTCTACTTCTACGTCCCTGTTTGTGAATTGGGTGTGGTATAACCTTACTTACAACATTGCCGCCAGCATTAAATGGGTGAGAGTGCATAGAACAGTGCCTGTTGCCTAATGGTACTGTGTGTTGTCTCTGTGTATTATTTTGTGGTCTACCATGCTGATAGTTGTAGATTCTGAGCAGCCCTCTCCCCTCCAGGCCTCATCCCTACTGTCATTGTCCCAGTACCAGTACCAGGTGGAGCCACCTCTCCAGGCTGCCACAGGTAGAAACACCAGTCACCCAGAATGACTTGAGTCCACTGTTGATGGATTCTGGGGAAAGATTCTGGGTGTTTGATAAAGATACACATGACAGGCCATCTCTGTATTATGTCTATCAGTGTCCAATTTTACTTCTTCAGCTCAGGCCATATCTGAATTTCTCAACCCCAGATCACTCACGATTGCCAGTTTCACGTCAGGGCAACCCTCAGAGGTAGAATTTTCTTAAAAGAGGGAAAGAGGAGGCCTGGCATTGACCTTGGACCCACTGTGTACCAGGCTGTGTGCTCTCTGCTTTATATACATCACTATAATCTTCTCCCCTAATTTGTTTAACAGATGTTGGTCCGCGCAGTGACTCACGCTTGTAATCTCAGCACTTTGGGAGGCCGAGGCAGGCAGATCACCTGAGGTCAGGAGTTCAAGACCAGCCTGGCCAACATAGCGAAACCCCATCTCTACTAAAAGTACAAAAATTAGCCGGGTGTGGTGGCATGCGCCTGTAATGCCAGCTGCTCGGGAGGCCGAGGCACGAGAATCACTTGAACCCAGGAGGTGGAGGTTGCAGTGAGCTGATATCGCACCACTGCACTCCAGCCTGGGTGACAGAGTAAGGCTCTGTCTCAAAAAAAAAAAAAAAAAAAAAAAAAAACAGATGTAGACAAATGAGCCTGGAAGAGAGAAGGGCCTTACCGAAGTCCCCATAGGCAGGAAGCAGCAGGGCCTGGATTCAAACCCGGGCCTGGATTCAAACCCAAGCCTGTCTCACTCCAGAGCAAGCCTACACTTTTTCCCTGGCACCGGGGAGCCAGCCTGGTGATGAGTCAGCAGTACAGTCAGGCACCCAGTGAGCTGCCTTTTGTATTAGTGGCATGGTATGCTGTTCTGGAGATATATCATACTTTAACACTTTCTCTGTTGATGAGCATTTAGACTGTTGCTGAACTTCTGCTCTTACAAACATTTACTGCAGGGGTTTGTGTGTATGTTTCTGTTTTCTAATTTTTTCTTTTTCAGACATGTTCTTGCTGTCTCGCCCAGGCTGGAGTCATGTAATACAGTTGTGGCTCACTGCAGCCTCAACCTCCTGGGCTTAAGCAATCCTCCCACCTCAGCCTGAGGAGTAGCTGGGACCACAGGCATGTGCTACCACACCCAGCTAATTTTCTATTTTTTGTAGAGACGGGGTTTCACTATGTTGCCCAGGCTGTCTCAAACTCCTGGCTCAAGCAGTCCTCCTGCCTCAGCCTCCCAAAGTGCTGAGATTATGCTACAGTTAATATCCTGGTACACGTGGCTGCATGTATATGTTAGTATTGTCAGTAGACTATCTCATTTGAAGTGCAAGTAGAATTGCTGGGTCAAAGGGTATGCACATTGGGAATTTTGAGAGCCATTGCCAAATGATCTGTTCATGTCTTTATTTTTTGTTTTTGAGACAGGGTCTCCCTCTGTCACCCAGGCTGGAGTACAGTGGCATGATCATAGCTCACTGCAGCCTCAGCTTCCCAGGTTCAAGCAATTCTCCTGTCTCAGCCTCCCGAGTAGCTGAGACTACAGGCATGTGCCACCACACCCGGCTAATTTTTGTATTTCTTGTAGAGACAGAGTTTCACCATGTTGCCGAGGCTGGCCTCAATCAATCCTTCCACCTCAGCTTCCCAAAGTGCTGGGACTACAGGTGTGAGCCACTGCGCCTGGCCCTGTTCATCTCTTTTTCACTTTTTGTTCATTTCTTTCATTTATATGTTGAATGAATTATGGAACTCTAGTCATCTGCCAGGCACAGCTGTAGGCTGGAGATCCTGTAATGAATAGGAAAAGCACCTGCCCTTTGGGAGCAGATATTCTAGTGGGGCAGATGACATCAGATAAAGGATGCTTGGAAGAAAAGAAAATCGGGGGTGAGGATTGGGAAGACATTGCAAAGGATACAAAATTTCATTTAGACAGGAGGAATAAATTCAAGAGATCCAGTCCACAACATGGTAACTATAGTTAGTAACAATGTATACTTGAAAATTGCTAAGAGGATAAATTTTCAGTGTCCTCACCACAAAAATGATAAATATGTGAAATAATGCATATGTTAATTAGCTTGATTTAGCCATTGTACAATGTATAAATATACAAAACATGTTGTACACCATAAATATATACAATTTTTATTTTTCAATTAAAAATAAAGTCAGGTGCCGGGCGCAGTGGCTCACGCCTGTAATCCCAGCACTTTGGGAGGCCGAGGCGGGCAGATCATAAGGTCAGGAGATCGAGACCATCCTGGCTAACATGGTGAAACCCCGTCTCTACTAAAAATACAAAAAATTAGCCAAGCGTGGTGGCGGGCGCCTGTAGTCCCAGCTACTCCGGAGGCTGAGGCAGGAGAATGACATGAACCTGGGAGGCGGAGCTTGCAGTGAGCCAAGATCGCACCACTGCACTCCAGCCTGGGCAACAGAGCGAGACTCTGTCTCAAAAAAAAAAAAAAAAGTCAGGTTACAGGAATTGACAGTGATAGAGGTCACAGAGAGTGACAGGTGGCCAGGGAAGGCCGCTTTGAGGGGATGACATTTGATCAGAGGCCTGAATGCAGTTAAGGAAGGTCAGGAAATGAGCCATCTAAAGATGCTGAAGAACGGCCAGTAAAAGACCCCAAAGTGGGAGTGGGCCTGGCTGTCCAAGGATGGTCAAGGTGGCCAGAGTGGCTGAAACAGAGCAAGGGAGGGAAAGAAGGGCAGGATTATTTAGAGACGGAGCTGTAGACAGGGCCAGTTTACATAAAGTCTTACAGGCCATGGTAAGCATTTGGAATTTACTTCCAAATGTAACAAAGCCATTGCAGGGCTACAAACAAGCACCGGCTTGTTCCAATTAATGTTTACAAAGACTTCTCCAGTGAACAACAAAAATTAACAGTGATTGCCTATAGGGATGAGGGTTATAGACAGATGTGGGTCAGGGCTATGGGAACTTAAAAAGCGTTGTTGTTTTTTTAAACCACGTAATTATTAGCTATGCGCAAAAATGTTCAGTGAAAACAGTGCTGGTTGCTGTGAGGAGAATGGCCTGCAGGGGCGGAAGCAGGAGATGAGAAAGCTGGTGTCCTTGCCTGGGCAAGAAAGGATAGTGGTTCTGGAAGAGGGTGGTGCTAATAGATGAGTTGAGAAGGGTCAGGAACTGGGATCTTTTTTGAAGGTAGCGCCAAGAAATTAAACATGGGGTGTGAGAGGAAGCATGAATCAGGGGTGACTTGAAAGTCATCCTAGAGATCTGTTGTACAACAGGGTGACTCTCATTCATAACAATGTGTTATATGCTTGAAACTTACTAAAATAATAGATTTTAAGTTTTCTCACACCACAAAAAAATAAGTATGTGAAATAATGCATATGTTAATTAGCTTGATTTAGCCATTCCACAATGTGTACATATATTAAAACATCATGTTATTTGCAGCATTAAAAAAAGTTCTAGCGGGGAGGGGGGAGGGATAGCATTAGGAGATATACCTAATGCTAAATGACGAGTTAATGGGTGCAGCACACCAGCATGGCACATGTATACATATGTAACAAACCTGCACATTGTGCACATGTACCCTAAAACTTAAAGTATAATAATAATTAAAAAAAAAAAGTTCGAGAGGTTTTGGTCCTGGCCAACTGCCTGAAGACTGAGACTTTTTTTTTTTTTTTTTTTTTTTTTTTTTTGAGATGGAGTCTTGCTCTGTCGCCCAGGCTGGAGTACAGTGGCGTGATCTCGGCTCACTGCAAGCTCCGCTTCCTGGGTTCATGCCATTCTCCTGCCTCAGCCTCCCGAGTAGCTGGGACTACAGGTGCCCACCACCACGCCCGGCTAATTTTTTTGTATTTTTAGTAGAGTCGGGGTTTCACCATGTTAGCCAGGATGGTCTCGATCTCCTGACCTCGTGATCCACCCGCCTCAGCCTCCCAAAGTGCTGAGATTACAGGCGTGAGCCACCACGCCCGGCCTAAGACTGAGGCTTTTTACCGGGATGAGGAAAAGTACTTTTGATGGGAAATCAACAAGCTTTGAAATTCTTAACTTTGAGATGCACGTTGGTCATCAAATAAGTGGTTGGAGTTAGGGGAAAAAGCCGGGGTTTGTAGATAAAGACTTTCTGACTTTGCGTCACAGAATTTAGTTTAATTAATTAATTTATTTTGAGACAAAGTCTTGCACTGTCACCCAGGCTGGAATGCAATGGCACGATCTTGGCTCCCTGCAACCTCCACCTCCCGAGCTCAAGCAATCCTCCTGCCTCAGCCTCCCAAGTAGCTGGGACCACATATGCTCTAGCACACCCGGCTAATTTTTTAGAGATGAGGGTTCACTATGCTGCCTAGGCTGGTCTCGAACCCCTGGGTTCAAGCAATCCACCCCATCAGCCTCCCAAAGGCTGGGATTACAGTCACTACAGAGTTTTAAAAATACACACAAAGATGTTATGGTATGAAGAGACTCCCACGTACCCATCGCCCAATATTGACAGACATCTGCATTTTTCTTGTCTTATGTCTTCTATTTTTCCCTCCCACATATAAGCATACTTCCCGCCACCCCCTGGAGTTTTGTTTGTTTTAAGAAAATCACAGATAACCTGTCATTTTGTTAATAACTATACAAGTATGCTAAATTTTGGAGCTGCCTATTTATAGATGATATTTAAAGCTATGATTTGCTGAGATCATCTAGGCTGAGAGGTTGAAGAGAGCAGGGACTAGGCCTGAGCATCCCGCATGTAGAAGCCAGGATCCTGGAGAGGGGCTGAGATGGAGCCAGGAGTGTCAGGAGAGGGGATGACCTGGCGCCATGGGATCAAAGGGTTCCAAAGAGAAGATAATGGACTAAGGAGCAGAGACACGGGGCAGCAGCTGGAGGCAGATGTGGGGTCCACCATGGAAAAGACATGACTTTTGATCCCCCATCTAACTGTGTTATGGAACCTTCTCAGTATCTATCAGGAAAAATGTATAAGTACTTATTTTTCTTTATTTTTATTTATTTTCTTTTTGGGTGACATATAACTTAAGTGTGGTAAAGTATATAAAGGGCACAGATCTTAAGTGTACCAGGTAATGAATTTTCACAAATTTATGCATCCATGTAACCGCTAATCAGAGAACATTTCCAGCACCCAGACGTCTTCCTTGTGCTCTTTCCCTGTCAATTCCCCTGCTCCAGAAGCAACCACCCATCTAATGCCTTTCAAAAACAGGCACAGAGATTCGTTGTGTCTGTTTTTGAACTTCATGCGAATGAAATCTTACAGCATGTCTTCCGTGTGTCTGGCATCTTTAGCTCTTTATGTCTGGCAAAGTCTTTTATGTCATTCTATGTAGCAGGAGTTTAGAACCAACTTTATGGCCGGGCTTGGTGGCTCACATCTGTAATCCCAGCACTTTGGGAGGCGGAGGCAGAGGCAGGCAGAACACGTGAGGCTAGGAGTTCGAGACCAGCCTGGCCAACATAATGAAACCCCATCTCTACTAAAAATACAAAAAATTAGCTGGGCGTGGTGGAGGTGCATACCTGTAATCCCAGCTACACTCGGGAGGCCGAGGCACGAGAATTGCTTGAAGCTGAGAGGCAGAGGTTGCAGTGAGCCGAGATCACGCCACTGCACTCCAGCCTAGGTGACAGAGCGACAGATATTTTGCAGTTTGGTGAATAGTGAACTTTAAGGAAAATGGAGAATCTAAAATGCTTCTGAAAGTTCCAGTGGGATGTTTATAAGATGGGAGAAATTATAGCATGTTTGTGTGCAGATGGGAATGATAGAGGGAAAAGAGACCAGGAGACTTTGGAGCTGTTTTTTGAGGAGGTGTGGACAGGGTGAGGGGGCTAGACTTGACTTGAAGAAGGGCCAGCTCATCCTGGAAAAAGAAAGGAAAGTTTTATCATTTGACACCCCCTCCAAATTATAAAAAGCACTCTCCTGGTTTGTATATGTTAGCAGCTATTCCACACAACATAAAAGCTTAAAGCATGCCTTTGGACTGCCAGTCTGGTGTTGATGATGATGATACAGCTTCCTTTATGGACCATAATAAATAGCTGGGCTGGGCATGGTGGCTCCTGCCTGTAATCCCAGCACTTTGGGAGGCCAAGGTGGGAGGATCTCTTGAGCCCAGGAGTTTGAGACCAGCCTGGGCAACATAGTGAGACCCCCGTCTCTACAACAAAGAACTGAATAAATGTTAGTGATGTTTATTTTTATTCTGAGTGGATGGGGCAAGAAGGAGGGGAGAGCAGCAGGCAGTTTGGGAAGGAAGAGGAGCCTAGTGGCCTGAGCAGCCAGGACAGGGAGGAGAAGGGGAGGCCAGAAGACGGGGAGAGACTGAGCTTGCAGAGTCCCCCGGGTGAGGCTTGTGGGCATACTGACACAATGGAATACTACTGTGTAATGAAAAGGATGAGCAGCATGGCTGAATCTCACCACCACCCTGCAGAGCCCAAGACACAGATACACACCAGGGCGTGCAGCAGGGTTCCTTCCAAAGTTCAAAGTTGAACAAAAGGAATCAAGACAGGTCAGGATGGTGGTTCCTGGGATGAAGGGGGCTGTTGGCTGGGAGGGAAATGAGAGCTTTAGGGGGCTAGACACTTCTAGCTTGATCTGAGTGATGGCTACTCAGGTGAATGTATTTGAAGAAATATATTGAGATTACATTTAAAATTTGTGTACTTTATTGTATGTTAAAATATATGTCAGTTAAAGAAAAAAAGGGGGCAGGCATGGTGGCACACAGCTGTAGTCCCAGCTGCTTGGGAGGCTGAGGCAGGAGGATCACTTGAGTGCAGGAATTCGAGGCTGCAGTGAGCTACGATTGTACCACTGTACTCCAGCCTGGGTGACAGAGCAAGACTCTGTCTCTAAAAAAAAAAGAGCTGGACTCAGAGCTAGACTTTGACAGGAGGGCAGTGGGAGGAATGGGAAGTGTGTGGGTGTTAGAAAGGTCCTCAAGGGCAGTTGGGGGATTTATGAAGGGGAAAGGCCCGTGACTGGCTGTATGACCCTGGGAAGCCCCTGCCCTCTCTGGACCGCCTTTCCCCCACCCAGTCCTCATGAGAGTGCAGGCAGAACAGAAATAGGAGAAGGAAGGAGCCAAAATCACCATGAGACTCAGCTCCTGGAGGACAGAGCCCTCTGATTCATGTCTGCAGCCCAGCTCCTGGCTCAGGGCCTTCAGGAAGTGTTGATTTGGTGAGGGGGGTGCAAAACCTGCCAGAAGTGGGGGCATCCAGGCTTGAGCCCCACAGTGGAGAATGAGGGCAGGCGGGCCAGGGCAGATCCAAGATAATTCAGAACACAGGATCTCTTGTATGTTCTCCTAGGTTCTTAGTCAAAAGCCCCTTTTCACTGGTTCTGACCTTGCCTCAGCTGAAATCAACATGGGATGGCTCAGCTGAAACCAACATGGGGTGGCTTCAGGCCATCCCAGGCATTCAGAGGGTTCGTTTAATGACATTCACTGAGGCCCTGTCTATGTCAGGCCCTTGGTGTTGAAGACGCAATCATGAACAAAAATGAAAATACAATGTGATGGTCTCCTGAGTGTCTGAATGCGCCAGGTGGCTAAGTGCTGGGGCTCTGGGGTCAGGCTGCCTGGGTCACATCCTGGCTCCAAACTGCTTTGCTATGGCTTCGGGCAGTTACCTCATCTGTAAAATGGGACCAACATTGCCTACCTTGCCTCCTTTTGTGAGGTCACTTATTAAAAGGGCTTAGCGTGGTGCTTGACCCATTATTATTATTATTATTATTATTATTATTATTATTATTATTATTATTATTACTACTACTACTACTACTTGAGACAGGGTCTCACTTTGTCACCCAGGCTGGAGTGCAGTGGCACGACCACAGCTCACTGCAGCCTCGACTTCCCAGCCTCTTCAAGTGTTCCTCCCACCTTACCCTCCCAAGTAGCTGGGACCACAGGTGTGTGCCCCCACACCTGGCTAATTTGTTGTCGTTGTCGTTGTTGTTGTTGTTTGAGATGGAGTCTTGCTCTGTCACCCAGGCTGGAGTGCAGTGGCACGATCTCGGCTCACGGCAAACTCCGCCTCCTGGGTTCAAGTGATCTCCTGCCTCAGACTCCCGAGTAGCTGGGATTACAGGCACACACCACCACGCCTGGCTAATTTTTGTATTTTCAGTATAGACAGGGTTTCACCATTTTGGCCAGGCTGGTCTCGAACTCCTGGCCTCAGGTGATCTGCCTGCCTCGGCCTCCCAAAGTGCTGGAATTACAGGCGTGAGCCACCATGCCTGGCCAGACCCAATATTATTATCGTGATAGGGATAGGTTTATGAGGCTATAGGAGTATCAGACAGGGCCTCCTGGAGGAGGGGACATATTAGCCGAGGCCTACAGGAGGCGTAGGAAGGAGTGTTTGCCAGCTAAAAGGGAGTGGAGGCAAGGAAAGAGAGGTCCCAGAAGAATGAGTTTGGCAGGGGCTTTGGCAACACTGCCAGGAGAGCTTCTTGCAGGGGAAGGGTGTCAGCAATATCTGGAGGTCTCATCCAGTTCCTTTCTTGAGTCCCCGCCTTTACTCCCCAGGTGGGCTGGCCTCCAGAGGAAGGGCAGTTCGTGGCAGTGGGTGGCGGAGGCTCCAATTTAGCTCTCAGGGATGAAGGGGCGAGGCTGGCTGTGGACTTTAAGGGAAATCCAAAGATAGCTCAACAGAAAAGGATGACTCGCAGCCTGATCTTCCCCTCAAGAGGAGGGAAGCAAGAATGAATCAGCCTCTCAAGCTGGAATGAAGTTGCGGCGGGAAGTCAGTCCTCGGTTTGTGGCCCAAGGCCACTCTGCCTCTGACTCACCTTGCAGTGGGGCGGGATGGGTGTGAATCTGGGCTCTCCAGCCCGTATTCCTAGCTTCCGGCTGGGGGCCTGAGGGGAGGCCTGGCTCCTCTTGAAACCTCGGTTTCTACATCTGTGCAGTGGGGTAACGAGGGTCAGGAGAGTGGTTATGGTGACTTATAAACAGAGCTGGGCACACAGTAGGGCCTCTGGAAGTGCCAGCCCCCCTCCTTTGCCCCCTTCCCTTTCACATCCTCTCTTGAGCGGATGTGAAACGGGTATGTGGGTGGTTTGGGGAGGTTTGGGGCCTCTGTTAGTCTCTTGATGAGTGAGTTGTCATCTAGATTCTGGTAAGGCATGAATAGAGGGAGAAAAGCAACAAAAAATCAGAAAAAGGGCAGCCACGCATTGTGTGTGAAAATCAAAAACAATAATAAAAATGATTCTTGGCCAGGGACAGTGGCTCACGCTTGTAATCCCAGCACTTTGGGAGGCTGAGGCGGGCAGATTGCTTGAGCCCAGGAGTTCAAGACCAGCATCTGCAACATAGTGAAACCCCATCTCTACTAAAAATACAAAAATTAGCCAGGCGTGGTGGCAGGTGCCTGTAATCCCAGCTACTTGGGGACTAAGGCAGGAGAATCGCTTGAACTCTGGAGGCGGAGGTTGCAGTGAGCCGAAATCGCGCCACTGTACTCCAGCCTGGGTGACAGAGCAAGACTCCATCTCAAAAAAAAAAAAAAAAGATTCTCTCTCACATATTTGGTTCCTACTAAATGCCTCTGGGCTACTCCATGTTTTAATCTTCACAGCAGTTCCATGGGGAGGCAGTCCCATTTCACAGGTGAGGTAAACTGTTCAGAGGTGAAGCCACTTACCCAAGATCACACCACCAGTGGATGGTAGAACCAGGATTTGGACCCTGATCTGTCTGAGTTCAAAGCTGTTGCTCTTTGCCTCAGATCTGGGCAGGGGACTGTTGCTGAGGACTGCCCAGCCTACAGAGTTGGGAGGGCACTTACAGGAGAAGGCCTCTGAGACAGGTTCAGACAAGGCAACAGTCTTCCACTGGACGGTCTGCCAGTTAGGAGTGTAGATATGTTTAGAGAGAAATGGCAACTTCTGGCTTTAACATTTATTACAAAGATAAGAGCAGAGGCTGGTGAGTTACACTTCTTCCTCCCCACCAGGTGCTCTCTGCAGCTCTGGAAAAATGGTGTCCTCTTTGTTGTCCCACCAGGGGGCGCCACCTCCAGCCCCGCCCCAGCCTCATACCCAGTTCTTCAGCTCGGCCAGCGGTAACTGAAGCCTCCCAGAATCCTGGATCCGGGCCCCTAGTACCCTCTTTCCCAGGGACCCAGGAGTCCTGCCTCCAGTCGCCTGCACTTGTAACTGAGAGCTGGAGGTCGTCCATAGCAGCATAGTGAGAGTGTTTTTGATGAGGGTATGCAGAGTGGGGGTGACCATGTTCCCACCTGGGGCCTCAGGTGGGCCAAGGCCTACCCACTTTAGCCAGCGTCCCCTCCAGCAGCCATCAGCAAGCCAACCCACTCCAAGCCAGGGCCCCCTTTGGTCCTTGCACTTGAGGTGCTTTGTTCAGGGCTGGGTCAGGAGTGGCAGAGACGATGTCCACCACCTCAGTACTGGGGAAAGTAGCCTGGTTCCTCCTCGTGGGTCCTGGAGAGACAGAGAGACTGATGGAGAGGCAGGCCAGGAAGAGGGAGAGTGAGAGTGGGACACACCGAGGTGCAGACAGAAACCGGTGGGCAGAAGTGGGAGACAGGGGGCAGGTGTTTCCGGGCCCCGAGGCCAGGGGGCAGGAGGGCATTTAGACAGAGACATTGGATGGACAGCCAGACAATGTGCCCAGGACAGGCAGAGAGAGAGAGAGAGACCAAGCAAAGAGGGAGAAGGCCATCAAGGGTCAGTGAAGGGGAGAGGGTACACCATCTTCCTTCACTGCCAGTCCAGCCCCGAACTGAGTCCTTTCCTCCAGACAGTGCCAGAGCTGATGAGAAAAGGCGGCCTTGTCTCCCAGCCATCCCCCGCCCCCTTAGCCACATAGGGTGCTGGCCACAGGAACCCTTCCTCCAGGATGCCTTCCTGCCCAAGTCCCAGCCCCCTCACCAGCTACTTGGACTGCTGGCTGGGTTCTGGAAGCTGCCTCGGCCCCAGGGCAGTGCTAAGCAGCTCAGTCAGGGCATCCAGCTTCCCCGCCAGCGTGTCAATCTGTTTCTCCAGGGCCCGGTGTGAGCTGCTCAGATTCTGCTGCAGGTCATACAGGATCATGTGCATCTGGGTGGGAGGAGAGGATCAGAGGTGTCGGGGCTGGGGTCGACCCCCACCTACTCCATAGCGTAAGGCAATGGAACCAATATTGACCACATCCTTATGGTCCTCTGAGGATTACCCTCGACAATAACTGTTACCATGTATTGACCACCTACCACTTCCCAGCTACCTGCCCAGGTGTTTCCCTATATGGTTTAAAATCCTCCCAAAAGCCACAGGGAGTGGGAATCCTGTTCCTGTCTTACAGCTGAGGAAACAGGCATGGAACAGTTAAATGACATGCCCAAAGCAGCTCCTGAAATAAGACCTAGAACATAGCAGGTGCTCATTAGATATTTCTAGCATGGATGATGCCTGACTTCCAAATCCACATAGTCTTTTACTGCATTCTCTGGCTAGGATTCACTAGTTGATCCCTGAGGGTTTGTGGATTTTCTATGGAAATTCTTGAATTCTGTGTTTTTGGCTTGATAACCTTCAGAAATTACCACCTGCCAATTCCTGCAGATCTGGGCCACTGCCTCGTCACTGAGACCTGCCATGCGGTTTTGGGGCCTGCATCTGTGACCGTGCTTACCATGGCATTGCTGCCAGGGGCCACTGTTTGAACTGTCGTGGGCTAACGAGAAAAAGCAAAGGCCACCAGATAAGCAGAAGATGCTGTGAGCCAGGCCAAGGGGGTGTTGTGACATCATTGTCCCTAAGCACTGGCGAAATCAAATGGTCTCAGCAGAAGAAGGGGGCGGGTAGCTGAGTCACGCCTTGGCCAGGCAAACTTGCATGGACGTCCCTGTTGCCCTGAGTACCCCTCCACAAGAGCAGCAGAGATTGAGTTTTACGGAAACAATGTCACCTGTGTCCTTGTCAGTGTTGTTCATTTTAATTGTATTGGTTTTGCCGTCTATGGGCTTGGTTTGTAAATTTGCTTTGGTTTTATTGTATGAGCTGTAGTTGGAAGGAATTTTATATCCGTCCACATGTAAGTAACTTAACAATAAAGATAATTTGAAACCAAACACTGGGGTTCTTTGTGCAATTTTTTTTTTTTCAGTTTGTAAGGGATCTGTGCCTTTCATGAATGTAAGAAGCTCTGTGTTGCATCATTCATTCCTTCCTTCCTTCATTCAACCACAGACCTTTACTGACAGGCTGTGTGTGCCAGGCCCCTGCCAAGGTTCCCTGTTCTAGGGCCAGATTTCCCTCCCTGTGGCCCCAACCTCCCCCTTCTTCAAGACCTCCTCCCACGGGATCCTAGTACCTTGGAGATGTCCACCATGGAGTTCACTTGTTCCCGGAGCTTCCGGTGTTTCAGCCGCACCTGGCGGAACCTGTGGGAAGAAGTGGGGAGTCAGTTTTACAAGCCTGGTCCCTGAATGTAGCTGTAGCTCAGGGGAGGAATGAAGGGAGGAGAGGCACATGAAGAAACAAAACAAAGAAACAAAGTTGTCGAAGAGCTGAAAGAGTGGGAGGGGATGCACCCTGCCTCCCCACGAGCCCCCATCCCCAGTAGAAACCCAGGTACCCAGGTCCGCAGACACACCGAGATATGCGGAGACAAACCAGCACAGACACATAGAGTCATGCACGGTCAGATCCAGGTGAGACCTGGATGTTGAGTGAGACCACACCTGGGTGTCCTGACCTGGACAGGCATGGACATGCACACACACAGCCGTGCAGAGAGGTGACTTGGACATGGGTGCACATGGACACGTGTGCATACAAAGCGGCCCTCACGCGTTGATGGCGGCCAGCAGCTTGCGCTGATGCCTGCGGGCAGCATGAGACTCCTTCCTGCGAGTATGTTTGTAGAACATCCAGGCTTCTTGTAGCACTCGGGCAGCGGACTCCTTCATCTGGGGGTGGGTGGCACAGTGTCCGTGGAGATAGACCCTTACGGTTCTGGGAAGGCAGGGCTAGGGCTGGGACTCTTGGGTCCTAGGGGAAGCAGGGGCGCCTGGACTCCTGCTTCTTGGAAGAGGGGTGTCCCATGGGTGCCATATGCCCATCTCACCTCTTTGGTATACTGGATATCCATCATGAAGTTGTGCACGTGCTTCTCTGCCTTGTTAAACTCCAGCTTCCGGGCCACCACGGCCACCAGCAGGGCTGTGCAGCAGACACCCTGTGGGCACAGCAGGCACCGTGGCATGAGGCTGTGCCACCGACTCCCTCCTTGAACCCGCCCAACAGCCACAGACGGTAGGCACGACCATCCCCAGTTAGCAGACAAGCAAAGAGGCTCAGAGAGGAGAGCCAAGGTCCCAGCTCAGAGCGGTGGAGCTAGAATCATAAATCGCATACGTCCGAGCCCAAATTTGATGCATAGCATTCACACCCTCAGGGTGGCCTCTTGAATGAAGGATAGGATTGGAGGAGTGAGAGGAAGGCTGGGTTCTGAGCCAGGGGCAGGCCTCTGGGTCCTCAGTGCTCATGTGGTCAGCCATTGCACTGTGGAGGGCGACCATCCTTCTCCCACTCCCACAACTTCTTCCTAGCTCCAGCCCTGTCTTCTCTCTCCTGGACCGTCTCCAGCCTCCCACTCATCCTCCCCTAACCCCCTTGGTCCCCTCTAATCTCCCAGGCTTCCACTGGCCTGAACGTCTCAGCCTGGCTCCCAAGGCCTTCCAAGGTCTATGCCTCCCACCTGGACAACTCAGCCCTGGCTCCATGCTGCCTGCCCTCCCTGAGCACCTTCCTCCGAACACTCATTCTCCTCCCTTCCTTCTCCCAATGCTCCTGGCCCTTCAAGGCCTTGGCAATTCCTAGCTGCTTGTGGCATCTGCTCACCTGTCCCCAAGTTAGAAGGAATCTTCCTAGGAAGCATCCCCAACCCTATAGTTTCAGCTCTTGATCACTCAGAACAACTTCCAGTCACAAACGCTGGCTCCAGGGGACTGCCTGGGTTCCAAGCCCAGCTCTGAGCAAGTTATTTAATCTCTCAGTATTTCAGTGTCTCATCTGTGAAATGGCCTCACAGGGTTACTAGGTGGATTTCATGAATTACCCCTGGCAAGTGTGTAGGGCAGAGACTGGCACAGAGTATGTGCTCCGGAAAAGTAAGCTTTTATGGCCCAACCATGCCATGGAGCCTTTCTTCCAGGAGCAGGCTGTGAGCTCAAGTGCACATCACCCTATCTCTCTAGGTTTCTGTTTCTCCTTTTGTCAAATGAGGGAGGAGGTCCTGAGCGGTGCTGCAGGTCCCTAACTGAGTCTCTGCCCCTCTTCCCTTGCTCCAAAGACTCACCACTGGGGGAGTGGAGGTCACCACATCCTTCACCTGTGCACCTAGGGATTGGGGGATGAATATGTCCTTCCTAGGCCCACATCTGGGCTAGGTGCTGGTGGCTTAGGTCCCCGAGGGTGAGGGGAACCCGATCTTGTAGGGAGGTGAAGGCCAAGGCATTAGGTGCTAGTCTCTAGAGGGGGCCAGGGCTGGGTGGGAGGACCTGAGTGACTGGGTCTATGGAGGGAAGGAGGTGGATGTCAGGGTTCAGGAAGAGGCTGACTCAGGCTGCAGAGCCTCTGCCTCATCCTTGAGGGCAACAGGAGCTGGTGTGGGGTGGCTGGATGCCTGGCCACCCCTAGACCTGTTTACTGAGCACCTCCTGTGGGCTGGGCACTGTTGGAAGCACTTTACGTAGTTGGACCCATTTAATCATCTCAGCAAGCCCATGAGGAGCATCAGCATCCCCATTTTATAGATGAGGAAAGTGAGGCCCCGAGAGATCACGTGGCTCGCCTGAGCTCCCCAGCCAGGAAGTGGCAGCCGCAGGATTCGGACCCAGGTAGCCTGGCCCCACAGGTATGCACTTGATAACTGGACTCTACACCCTTGATGGAGGCTGGGAGACGATTTCCCAGTTCTGGAAGAAAATGGGGCTGCGAAGTCAGGAGCCTGGGTCCCTGAGGAGGATAAGGGCTGGGGCCCTAGGTTCTAGAGAGAGCAAGGACTTAGGGGCTGGATTCCTAGGTCTGATTTTTTATTTTATTTTTTAAGAGACAGGGTCTCACTCTGCCACCCAGGCTGGAGTGCAGCAGTATGATCATAGCTCACTGTACCCTCAAACTCTTGGGCTCAAGTGATCCTCCCACCTTGGCCTCCCAAAATATTGGGATTACAGGTGAGTATCTTGTTCTTGAAGAGAGAATGGGGCTCTGGGGGCCCCAGACACTCAAGTTTCTCAGGAGCTGTCCCTGAGAGCCTGTGTTGAACCCATTTAATCATGGCTTCCTGGGGCCAGAGGATGACCAGTTTGGGATAGGGATCATGTCCCCAAGGCAGCTGTACTCACCATGACTCCAGTGCACAGGCAGACGATCTTGCCCCACATGGTGCCCGGCACCACGTCACCATAGCCGATGGTCAGGAATGTGATGGGGATCAGCCAAAGTGTGTCTGAAAGGTGCCCAGTGGCATTAACAGCCTGCCTATGGGGAAGGGTAGGTTAGTTCTAAAACCCCACCATAGAGGTTTCCATGATATTCACTCCCCTTCCCTCTATACCCTCCCATCCCCTTCCCTCTGGTTCCCTCCCTTCCCCTCCCAGTATACACCCATAGTCCTAAGAATCACCTGGACAAAAAGCCATTAAGTTCTGAGCTTTGGAAAGCCTGCATGGCCTCCTCTCTGCTGTGTGACCTGGGCAAGTTGCTTAGCCACTCTGGGATTTGAGACTGGGTCTGGCCAATCCCAATGCCGGTATGGTCTCAGCTAGGCTACCCGGGCTGCTGTAGCATTCAGAGCGTGTGGTTGAGGGTGGAGAGTCGATAGGGGGCCAAAACCCAGTCAGACCCTGACTGGTGGCTACATCCACCCAGAGGAAGGGGTATATTTTTCTAATTTCCACAAAGATGCTGTGTGGTCCAGAAGTGGCCCTATCAGGACCAAAAAGGACTCTAAAAAGGCTTGGTGGGACTCGGCCTTCCTTTCCTCTCACTTCACAGAGGAGACATTTAAGTCCAGCCATGGAAGGGGTTGAAACATTGAGATTTGTCTAACTTTGTCCACAGGCCCCTTGCCGCAAGACCAGCAGGGAAAGCTTCATTCATGAGGGCCCCTGACACCCCAGACCCACCGGGTTGGAGTTTCTAGGAGCGAAGATGGAATCTGTACTGTTCACAAACCCCACCCCCTCATTCCGAAGTACATTCTAGTTTCAGGACTTCTGCCTTGGAATGTGGAACTTTGACTTCCTCCCCATTCTCCCATCATTCAATTGAGAAACATGGTGGGGGGATCATTCATTAATCCTGATTCTGACCAATTTCCCAATTGTGAAAACTAAGATCCTGGAAGGTGAAGGAGTTTAAACTCATGACAGAGGGCGGGCATGGTAATCCCAGCACTTTGGGAGGCTTAGGCAGGAGGATCACTTGAAATCAAGAGTTCAAAACCAGCCTGGGCAACACGGTAACGTGGTCTCTACTAAAAATACAAAAACTAGTCAGGCATGGTGGTGCACATCCGTAATCCCAGCCACTAGGGAGGCTGAGGCATGAGAATTGCTTGAAGCCGGGAGGCAGAGGTTGCAGGGAGCAGAGATTGTGCCACTGCACGCTAGCCTGGATAATTGAGACTCCAGATCAAAAAACAAGAACTGCCAGGGAGACTACAGATGGTGGAACGTGACATGCATTTTTCAGATGAGGAAACTGAGGCTCAGAGAGGAGAGATCTAAAGCCAGATCTTCTCATTCTCCTCCTGCCCTGAAGGATCTTTGCCACATACACTAGACCAGAGGTTCTCAACCTTGGTTGGGCCATAGAATCACCTGGAAGGCTTGCTAAAGTGGATTGCTGGCCCTACCCTCCAGGATTCAGTAGGTCTGGAAGGGACCTGAGAGTTTTCATTTGCAAGTTCCCAGGTGATGCTGCTGGTCTTGAAATCACACTTTGAGGACCACTGGCTGAGATCACTCCCAACCTCGTTTTTCTCTGAAAGGGATAGAAATTGAGGCGCGGCATCGGGTTACACAGTATCTAGCTGGCAACCAGGATCTAGTTCCAATTCCCTGCTTGGAATTATTTTCCAGAGCAGTTCCAAATCATCCCCTTCCTAGGATCACAAAAAGCACCTACCTACAGTGCATTCCGTGCTAATTGGGAAAATATGTCTCCTTCCTCCAAGGCAGAGGCAACCCTTTAGGCAGGTCCCAGAGATAGGTTCGGAGACCGAACAGATGGCCTGTAAACCTGAGGCAGAGGTCAGGCAGCCGGAAGGGAGGGGCTTTCTAGGGTCTGTGTGTGCGTTTGGGGAGACTGAAGGCTGCAGGTGGAGGATTGGCTGGGGGCTTGTCTGTTGGTTCCTCTCACCCCAGTTGATGGGAGTGTGGGCAAATTTCAGCCAGCAAGAGGAGAAGGGGTCAAAGTGTGAACTTTCTCCACTGCTTGGTCCTAGGGGGCCTCAACCTGCACCGCGGCACAGGACGGCCGCCGTGGCTGTCCGGGGTTCCCCCCTGCGCATTTATGCCTCCATCACCCTCACCTCTCGGCCACGGACAGCACCCAGGCGGTGGTCAGCCAGAGGCCAAGCGTGAGGCCGAGCAGCAGGCGGCCAGGGTGCGTGTTCATGTAAAGCTTGGCCACGAACCAGTGGCGGAAGCGGACTTGATTGAGAGCGCCGATGCTGCGGTAGGAAGCGTTGAGCAGGACGCCGCTGCGCAGGAGCACGGCGCGGGGCACCAGGTAGAGACGCAGCAGCATGGCCAGGGACAGCAGCGCTTCCCCTTGGCCCAGGAATCCCGGCCAGGGCTGCGGGGAGGTCAGCGGCGCCCCTAAATCCTGCACGCACGGCGGGCCCCGCACGGGCGCCGGGTGCAGCCCACACACCACCAGCTCCAGCACGATCTGCGCCGCCTGCCGCCCGGTCAGCGCCACGCGCCAGTCCCGCAGCCCGTTGTCGGTCATGAACAGCTGCCGGTAGGGGGCCAAGAAGGGAGGGGTCAGGAGCAGGTCAGGCGCAGGTCAGGCGGCGGCCCGCGCCTGCCTGCGCCCTGAGATAAGTGGGGTGTGCCGCCTGGCCAGGAGGGAGGGAGTGCAGGGCGGGAGAGGGATAGGGAGGGAGCGGGACAGGACTTGAGGAAGACATCTTTCCACTTTTTCCTCCTTCCCCACCACCCACCCCACTAGTTTCAGCCCACTTCCAGCCTTTGAACACTGACTGAGCGCCGACTGTGTGCCTGACATTGTTCTATGTGCTAAGGATACACAGTGAACCCAACAGACCCCCCTGCCTCCCTAGAGCTTGCATTCCACATGCCTGGAGCTCGCTCCTACTCCCCTTTCGGTTGACACGCGTAATAACTGTAATAATAATATCAGCAATAACAAAGCCATGGGCCGGGCGCGATGGCTTACGCCTGTAATCCCAGCACTTTGGGAGGCTGCGGTGGGTGGATCACTTGAGGTCAAGAGTTTGAGACAAGCCTGGCCAACATGGTGAAACTCCATCTCTACTGAAAAATACAAAAATAAGCCGGGCATGGTGGCGCACACCTATAGTCCCAGCTTCTGGGGAGTCTGAGGTAGGAGAATCACTTGAACCCAGGAGGCAGAGGTTGCAGTGAGCTGAGGTCATGCCACTGCACTCTAGCCTGGGTGACAGAGCGAGACTCCATCTCAAAATAAACAAAACAATAACAATAACAAAATCAGCATGTACTGGGCACCGTGGATACGCCAGGTACTGCTCTATCCCGTTTACATATTGTGACTTAGTAAATGCCCACAACCCAGTGAGATTGATATTATTATTGCCCCCATTTTATAGATGTGGAAGCTGAGGCCCAGGTCCCTTCCATGGGCAATGGCGCACTGGGCTACAGGCTACTTAGCTACTCTATGATAAGATGATAATGTGCACTGTTTACTGAGCACCTCTTATGTGCCAGGCACTGCTCATAGAATTGCCACACATGGCCAATAATCCCCATTTTACATGCAAAGTTATGATAGGAGAGGGGGAAGAGGGGAAAGGGAATGGAGCAACAGGATCTGGGGCAATGGGACAATAGGGGATGGGATGTGTCTGGGTGAGACCCAAGGTGGGGTATGGATGGGGAGAGCTCCTGGGTCTGGGGCAAGAGGGAGGTTATTGGCACAGAGATAGGGTGATTAGGAGTGGGCACCCCTGGGACCGGACCAGGTGCAGTGGCTCAAGCCCGTAATCCTAGCACTTTGGGAGGACAAGGTGGGCAGACTGCTTGAGCTCAGTAGTTGGAGACCAGCCTGGACAACATAGTGAAACCCCGTTTCTACTAAAATACAAAAAAATTAGCTGGGCGTGGTGGCATCTGCCTGTAGTCACAGCTACTTGGGAGGCTGAGGCATGAGAATTGTTTGAACCCAGGAGGTGGAGGTTGCAGTGAGCAGAGATCGTGCCACTCCACTCTAGCCTGGGCAACAGAGCAAGACCTTGTCTCAAAAAAAAAAAAAAAAAAAAAAAAAAAAAGGAGTGGGCAGCCCTAGGACCTTAGGTTGCTTGAGGACTGGATTGGGGATGCCATGTCGGAGCACAGAGATCTGGGAAGCTGAGTGCCTGGGAGCAGAGTGGACAGAGGCCTGGGGGCGGAAGCAGGGCTGCAAGGGCACTCTCAGCATCCGTGAGTGTGCAAGGGGGGGCTGGGGACTACAGGGGAAGGCGGAGCTGGTGGGGGAGGCTCTGCCTGTCTGCTCATGGTTCATCCCATCTGGGTAGGTGAGGGTGTGGACGCAGCACCTAGGGCAGAAGAACTTCATTACTCAGATCAGGAGGAGGAGGAGGGTGGAAAGTGTGAGCTGACAGGGCGCTGAGGGGGTTGGAGGGAGCAAGGCTTAGGGGCGGGGCCTGCCCTACCTGGACCTCTTTGGCATGAAAGGCCACGATGAGGCAGAGGAGTAAGAAGGTGGAAATGCTGATCGTGCATTTAACCAGGAACAGGTAGAGCGCCCACTGTCAGGGGGGACGGAAAAAGCGGTGTGAGATCCCAGGTCTCCCTCCGCCTGGCCCTCCACCTTTCCTTCAAAACCACCATTTTTTTTTTTTGATTCCCAATTTTCCTAGCCTCCTTCCCCTGCAAATCAGTCCCTCTTGATGTGTCGGTTCTGGAGAAGTCTCAAAACCATCATCTGGGCCCAGTGCGGTGGCTCACACCTGTAATCCCAACACTCTGGGAGGCTGAGGCAGGTGGATCACCGAAGGTCGGGAGTTTGAGACCCCCTGGCCAACATGGTGAAACCCAGTCTCTACTAAAAAAACAAAAAATTAGCTGGGTGTGTAATCCCAGCTACTTGGGAGGCTGAGGAACCAGAATCTTGAACCCAGGAGGTGGAAGTTGCAGTGAGCTGAGAGATCGCGCCACTGCACTCCAGCCTGGGCAACAGAGCGAGTCTCCGTCTCGAAACAAGCAAGCAAGCAAACAAACAAACAAAAAAACACCATCATCTGGTCCCCAGGAATGCTCTCTTTCTCCCCAACAGGACAACCCTGTCCAGATGCTGGTGTCTACCCTCTTCCTCAGCTCTTCTCCCAAGACCCATACCCATGAAGGGGGACCTTGAAACTCACATTCCTTCTTATTCCTGTCCCATTTCACATCAAAAATAGTTCTTCAGGTGTGTGTGTGTGTGTGTGTGTGTGTGGGTGTGTGTGTGTGGTGTCTAGAAAAAGACATCTAGCCTCTAGAGAGTGCCCCCTCCCCTTCCCTTCCTACCCACCTGGTGTTGTCCTAGAAACCAACTTCAATCAACCCCAACCCCAGATCTGGAAGAATGTAGAAACTACCATTCAATCCTCAAAGACTGAGTCACACCCTTCTCTGCTCTCATCCGGAGGGCTGAGTCCCTGAGACCCAGCCTCAGCTCTGAGACAGCCCCCTCGGTTCTGCCCCCCTGCAGCTCCCCACTGCCACCCCTCTCTTCTGGCTCTAAGCCCAGGGCAGATCTGGCCGGAAGCACAGGGCCTCCAGAAACCACGGAGAAATTGTTCCTTTTTTTTTTTTTCCTCTCTTTGTGTGGCACAACCTTGGAGGAATCTAGAATTCTGGAGAGAGGGATTTAGAGGGGACTGGGACTGTTGGATTTCCTAAGAGGGGTTGGTCCCTGCCTGGCGGGTATTTGCAGGGGGAGGGGACCACCTGGGCGTCCTTACAAAGCATTGCACCTGTTTCTCCTAAGAGGGCTGCCAGCTCCCCTGGCTGGGCCAGCATCCCGCCTCTGAGCAGGGGAAGAGGGCCAGTTTCCTGCCCCAGGGGCCTGCTCCCCAACCCCCTATCAGAACAATAGTGCTGTTGTCACCAGCCCTCCCCCACCTTCTATGGCTCCCTGGTTCCCTGCCTCTTTCTTCAGTCTGTCTTAACTGCCCACACCACTAGACAACAAGCTCCCTCCTCACACTGCAATTTGCTTCTCTGGTGGTCCTCTCTACTTTTCCATTTCCTCTTCCCCCAAATCCCGGACCTGTCTGCACTTGGGCCTGTACTCTGTTCTCTGAATTTCCCTGTCTCTAGGGATGGTTGTTGCTGTCTTTCTATGTGTTTTGAGGGTCTTTGTTTCTATTGTCTCTTTTTTTTTTTGAGACGGAGTCTTGCTCTGTCACCCAGGCTGGAGTGCAGTGGCACGATCTTGGCTCATTGCAAGCTCCGCCTCCTGGGTTCACACCATTCTCCTGCCTCAGCCTCCTGAGTAGCTGGGACTACAGGCACACGCCGCCATGCCTGGCTAATTTTTTGTGTTTTTAGTAGAGATGGGGTTTCACTGTGTTAGCCAGGATGGTCTCGATGTCCTGACCTTGTGATCCGCCCACCTCGGCCTCCCAAAGTGCTGGGATTACAGGCGTGAGCCACCGCGCCCGGCCCTCTATTGTCTTTTCTAACGCTGTGTGTGTATCTCTCACTGGTGGATTTCTCAGTAGCTTGATAGCCCTATTTGTCTTTCTCTTTAGCTGTACTTCTCTATCTTTCTGCATTTTTGTCTCCATCTCTCTTTTTCTCTCCATGTATCTCTGTGTCTCTGTCTCTCTCTGTACCTCTCCCCATCCCTCCTCCTCCACCCCACCTGGTGCTTTTGGATATCTCTATCCAGTTCCCTTGGACTCCCTAGGGTTTTGCACCTGCCTCTCTGCCAGCCCCTCCCCCTGGGGAGCAGGTGTCTGGGTCCTTTGCAGAAATGAGCTCATTAGATTGAGATGGAGGTGGTGAGGGGCGGTGGATGTTATTAAGAGAGTCCTCAAAAGGGGACTGAGGAGCTGTGGCTCAGGCCTGTAATCCCAGCACTTTGAGGCAGGAGGATTGCCTGAGTCCAGGAGTTCAAGACCAGCCTAGGCAACAAAGCAAGGTCCCATCTCTACATAAAATAAAAAGGGTGGAGGGTGACCCTTAGGGTCATGTATTTTAACCCTCACCCCAATTTACAGATGGGGAAACTGAGGTTCAGAGGGTTGTAACAGCTTCCCCAAGGTCCCACTGATAGAGGCAGTGGCCTGGCCATGGTGGAGGGAAGGAAGAAATGAGGGGTGAGAAAGCAGAGGGGTGAAGTGGGGTAGGATGGACCCCGTCTCTTCCCATCTGCCAGGGTCACTGTGTTCCCACCTCGGCTTCTGGGTGCGGTGCTTCGGCGTGGGAGCGGCGGGCAGGCCCCGGCCATGCTTCCTGTTGGCATGGACTTCGGCGGCCCCACCCCCTCAGTGCCCGCCGCCTGCCAGAGGAAGCTGCATGCCTGACCCTCCATGTGGCTCCTGGTCACTTCAGAGCTGCCCACCACCCCCTCCAGATCCAAGTCGGAACATCAGACCCTCAGGAATCTACCCAATCTTCATATCAGTGTCCGCATCTGGCCCTACCAGCCCAGTTCCACAACCCTTCTGCCAGAGAGGTCTCCAGCCCCTCCTTTCCTGTTGAGCAAGTCTGTTCTCCCCTCAAGCCACTTATTCCAACCCTTGTCCTTGATCTGCCCCATCACTGGCCTGACCAGGGCTGGAATGTGACGGGAGCCTGCTGAGACCTGCCCTGACCCCACTTTCCCCTTTCTTCCCTACTCACCACTCATCTTCGGAGTCAGCCCCTCTTCCCCAAAAGCAATCAAAACCCCCTTCTCCTTAAGACTCAGGAATCCAGGACCCAGCCCCCTCCTCTCCTGGTACCTAGGAGTCCAGGCCACTGTAAGCCTACCTCTCCACTATTTCCCTGACTAATCAGCATGCAGATTTGGGGAGAAATTGAGCTTGTTAACAGTGGAGACTGGGTTGGGGTTGGTGGGGGGAGGCAGGTCGGGGGAGAGGTTTGTTTCCCATTTCCCATCCCCACCCCCAAGGCAGTTTTTTCTGTCCTTTGCATCTAAGGCACTGGGTAAACATTAGAGGTTAGACAAGGACCAAAGAGCTGCCGCCTACTGGAAGAACTTTGTCTTTCCTCCACTCTCCCTTCACCAAACCTGGGGCTACCTCTCCCCTTATTGGCTCTTGGGGGGCTTGAGTGTCTGATCAGCCACCCTCTGGCCTCCAGGGGTCCTGGACCTCTGGCCGTCTAATGGCAACATCTTCAAAGACTGAAACACTGAAACAAATATTCCCTTCCTTTTGCAGAGAAGGACCCCAGCAACTGTCTCCTGGGAGCACCCAGGAGTCCCAGCCAAAGCCCCTCCTCCCTCAGACCCAAGAGTCTAGGCCCCCAACCTCTCCTCCCTCAGATCCAGGAGTCCTGACCCCCAGCCCCTCCTCCCTCAGACCCAGGAGTCCAGACCCCAGCCCCTCCTCCCTCAGACCCAGGAGTCCTGACCCCCAGCCCCTCCTCCCTCAGACCCAGGAGTCCAGGCCCTCAGTCCCTCCTCCCTCAGACCCAGGAGTCCAAGTCCCCAGTCCCTCCTCCCTCAGACCCAGGAGTCCTGACCCTCAGCCCCTCCTCCCTCAGACCCAGGAGTCCTGACCCCCAGCCCCCCCTCCCTCAGACCCAAGAGTCCTGACCCCCAGCCCCTCCTCCCTCAGACCTAGGAGTCCCAGCTCCCAGCCACCATGCCCCACTCACCGAGCACCCCCCGAACCACAGCATCTCTGCATGCAGCACCATGAGTCCAATGCCAGTTCCTGCCAGCACCAGTGCCCAGCCGGCCAGAGACTTCTCCTGCTCCAGCAAGCGCTTTCGGCGTCTCAAGGCCCCCAGGCCAAGCACCAGATCCCCGCCCATGGCCCCCGGGGTCTTGGGGCTCAGCCAGCTTCCTGCCCAGGGTCCCCCACCTCGCAGCACGCACAGGGCAGCCACTGTGGCTTGCAGGTCGTCAGCCTGCTCTGCTGGCTCTGGGACTTTTGCTCTGAGGCACAGCAGAGCCCTGTGCCCTCTGGGGAGTGGTGACGGCCAGGCAGGGCGGGGAGGGGCAGGGGAGGCCCCAGGGTAGGGGGAGGCTCCCCAGCTCCCCCTTTTGAGAATAAGGAGGGGCTAGGGTGTGTCTTGGGGCAGAGCAAGAAAGAGACGTCCATCCACGTGGATAAAGACACACACAGACACACGATGGGCTTTGTCACACACAATGGTCTGTACTTTGTGACACACACCTCTACTCACCACACCCAGACACCGAAGGACACTCCACAGCCCAAGACGGAGACTAACACACCAGGGCACACAACACAACCTACACAGAGTGACTCACAACTCCCAGCAAGCTCTGAAACCCACAGCCACACCCAGACACCACACACATGGTGTGACACACACCAGCACTTAGCAAGCAGGCAGTATCCCGTGGCACACACAGCCACCCAAACACCGTCCACACACAGGCACAAATATTACACTCAAAGTTGTCACAACTTTCTCTGACACAAAGAGCCACACCCAAACACCACAAATAGGACGATGCACAACTGTGGCCACACAAACACAACATACACCAGGTGTTACACAAACACACAATATATATTAAAGTAGTGACGCCCTGATGCCACACACCACACACCGACACAAACACTGTGCAGTCCCAGTTTCCTAAACACTACACACCCTTGGAACGAAACCCAATACGTGTAGACACACAACATTTAGGGACATACCTATAGTAGCCCCCAATCACCCAGAGCTAGAGAATTGCACATACATTGTGGCGCCTGTTGACTCGAACACAAGTGCTCGCAGTGATGATTCAAAACACGCACTGATTCAGCATGCTCTGATGTGTGGTGCGATTCAAATGTATGGTCAGAGGACAAGCTGAGTGGATGCATGCAGAGACCTACAAGGTACAGCGACACACGGAGAAACCCAAGAAGCACATGCCTGAAGCAAGATGATTCTGGTATATTCTGGCCACACAGGACAACATCCAGGATGATGCCCTGGGGGAAGGGGATGGGGTTGGACCTTCATAGACCCCAGTGCCCAAATGCAACATACGGCTGGGTGCAGTGGCTCATGCCTGTAATCCCAGCAGTTTGGGAGGTTGAGGTGGGAGGATTGCTGGAGCCCAGGGGTTTGAGACCAGCCTGGGCAACATAGCAAGATCCTATCTCTAAAACAAGCAAAAACAAAAAAACAAACGCAACATACACCATCACCTCTGAGCCATGAGCCACACCCAAACATGACATACAATACCTCCACACAACCCAACACGTTATATTCCAACATGCGTGGCCACACAACAACATACGCGGAGTAATACACCAGCACACAGTAACGCAAAACACATAAACACAATGTTTTCCAACACACCCAACCTTCCACAAACGACCACATGTCCCATAAAACACCAGATGTCACCACTCACTGATACTACTGACACTGAGGTCTACCGCCACCCACACAACACCAGCATCGGGGGAGGGGGGTGTATCCTCTGACACAACATAACACACAGCTACACAAACACAAGACACTTGGGGTGGTTGGCACTCAGGGTGGGTGCTGGGGGCTGAGAAGGAAGAGGCCCCCAACAGGGACATGGACCCTGACGTGAGATACAGCAAATGCCAGTGTGGAATGTGCACGGTGACTCTCAGAGCAACACACAACATAGGACATCTCCATGTGTCGCAGCACGAGCCACTCATGGATCTGTACACCATACGCTCCGACACAGATCAAACCCTCCTGTGGAGACACACAGGCATGCACTGACCTGGTGACGCACATCACCTCCCAGCATCATGCACTGAACTGGTGACACTGCCCTTGGCCTCATGCACACCCCTCTGCAAGGAACCTGCGGACACAACCCTCCCCCTCCTTGTGTCCTAGGTCGTGTGGGACCCTGGACCCACCAGCCCCAGGGAAGCGAGACACGCACAGACATGTCTGACTGCACACCAAGGCAGCCCACACAAACACACCCAGAGACACCAAACCATACACATGGACACGCCCAGTGGCAAAAACACAACCCTTGCGGGGGCTCCGCCCCTCGGCACACACAATTACCCACTCGGCGAGACTTGGCGGGAGAGGGCTGGAGACACACCCGGGCGCGCCCAGACACCACACATGCGTCCACTTGGGGAAAGTGCAGCCGCCGGGCACTCCTGAGCCTGCAGCCTGGGCACCCCTGCCCACTGGCCGCCCGGCTCGCTGCGTCTCTCTCCTCCCTCTCCGGCTCTTTCTCTGGTTCTTTGGGACTTGCTTCCTGTCTCAGTCTCTCCTGATCTGGAAACCTCCGCGTTTGTCTTTTTTTTTTTTTTTTTTTTTTTTGAGATAGAGTCTTGCTCTGTCTCCCATGGCTGGAGTGCAGTGGCACGATCTCGGCTCACTGCAACCTCCACCTCCCAGGTTCAAGCAATTCTCCTACCTCAACCTCCCGAGTAGCTGATATTACAGGTGTGCACCACCACACCCAGCTAATTTTCGTATTTTTAGTAGAGACGAGGTTTCACCATGTTGGCCAGGCTGGTCGTGAACTTCTGACCTCAGGTGATCCACCCGCCTCGGCCTCCCAAAGTTCTGGGATTACAGGCGTAAGCCACCGTGCCTGGCCAGGTTTGTCTTTATCTCTGTCTCTGTTCTTCTCTCCTGGTACCTTTGTCTCTCTCTGTCTCTCTTCACTCTGTCTCTCTGTCTCTGCCTCTCTTAGCCTCTCTGTGTCTCTCTCATCGCTCTGTCCCTTTCTCCATCTTCGTGTCCCTCTCTGCTCCTCTGTTTCCTTCTTTCCCCGTCACTGTCTCTCTGTCATGTCTCTCTCTGTGTTCATCATTGCCTGTGTCTCTGTCATCGTGTCTCACTCTGTCTCCATCTCTCCGTCTCTAGGGCCCTCTGTTTTTGTCTGTCTCTTGCTGAATCGGTGTTTCTCTCCGTCTCTGTTTCACTCTCTCCCTGCCTCCTGGTCTCCTCTTGGGTCTCTCTCTCTCTCTCCGGGCCTCTCTATGCTTGTCTCTGCCTCAGTTTCTCTCTGCTGTTCACTGGCACATCTACGGACAGCCTGGTTCCTTCCGGTTCTACCCCAGTCCCACTCAGGGGTTGAGGGCCAGTGATCCAGAGACTGTGGCCACCCAAGGGTCAGAAGCCACTAAATAGCGCTCCAGCTGCGGCCATGCCATGGCATCTGTGCCCCAGTTCAGGCACTTGTGAAAAACGGAGACAGAGACTGACACAGAGGGAGAGAGAGATAATCAGAGAGACCTCGAGGCATTCAGCCAGGGATGGTGGGGGCATGTATTAAAAAAAATCAAAGAGACCCACAGGTGCAGAGAAACCGGAAAACACAATCAAGACACGGAAGTTAGAGCACAGAGAAATTTTGTCTCCAAATAGGCCATGACTGAAAGAGAAAAACAGCAAAGGATGGGCATGGACATGCCTGGGTGGCAGTGATGGGGTTACAGTGGGAAGGGCACCTGCCTTCAAACTGCAGTCCTGGGATGCAGGGGTCAGTCCTAGGAAACTGCTTCACTCCTCAGCCAGCTGCCTCCAGCCCAGGGAGGGGCCAAGGGGGGAGGGCGAGGTGACTCAGGGCCTCAGGGCTTCTTGTGACTCACCCTTGGTCTCAATCCTAGAATGGGGAGTGGAGGGAGAGAGGGGTTTGTGTAAAAGAGAGGGAGAGGGAATAGTAGAGGACCTCAAAATGCCTAAGAGGAAGGGTCCAGGAGGAAGAAGCTGGGGGTCTGGACTCCTGGTTCTGAGGGAGGAGGGGGTCTGAGGGAGGAGGGGCTGGGGTCTGGACTCCTGGGTCTGAGGAAGGAGGGGATGGGGTCTGGACTGCTGGTCTGAGAGAGGAGGGGCAGGGGGTCTGGACTCCTGGTTCTGAGGGAGGAGGGGGGCTGGGGTCTAGACTGCTGGTCTGAGAGAGGAGGGGCTGGATCTGGACTCCTAGGTCTGAGGGAGGAGGGGCTGAGGCCTGGACTCCTGGGTCTGAAGGAGGAGGATCTGGGGTCTGGACTCCTGAGTCTGAGGGAGGAGGGCTGGGGCCTGGACTGCTGGTCTGAGGGAGGAGGTGCTGGGGTCTGGACCCCTGGGTCTGAGGGAGGAGGGGCTGGGTCTCATACACTGGAAGAACTGATTCCAGAGTCTCCAGGATTTTTCCTTGGCCTTGTCCCAGCTGCACCACCTCTGTCGCAGCCCCATCTCCGGGCCTGGAAAGAACCCAGGTGCCTCGGGGCCCAGCAGGAAGGGGCCAGGGACAAAGAGTTGTTTAACTGGGCAGGCTGGTGAAGGAGAGTGAAGAGGGTGTCTCAGGCGGAAAGGTCATTCATCGCCCAAGGCTTGTGCAGGGAAAGGCAGGGCTGAGCCCCGAGGAAGAGATCCTGAAAGTCAGAGGTCAGTGGCGGCAAATCCTCCACCGCCATCTCTGGGACCTTGGAGCCTGGAAGCTCCAGGGCTTATAAATACTGTCACCTAGTGTTCACTTAGGCAACTGCAGACACTCTCCCTGTCCAGCCTGGTTTCTTGCCAACATAGAGCAAAACACCTACTGAGTGCCAGGCACTGCTCAAGGAGTTGGCGATATGTAATGAACAAAAATGGACAAAATTCTTGCTCTTGTGGAGTTTCCAGGCTAAAGGAGGGAGACCTCGTGATTCCATCAATCTCAGTCTCTTCTTTGCTCTCAGTCTTCATTTTTCTCTCTGTATATCATTGTCCTTGTTTTTTCTTTCTTTCTCTTTTTCTTTCTTTCTTCTTTCTCTCTCTCTTTCTTTTTTCTTTTCTTTCTTTCTTTCTTCTCTCTCTCTCTTTTTAATTAAAAAACATTTTTTTGGTCATAAAATCAGTTCCCACTATGTTGCCAGGCTGGTCGCGAACTCCTGGTCTCAAGCCATCCTCCTGCCTCGTCCTCCTAAGGTGCTGGAATTACAAGTGTGAGCCACTGCGCCTTGTCTTGCTTCTCTGTTTCTATCTCCTGGTCTTAGTCTCCAAGTGCATGCTTTTCTCCTTTCTCCTTTTTTCTTCATTTCTGCTTTTATTTTCTTCTTTGTATCTCTGTGTTCCCCGCCAGTTAAAAATGTATGTATATTATGTTATTACACAGAGACATACACCCACACTCTATATATAGTATATGCAGATATGTAGTATAGTATATGGCATAGTATACAGATGTATAGTGTATACAGATGTATATGATATACAGATATCTATATCTCACAATATGGAAGTCTAGAGACCTCGGTTTAAGCCTCGATGTGACCACTGACTTTATTCATTCATTCATTCATTCATTCAAGACAGAGTCTCGCTCTGTCACCCAGGCTGGAGTGCAGTGGCACGATCTTGGCTCACTGCAACCTCCACCTCCTGGATGCAAGCGATTCTCCTGCCTCAGACTCCCAAGTAGCTGGTACTACAGGCATGCACCACCACACCAGGCTAATTTTGGTATTTTTAGTAGAGACGGGGTTTCACCATGCTAGCCAGGCTGATCTTGAACTTCTGACCTCAGATGATCCACCTGCCTCAGCCTCCCAAAGGGCTGAGATTAGAGGGATGAGACACCACCCCCGGCCTAACTTTATTTTTGTATGGAATATGTTATACGTACAGCCTGGTTTAGAGACAAACCTGAGTTCAAACCTAGTTGCCATCCATAGTTGTGTGCTCTGTGAAACTTGTAAAAGAGGGATTATGTTTCCTATGTGACAGGGCTGCTTGAGGCTTAGGTGAGAGAGAATGTCTGGAGCCCTAACAGCAGGCCTGGTCTATGTTAAAGTCTTGTGATACATTGTCTCCCAAGTTGCCTGCCAGTGACTCCTCCCTTCCCTGCACTGGCAGGTGGCTTCTCCCACGAAAAGGAACAGTATGTTCCTTCTCCTTCAGTCTATCTGGCTCATGACTTGCTTTGACTAATAGAATGTGGCAAATATGACACTGAACCAGTTCCAGGTCCAGATGTTAAGGAAACTAGAAGCTTCTGCTTTTGTACCCTTAGAACTAGAAGACCACCATGCTGTAAGGAAGCCCAAGCTAGTCACATGGAGAGGCCATGCAGGGAGAATGAAGCTATCTTGGCTAAAGCCCCAGTCCTGTCCTAACAGAATGCAACCATGTGAATGACTTCAGGAGAGACCAGCAGAAATGCCCAGTCAAGCCTCAATCATGAGATTGTTTATTTTAAGACACTAACTTTTGGAGCGGGTTGTTACACAATAAAAAGTAGATTATTATACCCTTATGTTCATATCTGCATGTTTGAAGTTTTCCATAATAAAAAATATATATATATGGGCCAGGCATGGTGGCTCACGCCTGTAATTCCAGCACTTTGGGAGGCTGAGGCAGGCAGATCACTTAAGGCCAGGAGTTCAAGTCCAGCCTGGCCAGCATGGCGAAACCTCATCTCTACTAAAAATACAAAAAAAATTAGCCAGGCGTGGTGGTGGGCACCTGTAATCCCAGCTACTCAGGAGGCTGAGGCATGAGAATCACTTGAACCTGGGAGGCAGAAGTTGCAATGAGCCAAGATCGTGCCATTGCACTCCAGCCTGGGTGACAGAGTGAGACTTCAACTAAAAAAAAAAAAGTATATGCATATGTATGTATATGTGAATAGATAATAAAATAATAAAATGTATAATGCAAATTGCACTCCATACACTGCAGCTAGCATCATTTTGCTCCTAATTTTTTTGCCTATGAGCCTTTCTTGGTCAGTCTCAGCTTGGGTCTCAATTTTCTTGTCTGTCTTTCTCTATTGCTTTCTTTCTGTGTGTCTATTCCTATCTTGGCGAAACTCCTCCCATCACTTTCCTTTGCATTTACTTTGCTTTATCACATTGGCCTTGTTGCTGATTCTCAAACATACCAAGCTTTTTTCTGCCTCTGGGTCTTAGCATTTTCTGTTCCCTCTTCCTGAATGCTTGCACCTCCACTCTCTTCATGGGGCATTCCCTCACTTCATTCAGTTCTCTGCTCAAATATATATATGAATTATTATATATATTATAATAGTATACAATATATAATATCATATAACATATAATAAAAATAATACATATATCAATAATATATAAATATATAATCATATAATATATAAATATATTATATATTATATTTATATATTATATATAATTTATATATAATATCTAATAAATAATTATAATTTATATAATATATATAAATTTATATTATCATAAACATTTGTTTATATTTATATTATTATAAATATTTATATTTATAATATTATAAATATTTATATTTATAATATTATAAATATTTATATTTATAATATTATAAATATTTATATTTATAATATTATAAATATTTCTTTATATTTCTATTATTATAAATACTTATTTATATTTCTATTATTATAAACATATAATTATATTCATATTATTTACATTATAAAATATATATTTATATTATAAATATATATCATTATATTTATATTTATATTTATGTTTATGTTATTTATATTTATAAATTTATATAAATTTATATTATTTATATATTCATATATATTTATATATAATTTTTGTTTCCTATTTTATTAAATTTTTTTGAGACAAGGTCTTGCTCTGTCACCCAGGCTGGAGTAGAGTGGCACAATCATAGCTCACTGCAGCCTCAACCTCCCAGGCTCAAGTGATTATCCTGCATCAGCCTCCTAAGTAGCTGGGACTACAGGTACAAGCCACCATGCCTAGCAAATTAAAAAAAAATTGCTAGAAAAGGAGTCTTCCTATGTTTCCCAGGCTGGTCTTGAACTCCTGGACTGAAATAATCCTCCTTCCTCAGCCTCCTGAAGTACTGAGATTACAGGCATGAGCCACAGTATCCAGCCACTCTGCTCAAATATAATCTCTGCCTTAACCACCTCTTCAAAAACGGTCTCTTCCATCTCCCTCAATCATCCTACATCTTATTTCACTGCTTTATATTTTATCATAGAACTTATGACTATATAAAATGATCTCATTTTATCTGTCTCATTGTTTAAGGACAGGAACCTGGCCATCCTGTGTTCAGAACAGTGCCTGGCACATAGCAGATGCTCAATGAATATTTGTTGAAGGAATGCTCTTGTTCAATGATACTGATAGGCGTTTTTTGACTCTAGCCTCTTGTCCTGTTCCACACTGTTCAAGATGGCATTTCTTCATTTCCCTGTCTTTTGTCCTCCGTTAGTTGAGTTGCTGTCTGTGGTTCTGAGACCCAATACTGTGGATCTGTCCTTGGTGCTGACCTGGACTTCCACTTCCG
The DNA here is from genome assembly GCF_000001405.40 of Homo sapiens. Taxonomy (NCBI): domain Eukaryota; kingdom Metazoa; phylum Chordata; class Mammalia; order Primates; family Hominidae; genus Homo; species Homo sapiens. The sequence continues at coordinate 43,789,292 of NC_000019.10, forward strand.
CTTAAGCTTGGGAGGGTGGGGGAATCTTGGGAAGGGGCAAGGTTGTATGTAAAATCCAGACATTAAATAATCATTATCTGCATTACCAGAAGAAGAGAGATGTCTGGGTTCCCAAGTGGGTGTATGGGTCACTGTGAGTTAAATAGGTATTAGTTCTATCTATTATCTACCTTTTCATATATACATACATATTCATATATGTGTACATATATATTTATTATCGAGAACTTCAAACATATAGAAGTGAACAGAAGAGTATAATAAATCTCCATGTATCTATTTAACAAATACCAATTCGTGGTCAATTGCATTTCATCTGTGCTTCCATTTACTTCCTCACTTCCTATGTTATTTCAGTGTAAAACCTAGAGGTAATACCATTTAATCATATGTGGCATTTAAAATTGTTTTCTTTTTCTTTTTAGAGGCAGGGTCTCACTCTGTCACCCAGGCTGAGTGCAGCGGCCCAATCATAGCTCACTGCAGCCTCGACCTCCTGCCCCCAAGAGATCCTCCTGCATCAGCCTTCCAGGTAGCTGGGACTACAGGCGCACACCACTGCACCTAGTTACTTTTAAAATTTTTAGTAAAGACAGGGTCTCTCTATGTTGGCCAGGCTGGTCCTGAACTCCTGGCTTCAAGCAATTTTCCTACCTCGACCTCCCAAAGTGCTGGGATTACAGGCGTGAGCCACCAGGACTGACCTAAGACAGACTTACACATTGCAAGTCCGCAGATCTTAAGTGTATGGATTAATTCAGTTAAACCTGTATACAGACATGTGTGACCACCATCTCTATCAAGCTATCTCCATCACCACAAGAGGCTCTCTTGTAACCCTCCCAACTGATACACCAGAGATAACCAGTATTCTGAATCCCTATCACCAAAGATTAAAAAGCTCTAATATGGATGTCCAAAGACCTGAGCTCTAGCCATGTCTTTGCTTTTGACATTAAAAAAAAAATAGGTCTGGCGCGGTGGCTCAAGCCTGTAATCCTAGCACTTTGGGAGGCCGAGGCAGGTAGATCATGAGGTCAGGAGATCGAGAACACCCTGGCTAACACGGTGAAACCCCGTCTCTACTAAAAATACAAAAAAAAAATTAGCCGGGCATGGTGGTGGGCGCCTATAGTCCCAGCTACTCGGGAGGCTGAGGCAGGAGAATGGCGTAAACCCAGGAGGCGGAGCTTGCAGTGAGCCAAGATTGTGCCACTGCACTCCAGCCTGGGCGACAGAGCGAGACTCTGTCTCAAAAAATAAAAACAACAAAAACAAATAAATAAATAAAATATACCTTATATGCCAAAAGTGCATAAAACATAGTGGTACATTTTGGACAAATGATGTATTGTGAACCTCCATAAAATCAAAGGCACACCAAGAGAAAGTATTTGCATTCCCTAGAATCTCCTTATGTGCTCCTTTATGATCGGGAACCCCCAACCTCCAGAGGAAACCACTACCCTCACTTAGAAGGGACTTTAACTCCTCGTAGACCATAACACTCACACTCTGGTTTCTCAGTTCCTCCTTCTGCCTCCAGCCTTTTAATCCTAAATTGCCCTTGACTCTGGAAACCAGGCAGCATGAGAGGCCCTCTCACCATCCACCTCCCTGGTCTCCCTGCCTCCAATCTCACTCCCTCGGGCCTGTCTCCTGCATGGCCACAGGGAGAGCCTCATATCACCTGGCTTTGACCATGCCTCGCCCCTTCTCTATATCAGTCCATGTATCCCCATTGGCTGTAGGAGAAAGTTCAGAAAATGTTATCCCTATTTGACATTGTAAGCCCTTCAGGGGCACTGCCACATCTTCATTCACATCTTCTTCACTTAAAAAAAAATAGAGACAGTGTCTTACTCTGTTGCCCAGGCTGGAGTGCAATGGAGCGATCATAGCTCACTGCAACCTCAAATACCTGGGCTCAAGCAATCCTCCCACCTCAGCCTCTCTAGTAGGTGAGACCACAGGCATGCACCATCATGCCCCACTAATATTTTTAGTTTTTTGTAGAGATAAGGTCTCACCATGTTGCCCAGGTTGGTTTCAAAGTCCTGGGCTCAAGTGTTCCTTCTACCTTGGCCTCCCAAAGTGCGGGGATTACAGGAGTGAGCCACTGCTTCTGGCTTTCCTCACACTTTAAACACAGGTAGGTACTGAAAAATAGTTTTTCAAAGTGGTTGTTCTATTTTACACACATACTACTTGGATGTGAGAATCCCAGTAGCTCCACATCCTTGCTAATAAATGAAGCCTTTTATTTTACTTTTTTTTCTTTTTTTGAGATGGAGTCTCACTCTGTCGCCCAGGCTGGAGTGCAGTGGCGCAATCTCGGCTCCCTGCAAGCTCTGCCTTCCAGGTTCACACCATTCTCCTGCCTCAGCCTCCCATGTAGCTGGGACTACAGGCACCTGCCACCACGCCTGGCTAATTTTTTGTATTTTTAGTAGAGACAGAGTTTCACCATGTTAGCCAGGATGGTCTTGATCTCCTGACCTCGTGATCCGCCCGCCTCGGCCTCCCAAAGTGCTGGGATTACAGGCGTGAGCCACTGTGCCCAGCCTATTTTACTTTTAATTAAATTGTTTAGAGAGACGGGGTCTTGCTACATTGCCCAGGCTAGTCTCGCACTCCTGGGCTAAAGCAATCCTTCTGCCTCTGCCTCCAAAATTGCTGGGATTACAGGTGTGAGCCACTGTTTCCAGCAGGTGAAGCTTTTATTAGGTGAGTGCAAAAGTAATTGCGATTTTTGCATTGTTGGAATTTGCCATTTGATATTGGAATACATTCTTAAATAAATGTGGTTATGTTACACATCTTTTTTTTTTTTTTTTGAGACAGAGTCTCACTCTGTCACCCAGGCTGGAGAGCAGTGGCACGATCTAGGCTCACTGCAACCTCCGCCTCCCAGGTTCAGGCGATTCTCCTGCCTCAGCCTCCTGAGTAGCTGGGATTATAGGTGTGCACCACCATGCCTGGCTAATTTTTGTATTTTTAGTAGGGACAGCGTTTCACCATGCTGGCCAGGCTTGTCTCAAACTCCTGGCCTCAAGTGATCTGCCCACCTTGACCTCCCAAAGTGCTGGGATTACAGTTGTGAGCCACCATACCTGGCCTGTTATACATCCTTGTAATGGGCATTTCTTGCTTTATGTTTTTCTGCTAATGACTTATTACTTGATGTTTATTTTATGTTTATTTTAGACTCTGGAAATGATATTAGACAAAAAGCACATTAGAGCGACTTTCTTATTTCTTATTTGAGTTCAAAATGGGTCATAAAGCAGAGTTTGTTGAATCCTGAAGCACATATTTTTATACTACAGGAATCAACAAACTTATTTCTCATTGGCAAAAATGTGTTGATTGTAATGGTTCCTATTTTGATTAATAAAGATGTGTGTGAGCCTAGTTATAATGATTTAGAATTCATGGTCCGAGCTGGGCGTGGTGGCTCACGCCTGTAATCCCAGCACTTTGGGAGGCCAAGGAGGGTGGATCACCTGAGGTCAGGAATTTGAGACCAGCTTGACCAATATGGTGAAAGCTCCCCCTCCCCCTGGCCCCTGTCACTATTAAAAATACAAAAATTACCCGGATGTGGTGGCATGCATCTGTACAGTCCCAGCTACTCAGGAGGCTGGGACAGGAGAGTTGCTTGAACCCAGGAGGTGGAGGTTGCAGTGAGCCGAGATCGTGCCACTCCAGCACTCTAGCCTGGGCAGCAGAGTGAGACTCTGTCTAAAAAATAAATAAATAAAATGAAATTTATGGTCCAAAACCATAATTACTTTTGAAAGGCATCTCCCTCTCTGCTAAGCACTCAGGAAGGCATCTGGGTCGCAATACCCAAGCAGCTACATAGCCGAGTCCACAGTTTCACTTGGACCCCCCATACTATGAGTTCTAAGGCAGTCGGTGCACCCCTGTTCTACTTAGTGAGAGCTGTCAAGTATAAGCTTTTAGAAGTTTTTGAATCATTCTCATGACAAAGAACTGCCAATTGCTCATGTATTTCATCTCACAGGAGTCCTTGGCCACCATGCCTCAGGGATAATCTTCTATCTCAGAAGTACAGTCATACACTGCCTAACAACCCCTTGGCCAACGACGGACTGCCTTTATCATCACTGTGGCACCATAAGATTATAAAGAAGCTGGCCAGGTGTGATGGCTCACGCCTGTAATCCCAGCACTTTGGGAGGCTGAGGCAGGTGGATCACTTGAGGTCAGGAGTTTGAGACCAGCCTGGCCAACATGGTGAAACCCCGTCTCTACTAAAAACACACACAAAAAATTAGCTAGACGCGGTGGCTCATGCCTGTAATCCCAGCTACTCAGGAAGCTGTGGCAGGAAAATTGCTTGAACCTGGGAGGCGGAGTTTGCAGTGAACCGAGATCGTGCCAATGCACTCCAGCCTGGGTGAAAGAGCAAGACTCTGTATAAGAAAGAAGAAGAAGAAGAAGAAAGATTACTATGAAGCTGAGCGATTCCTTTTTTCCCCATTCCTCAGGCTGAAACCTATTTACCCTGTTCCTCAGGCTGAAACCTAGGAGTCATCTCAAGTACTCCTCAACCAATATATCAGCAGGTCCTGTCTTCTCCACTAATAAAACCTATTCCTTGCAGCCTGTTAAGGAGAAGCTAAATTTTTAAAAAATCTATTCATTTTCCAACTCCTTGCACTACCTCTGCCATCATCTCTTGCCTAGGTATATCATCTCTGCCTAGACTGGGGCAGTAGCCACCTCACAGGTCTAGCTTCCATTCTTGCCACAGGGAAGCTTTTAAAATGTAAAGCATGTACACAAGAGCACATGCTGTAGGATTCCATTCATATGAAGTTTAAAAATAAGCAAAATTGATCTGTGATAGAAGTTGGAGTCATGGTTATCCTTGGGGTGGGAAACTGACTCTGAAGGGCTATGAGGGAGGCTCTGGGGACATGGGCTGGAAATATTCTACATCTTGACCTAGGTGGAGGTTATTCAGGTATGTACATATGGAAAAATTGCAATTTATGCATTTTATTGTATATATTTTATACCTCAATGAAAATGTTATATCATATATTACATGTAATTATATGTGCATATAATTATATACACATACAACATATATATACACACATACACACACACACATACACCCTTATATATGATTATGGCAGCCTTCTACTTCTCCAACGCATTCTTTTTTTTGTTTTTTTGAGACAGAGTCTCTGTGTGTTGCCCAGGCTTCAATGCAATGGCATGATCTCAGCTCACTGCAACTTTTGCCTCCTGGGTTCAAGTGATTCTCCTGCCTCAGCCTCCCAAGTAGCTGGGACTACAGGTGCATGCCCGGCTAATTTTTGTATTTTCAGTAGAGACGGGATTTCACCATGTTGGCCAGGCTAGTCTTGAACTCCTGACCTCAGGTGATCCGCCCAACCCAGCCTCACAAAGTGCTGGGATTACAGGCATGAGCCACCACGCTGGCTCCAACACATTCTGTGTTAGTCTTGGATTAACCACAGAAACAGAACCAGTAGACAATCTATAATATAAGATTTATTGCAAAGAATTGGCTTATGTGGCCTGGCTAGGCAGGTCAGAAAGAGCAAGCTGGAATCTCAGGCATGGGCTGAAGCAGCTGTCCATAGGTGCAGTTTTTTTCTTCCTCAGAGAAGCCTCATCTCTGCTCCTAAGGCCTTTCAGCTGATAGAGTCAGGCCCACCCAAACTGTCTAGAACAATCTCCCTTCCTCAAAGTCAACTGATTATGGACTTTAATCACATCTACGAAATACCCTCACATCAACACACTGATTAGTGTTTGACTGAATAACTGGAACTGTCACATAGGTAAGCTGACACATCAAACTGGCCATCCCAACTTCAGACCACATTTGCAATAAAATCCAAAATCTGGCTGGGCATGGTGACTCACACCTGTAATCTCAGCACATTGGGAGACTGAGGCAGGAGGACTGCTTGAGCCCAGGAGTTTGAGACTAGCCTGGGCAGCATAGTGGGGGCCCCATCTCTATGAAAAATACAAAAATTAGCAGGGTGTGGTGGCACACACCTATAGTCCCAGCTACTAGGGAGGCTGAGGTGGGAGGATTGCTTGAGCCTGGGAGATTGAGGCCACGGTGAGCTGATTGTGCCACTGCACTCCAGCCTGGGATAGAGCGAGACCTTGTCTCTAATAAATACACAAGCAAAATCCAAAGTTCGCTTTGGATTGCTAGCCCATCAAAAAGGCTAGCTCCTTGAAGGTGGGAATTTTTGCCACTTTAGTTCCCTGCTGCATGCCCAGCAACTGGAACAGTGCCTTGCACATAGTAGGTGCTCAGTAAATGTGAAGGATGAATGAAGACATCCAGCTTCCCCTTGTATGTCAGGATGTAAAGACACCTGAAGCCCTTGTCACATGGCCTTACAGGAGCATAGGAGCGGAGTGTTTCTGAATTGCCCCCCTTCCCACAAGTCTACTTGCTGACATGGAGCGAGAAGACACGGGAGTCTACTCTTGCTATGCACTTACTCTGAAAATTGCTCTCTCACTGTGCTTTGGGCATCTTGTCTGTAAAACAGGAAGGTGTCTTAGTCCCTTCAGGCTGCTGTAACAAAATACCATAGACTGTATGGCTTATACACAACAGAAATTTATGTCTCATAGCTCTGGAGTCTGGGAAGTCTGCAATCAATGCACCAGCAGATTCGATGGCTGGTGAGAACCCACTTTCTTGCTTATAGGCACCTGCTGGCTGTGTTCTCATGTGGTGGAAGGGGCAAGGCAGCTCTCCAGGGCCTCTTTTATAAGGGCACTAATCCTATTCATGGGGGCTCCACCCTCATGATCTCACCACCTCCCAAAGGCCCCACCTCCCAGTAATATCACTTTGGTAATTAGGTTTCAAAAGATGAATTTTGGGGAGACACAAACATTCAGACAATAGCAGGATGCAACTTACTTTTTTGCTTCTCTCACTGAGTTGCTGGAAAGATCAAGTGGCAAAAAGCATGTGAAAGAACATGGTCAAGCATGTGCACAGAGAACATGCTAAAGGATCCCATCTCTATGAAGTTCATGCAGTTATGAAAGTGTCCTGCACTCATGAAAGTGTCCTGCACTCCTTGTGCTCCTTCCTCCCTCAGACCTTTGTCCAGGCTGTCTCCTCTACCTAGAATGCGCTTCCTCCTGCTTCTTTTTGCCAGCTACTATTGATCCTTTAGGATTTTGCTCAAGGGTGAATTCCTCCAGGAAGTCTTCCCTGATCTTTATAGCTTGGAGAATTTCACCTCGCTGAACTTTGCCTTGTGTGTTTTTCTGTGAAGTTAATCGGCACTCATGTGTTTAGGAGGTGGGGTTGCTTAGCAGTTCGTGGGGCTGGGAATCTGGTCCCTGAATCCATACTCACTAGATACACAAGCTCAACCAAGTGCTTTTGCCTCTCAGTTTGTTGACCTGTGACTTAGGGCTTATGACAAGTAGCCCATTTACACTGGGCCACTGCTGTGTCCCAAGTACTAAATGTTCATCTCGTTGAATCCTCACTGCAACTACTGTGAAGTAGTTCTTGTCATGTTATAGAGTTTATTTTCACCTCCACCTTATAGGTGAGAAAATATTGGCACAGAGAGCTCAAGTAACTCACCCACAGTCTCTGCAGGCTGAATGGTGGAGCTGGGATTTGAACCCATGCAGCTTAGCTCCAGAGCCTGGCTTAAGTAACTCACCCATGGTCTCTGTAGGCTGAATGCTGGAGCTGGGATTTGAACCCATGCAGCTTAGCTCCAGAGCCTGGCTTAAGTAACTCGCTCATGGTCTCTGCAGGCTGAATGGTGGAGCTGGGATTTGAACCCATGCAGCTTAGCTCCAGAGCCTGGCCTACTAACTGTTAGGGCATACTGCTTATTGGGCTTCTCATGATGACACTAATAAAGACATCATTGTATAGCTCCCTCCTAGAGCTGCGACAGGCTCTGGAGGGAGAGCACAGGAAGCCGTGTTATGGGGTGCCTGGTGCCTGGCTGGTGCTCAGTGAGTAACAGCTGTGATCAGAATTGCTCTTCATCGGGGCACGACATGGCTGTTTTGCCCTCCCCGGGGATGCTGGTGACTGTGTCCAGTTTCTTCCAGTACTGTTGGCCAGGTTGTGGGGCACAAGGGCGGGAGAGATGGAAGGCCAGAGGGACAGGAGTGCAATTCTTACTTTAACATCATTTTCCAGTGAGCTATGTGATAGGGGCTGAAGCAGCAAGAATGAGGTGTGTGAGCCCTGTCCCCAGCATCCTGGAGGGGCGGTCTATGCTGAGAGCCCCACCAGCAGGAGGACTGGGAGGAGCAGGGCCAGGACCTGTAGTGCTCGGGGAGGGGTGGTGGCTGAAGCACTGGTGAAGGGCTGGGTCATGGATTTCCTGTTGCAGAGGTACCCCTCACAGCAGGAGCCCTGGAGGTCGATGGCTGTCCAGGGGCTGGTGGTGCCCTCGGTGGTGCAGGAGGGCCGGTGGCAGGTTCTGATGTACACAGGGACTGAGAAATTGCCTGGAGGTGGGCAAAGCAGTGAGGAACGGTCAGAACTGAGGGAGACAGCTGCACCTGAACCTTCACCTTGGTAGCTAGGGCCATGCCTCGGTCCTCAGACTTGCTTCAGGTTTTCCTCCTAAGACCAGGGCCAGGCCTCCCTCAGACCAGGGCCATGCCTCTTCCCTCAGAACAGGGTCGTGCCTCCTCCCTCAGACCAGGGCCATGCCTCTTCCCTCAGACCAGGGGCCATGCCTCCTCCCCCAGACCAGGGTTATGCCTCCTCCCTCAGACCAGGGCATGGCCTCCTTCCTCAGAGCAGGGCCAGGCTTCTCCCTCAGACCAGGGTCTTGCCTCCTCCCTCAGACCAGGGTCATGCCTCCTCCCTCAGACCAGGGTCATGCCTCCTCCCTCAGACCAGGGTCATGCCTCCTCCCTCAGACCAGGGCCAAATCTTCTCCCTCAGACCAGGGCCAAATCTTCTCCCTCAGACCAGGGTCAAACCTTCTCCCTCAGACCAGGGTCATGCCTCCCACCTCAGAGCAGGGCCATGTCTCCCTGTTGGGCCTGTCTGGTATCACTACCCTCATGGCTGCCCTGCCTCCATATCCCTTGCCCAGGCCCTTCCACCCTTCCAGCCCCTTACCAACTGTCATTCTGCCATTGCCCTGGAAGCAGGCGGTCTGGTCCTGGTGACACTGGACTCGTCGGGACCTGCCGATAGCGCAGTCATCCTGGTGGACCCCGATACAGGCGTAGCACTCGGCGCCGCTGAGCGTCGGCGGGTCGGGTGCTGGCAAGAGAGCGTAGATGCACACTCAGGCAGTGGTACCCTGGCACAGTCGTGCGGGCTGCGCACTGCGCCAGAGCCCGCGCCTAGCACGTCTCGGGGGTTGGGATCCTAGCGCGCCAAGAGCAGGCGCCCAGCGGAGGCCACGCCTTCCCCGAGGCTGCCAGGCCTCTCATCGTCCCTCCCGGAGCCCAGCCCCGCTCTCCCGCGCACCTTGGCTCAGGTTGGGGAGGGCGTCATGAGTCATGAGGTGGGCGTTGCATTTGTCAGTTGTGCAGCCGCGCACCACCGAGTAGTCTGGCGGCAGCGCGTCCGCGTTCGATTGCGTCTGGCCCGCAGGAGGCCCGGTCCAGCAGCCCTTCCGCACCAGGGTCACCGGCGCGCGATACCCTGGGGGCGGGATCGGGGCTCGTGCTCTGCTTCCCGAAACCCTTCTCCCTCCAGTCTCAGCGTTCTTCCTCCTCCCTCTATCCTTTCACTTTCACCTACACCTCCTCCCCTCCCTCCTTCCCTCCTTCCTCTCACCCCCAGACCTTTTCCCCCGAGTTCTTCTCTTCCTCCACTCTTCCTCCCTGTGCGCCTCTCCCACCTTCTCTTCCTTGCTTCCCCATTGTTTCCTCCCCTCACCGCTCGTCCCTCATCCACTTTTTCTTTTGTGGGGCGGAGGACGGAGCCTCGCTCTGTCGCCAGGCTGGAGTGCAGTGACCCGATTTCGGCTCACTGCAACCTCCGCTTCCCGGATTCAAGCGATTCTCGTGCCTCAGCCTCCCGAGTAGCTGGGATTACAGGTGCCCGCCACCACGCCCAGCTAACTTTTTGTATATTTAGTAGAGACGGGGTTTTGCCATGTTGGCCAGGCTGGTCTCAAACTTCTGACCTCGTGATTCGCCAGCCTCTGCCTCCCAAAGTGCTAGAGTTACAGGCCTGAGCCACTGCCCCAGCCCTCATCCACCCTTTTCTTTTTCTTCCTCCTCTTCTTCCTCTCCCTCCCCATCTTTCTATCTTTATCTTTTCATCTTCTACTCAATTCCCCTCCCTTTCTGCTCCCCTCTCCCCCCTTTTTCCTCCCTAATCTCTCATCCCTGTCCCCCGGCTCCCGCTCCTTACCGGTGTCCAGAGACAGGATAGCCTCAAAGCACTCATGAGGACAGGAGATGCTGGGCAGCTTCATGGCCCTGAGGTCAAAGGGGCCAAAGTAGGTGTGCTCAAAGCTGTAGCACTGCAGGGCTTGGGACCCTGGGGAGAGAGGCGTGGCAGAGTCAGCAGGGCCAGTGTGAGCCTGTCCCAGGAACTCAGAGCTCCACCCAGCAAATGACAGGCACACGGGCCTGGCCCCTCTGCTCCCAGGGAAGACACGCCTTGAGAGACCAGGTGCTGCTATTGCAGCTGGTCACAGCTGTGTCTGTCTCATGGCAGAGTAATGACCTCTCTGCAGCTGACAGTCCAGTTTTTTCCCTCCAGGACACTCCAGGTCTCCACCCTCTTCCAGGAAGCCCTCTCCCTAGCTATGACTTAGAATAGGAAGGAAAAGTGATTCATTCTTGCTCTGCCCATCCTTCCCCAAGCTTAACTCACAAAGTGGACAGCACAGTAAGAGACCCCTGACAAGAAACATGCACTCCAGGACAGGTAGAGTGAAGTGTGGTCCTGTAGTGCCCTGTAAACCCATACATCAGCCCCAGCAACACACAAACTGACATAAACACACAATAACAACACATACACAGGTTCATCCAAGTCTCACAAATATACACAGAATATCCTGAATGCACCCAGGCAGAGTTTTACATTCTCACACAAAACAAGTACGCATCTGGACCCTGCAATATAAACCTCCCTAACTAAGGCACAGCACTTCACACATGGAAAATCACACAGACACAAAGCGTATGTCTGTGAGGATGCTTGTGCCTGTATGATAACCATATCAACACAGAGAGGGACCAGATGCACAGAAAATCATACCCAGAGAGGTCCCAAATCACAGAAGCACAAATAAAACCAGAGGCCACAATTATGCGATGTTTAGAGATACAGGAAAATGAGATCACAAAAACATACAGTTTAAAATCATATATGGAGGCCAGGGGTGGTGGCTCATGCCTATAATCCCAGCACTTTGGGAGGCTGAAGCAGGAGGATCACCTGAACTCGGGAGTTAGAGACCAGTCTGGGCAACAGGTGAAACCCCGTTTCTACTAAAAATACAAAAATTAGCTGGGCATGGTGGTGCACGCCTGTGGTCCCAGCTACTCAGGAGTCTGAGGCACGAGAATTGCTGGAGCCTGGGAAGCAGAGGTTGCAGTGAGCTGTGATCGCGCCACTGCACTCCAGCCTGGGCGGCGACAGAGGGAGACTCTGTCTCAAAAAAAAAAAAAAAATCAAAATCACATATGGATACAAAATGTATAGACCCATGTAACACAGATACATGGAGAGAAAAAAAAAAAAAAACACATCAAAAGGCCCAAACAATTGGTCAGGCATGGTGGTGTCCCCCTGCAGGCCCAACTACTTGGGAGGCTGAAGCAGGAGAATTGCTTGAGCCAGGAGTTTGAGGCTGTAGTGAGCCATGGTTGTGCTACTACACCTTAGTGTGGGCAACAGAGTGAGACCTTATCTCTATTTTAAAAACAACCACAAGAAAAAAGGCCAGTCTCATTGGCTGATGTGAGTGGATTGCTTGAGCTCAGGAGTTTGAGACCAGCCTGGGCAACATAGTGAAACCCCACCTCTACAAAATCATACAAAAATTAGCCAGGCGCAGTGGCACATGCCTATAGTCACAGTTACTCAGGAGGCTGAGGTGGGAGGATTGCTTGGGCCCAGGAGGTCAAGACTTCAGTGAGCTGTGATTGTGCCACTGCACTCCAGCCTGGGCGACAGAGCAAGACCCTGTCTCAAAAAACAAAACAAAAAACAAAAACTGAGCATATATACATAGAGATAAATATAGGCTTACAAATCACAGATACATAAACACAGACACAGATACACAAAATTACACACGCATCTCTTTTACAAAGAAAGCAAACTCAGAAACAGACCCACAAACGCATTTGTTCAGACTAAGACTTTAAAACCTATACAGAGAAACACACACAAGCACAGAGACTCATAGGACATACTGAACCTGGACACATACAGAAATCAAACTCTCTCCCATTAAGGAGCAGAAACACACAGATTTGGTTGTGTGCAGGAATAGCCTCCTTTCTACATTTCTAATTCCCTGTCTTTGTAACCACTTCCATTCTGAAATGAGTTATGTTCCTGTCCTAGCCCACAATGGGGTAGAGGTTGCCTGAAGGTGAAGCCAGGGTTTCTGCCAGTTTCGGAAAGAGTCCTGAGGGCTCCCTGGAAATACCTTTGAATTGGGGGTTGGGCAAGGAAGAGAAGAAAGGCTGGGATGGTGGGAAGAGAGACACCAGGAAAAATGACTGATGGGAGAAGAACAAAGGCAGGGAAGAGAAATGAAAATGACATAGCCTCCAGGCTCCTGCCCACCAAGACCCAGGAGTCCAGGCCCCCAGCCTCCTCCTCCCTCAGACCCAGGAGTTCAGGCCCCCAGCCCCCTCCTCCCTCAGACCCAGGAGATCAGGCCCCCAACCCCTCCTCCCTCAGACCCAGGAGTCCAGGCCCCCAGTCTCTCCTCCCTCAGATCTAGGAGTCCAGGCCACCTGCCCCTTCTCACTACTGGATTCAGAAGTTTGCGTACCTGTCAGGCAGAGCGCAGCCCCAAAGAGGCAGAGCAGAATGACTCTGGGGACCCCCATTGCCATTGCTGAGCTGGGCCACCTGGGACAGCTCCTCCCGCTGTGATGTGCTGCCTGGCTGGTTCTCCTTACTGAGTCCTAAGCATCCCGGCCACCCAGCCTGGCCAGTATTTCTTCGTCCCACCCTCCCTATGTGGGCGGGTCTCTTCCTAGGTAATCGTGATGGAAACAGGGTGATCCTCAGTTGCTGGAGATCTACACTTCTGGGTCTGAGGGAGGAGAGAACTAGAAGTCTGGAACCCTTAATTTTGAATGATTGGTGTCTTGTTGGCCTTCTTCCTTCACCCCTCCCAGCACTCTGCTCTAATCTGAGGGTGGCACATATGGCCTTTTGACTTCCCTTCCCTCCCCCTACCCCAACACACACCACCCACACAGCTTCCAATCCTGGGATGTCTCCACACCCAAAGACACGTTCATCGTCCCATCATCTAAACCTTCTCTGAACCCCATCTCCCCACTCATCCACACACCCTCAGCCTCCAGCACCTTCCTGTCTCCCAGCCCTGATCAAACTAGGCTGGGCTAGCGTCTGTCTCCCCTACCGGGCTGTGAACTCTTCGGGGGCCTCCAGGAATGTCTGAGATACCGTATGACTGAACGAATGAATCAATGAATGAAGACACAAACAGAGAGGCACCAAGAGACATACAGGGAGAGACAGACACAAAAGAGAAACAGAGAGAGAGGAAGAGAGAGAGAGAGAGTGTGCCTTCGAGGAAGCAATTACACATGAGATGCAGAAAGACAGACACAGCCTGCTGTGAACAGATGTGACTGTGTAGTCACACAGACAAACCTAGAGGTGAAGAGGGACACCCCGATAGACACGACATGCCCCCAGGTGTTTCAGAAACATTTATTAAATGAATGAAATCAAGAAGATGGAGATACAGCAGACAACCAGAGGGTCACTGTCCCCCGAGGACACAGGCAGACACATGTGGATGCTCAGACACTCAGCAGGTGAGGAGGTCCAGAGGAGGCCCCAGCAGGTGGTTGGTGCTGAGGCAGAGACCCCAGGCTAGCACCTCCTGGTTTGTCTCACTTCTTGCTGCCTGGAGATGCTGCCTGCTGGATCAGGCTAGTGGATACTAGCCACAGAGTGGGCACCAGCCATGTGCAGACACCCAGAGTCTCAGACCCACATCTGGATGGCAGAGTCCACGTAACACTGGTGACCAAAAGAGCCTTAATGGTCCCCTCAGATCGACTAAACTTTAGACAGGTTTCTTCCTCTCGGCCCTGGATCACGCTTTTTGTAGGACACTTACTTTAGAAAACTTGTACAGTCATCCCTCGGTATTGTTTTCTATTTCTATTTTTTTTATTGTTTTTTGGTTTCAAAATATTTTTTATCCAAAGTTGACTGAATGCGTGGAGGTAGAACCTGTGGATGCAGAACCCCATAGACACAGAGGGCCAAATATAATTGCAAATTCTTTCTCTGCTCCCCCCGCACCCCCTCTCTTTTTCTTTTTGAGACGGCGTCTCACTCTGTTGCCCAGGCTGGAGTGCAGTGGCGTGATCTCGGCTCACTGCAAGCTCCGCCTCCCAGGTTCACACCATTCTTCTGCCTCAGCCTCCCGAGTAGCTGGGATTACAGGCATGTGCCACCATGCCTGGCTAATTTTTGTATTTGTAGTAGAGACAGAATTTCACCATGTTGGCCAGGCTGGTCTTGAATTCCTGACCTCAAGTGATCTGCCCGCCTCGGCCTCCCAAATTGCTGGGATTACAGACGTGAGCCACTGTGCCCGGCCTTCTCTGCGCCTTTGAAATGTAGGTAAATCTTCTCCTGGTCTCTTGCCAGCGTTACAACCCAGGAATGTCTTTTTCAAGGACCTGGGAATTATCCCTTTGAAATCATCAAGGGAGATAGCACCCCTATCGCCCAGTCTCTGTGGGAGGGTAGGAGCCTCACTTTGATAATTGACAATCAGCAAACTCAGATGGCCCAATCACAGAGAAAAACATTTGCAGACTCAGGAATAACTCCATGTGATGGACACATCCCATTGACAGAATAACTCCATGTGATGGACACATCCCATTGACCCACCTCCCCCATTGTCCTCCAATATTTTTCCATTAACTCACCTAGGGCTTAACCACCCTAGCATATTTGTTTCAGTGGAGTTGAGTTCAGTCTCTTTCCCTATTGCAATCTCCTTGAATAAAGTCTGCCTTGCCTGTGCAATTTTTCTTTGACAGCAGCCACTATGGACACTCACCAAACTATGTCCTCCCTTACTGTCATCTTGCCAAATCCCTCCTCTTCCCATCAGGCCTCACTTCCCAGAACCTGTTTTGCATACAAATTATTCTTCCTTCCTGATTCTCCAGTTTCTGCCCCAGGCTCTCAGTGGGGGTCTATCCAGACCGGGGCAGGGTTGTGCTCGGGGGTCTCTGGAGAGTGGAGTCTGGCCAGGAAGGAGGATGGTTTTTCTGAAGCCCCCGTGGAAGGTGGAGGCACTGAAGGTCTTCACAGCAGTTGTCAGTTTCAGGGATTGAGGCTTACAGGGTAGGCAGACCAGTCTGGTGAATGCATGAGTATGTGAGTGCTGTGTGCACTTTTGATTCTGGTATCATTCAGGTACTTTTGGAGACTTTGAAGTGTCAGCTCCCTGTACCTTTTGGGAGCATCCATCTGGCTGTCTTCATCTGCCTGGTGTCTGAGTGTTCACGAGTCTGTTGAATGCCTTAGAATTCTGAATGCCTTAGAATGTTCTCAAGGATCTTCTGTTGCATTCCATCAGTTTCCACGCATGGTTCCATTTCCAATCATGTTTGCAAACATCTGGCCTCTCAAAATTTTTTTTCATATTTGATTTTCATAAGCAGTTTACTAAATGTGGGTACCTTCTAGGGTTTGTGGCCCAAATAGTTGAGAAGTATTTAGTATTTCTTGCCTTATTGGAAATGATTCCATTAATCAAACAAGTCATAATTGTAATGCGTTTTAAGATATTCCCTAAGTAATGTGGGTCATCCCTTGCTTCCAGTCCTCATGTTCTGCATAAATGTTATTTCACACATTATCAGAATTGTGAATTTTCTTTTGGAACTCTAGTCATGACCTTGTCAAAAATTGGATCATGCAGATTGTATGCCAATATATTCTTTTGTTATTTTGTTATTTTTATTTTTTGAGACCGAGTCTCACTCTGTTGCCCAAGCTGGAGTGCAGTGGCGCCATCTTGGCTCACTGGAACCTCCGCCTCCCAGGTTCAAGTGATTCTCCTGCCTCAGCCTCCCAAGTAGCTGGGATCACAGGTGCCTGCCACCATGCCTGGCTAATTTTTGTATTTTTAGTAGACACAGGGTTTCACCATGTTGGCCAGGCTGGTCTCAAACTCCTGACCTCAGGTGATCCACCCGCCTCGGCCTCCCAAAGTGCTGGGATTACAGGCGTGAACCACCACACCTGGCCTCTTTTGTTGTTTTCACATGCATTCTTCCTGCAGCATCAATATCTCTTTCTTTCAAATCAGATCTTAATTTTCTTTTACAGTTCAGTAGTATCAAGTGTATTCATGTTTTGTACAATCAATATCCAGAACTTTTCATCTTGCAAAACTGAAACTCTTTACCCATCAAACAACTCCCCTTTCTTCTATCCCTCCTCCCCACACCCCCTGGCAAGCATCATTCTACTTTGTTTCTGTGAATTTGACTACTCTAGATCAGGGATCCCCAACCCCCGGGGCCTGGTACCAGTACCTGTTAGGAACGGGGCCGCACAGCAGGAGGTGAGCGGTGGGTGAGGGAGGGAAGATTCATCTGTATTTACAGCCTCTCCCCATTACTTGTACTACCACCTGAGCTCTGTCTCCTGTCAGATCAGTGGCTTAGATTCTCATAGCAGCGTGAATCCTATTGTGAATTGCGTATGCAAGGGATCTAGGTTATGCATTCCTTATGAGATTATAATGCCTGATGATCTGTCACTGTCTCCCATCACCCCTAGAGGGGACCATCTAGTGGCAGGAAAACAAGCTCAGTGGGCCAAGCGTGGTGGCTCATATCTGTAATCCTAGCACTTTGGGAGGCTGAAGCAGGAGGATCACTTGAGGTCGGGAGTTCAAGATGAGCCTGGTCAACATGGTGAAACCCCATCTCTACTAAAAATATAAAAATTAGCTGGGCATAGTGGGCACGCCTGTAATCCCAGCTACTCAGGAGGCTGAGGCAAGAGAATCCTTGAACACGGAAGGCGGAGCTTGTGGTGAGCTGAGATCACACCACTGCAGTCCAGCCTGGGCGACACAGCAAGACACCGTCTCAACAAAACAAAACAAAACAAAACAAAACAAACCCAACAAGCTCAGGGCTCTCACTGATTCTACATTATGGTGAGTTATATAATTATTTCATCATATATTACAATGTAATAATAATAGAAATAAAACGCACAATAAATGTAATGCTCTTGAATCATCTGAAACCATCCCCCACTCCCCAGGTCCATGGAAAAATTGTCTTCCACACAATCAGTCTCTGGTGCTCAAAAGGTTGAGGACCGCTGCTCTAGATAACTCATATAAGTGAAGTCATATAGTACTTGTCCTTTAGTGACTGGCTTATTTCACTTAGCATAATGTCCCGAAGGTATAACCATGTTGTATGTAGCATGTGTCAGAATTTCCTTCCTTTTAAAGGCTGAACAATATCCCATTGTGTGGATACACCGCATTCTATTTATTCATTCATCCTTCCATCAATGGACACTGGGGTTGTTTCGCCTCTGGGCTATTGTGAGTAATGCTGTTATGAATATGGCTGTACAAATATCTGTTTGGGACCCTGCTTTGAATTTTTTTGGTTATTATATCAAATCATTTTGAATGTTGCACGCTCTTGTGGAAGTGCCCCTCACCTCATTTTCTTTCTTTTCTTTTCTTTTCTTTTTCTTTTTTTTTTTTGGCAGAGTTTCGCTCTTGTTACCCAGGCTGGAGTGCAATGGTGTGATCTCAGCTCACTGCAACCTCCGTGTCCCAGGTTCAAGCGATTCTCCTGCCTCAGCCTCCTGAGTAGTAGCTGAATTTACAGGCGCCTGCCACCACGCCCAGCTAATTTTTGTGTTTTTAGTAGAGATGGGGTTTCACCATTTTGGCCAGGCTGGTCTCGAACTCCTGATCTCAGGTGATCCGCCTGCCTCGGCCTCCCAGAGTTGGGATTACAGGTGTGAGCCACCGCGCCTGGCCCACCTTCTAATTTTCAAATAATTTGTGATAGCTGTGCTCACCTGTGTTGTTGCAGGCTAGGCTCTCCTGGGAGGCAGATTGTGAGGCTGAGATTAGCATGCAGGACCTTGGGATCAATAGCTGCATAAAGGAGGCAAAGGAAACTGGATTTTGAGCAGAGGGTGAGATTGGGTCCTGATTCAGTCAATCCAAGGGTTCAGTGCACCCCAGGGGGAGGTCTGGCACTGGGCTTCTGGGTTCTGATCAGCTGAGGCAATGCCCAAGGGGCTGACATCAGAAGCAGCTGTCAGAGTCCTTCATTCCTAAAGAGATCTTGGTGGCAAATCACAGCATCCACCACATTCTACTCATTTCTTTGTTTTAGTGTATTTTTCTCCATCTCCAGTGTATTTTTTCCACCTCTTTGAAATAAACATTAATTACAGAATCCTTTGAGATTAAACAAAGTTACCTGATCTGGTCATTTATTCCTCAGTTGAAAAAATTGATGTGAAACTACTTTTCTGTCTACCGTTACTGTCTTTTGGAAGTTAAATGCTCTTTTTTTTGAGACAGAGTCTCACTCTGTTGCCTAGGCTGGAGTGCAGTGGCGTGATCTTGACTCACCACTGCCTCCCAGGTTCAAGTGATTCTTATGTCTCAGCCTCCGGAGAGGCTGGGATTACAGGTGTCTGCCACCACGCCTGGCTAATTTTTGTATATTTAGTAGAGACGGGGTTTCACCATGTTGGCCAGGCTGGTCTCGAACTCCTGACCCCAACTGATCCACTGGCCTCAGCCTCCCAAAGCATTGAGGTTACAGGCGTGAGCCACTGCACCCAGCCTAACTGCTCTTATTTAAGGTGAATAATTTTTAAGAGTTTAAATTTAAGGGTTTAATATTTAAATATTCACATCTAAAGAGTTTAATATTTAAATTAGGTGGCTGGGTACCTGGATTGACGAAAAGAACATGTAATTAAAGGGTTCGTTTATTCTCCATTTTTCCTGTCTTCCAGTTATTTCTTGAATTTTCTTTTCTTGGCTTACCCAAAAGTGGAAGGAGTAAATTCATGGTCTGTTCTGCTCAATAATTAATGGATCTGTGCTACATTCTGCCAAAATAGCAGCTGTGGAAATTTTTTCCCCTTGCAACTTTGTTTTTCTCAAAAATTCATTCAATGATCCACTTTGTTTCATAATAGCTTTCCATTTTCTGGTCCTGATTATTTTTTGTCCTTGATAGACATCGAATAAGGTTAATATTTTATCTTAGAATTTTAGCATCTTACAATACTATGTAGGCAACAAATCATTAAATTTTCATAAGTTTATTTTTATACTGATGAAATTTCTAAAGCAATAATAAGCAACTACTATAATAGTATAATTAACAGACTTGCATAATACTCTTTAATTTCAACCCACACACATTCTTTGTGGATGATTAATGGTAACCGGATATTAGTTTGTTGTGTTATTGTTGTTGTTGTTTTGAGACAAGAGTCTTGCCCTGTCACCCAGGCTGGAGTGCAACGGCGTGGTCTCGGCTCACTGCAACCTCCACCTCCCGGGTTCAAGTGATTCTCCTGCCTCAGCCTCCCGAGTAGCTGGGATTACAGGCGCCCGCCACTACACCCGGCTAATTTTTGCATTTTTAGTAGAGACTTGGTTTCACCACGTTGGCAGGCTGGTCTCGAACTCCTGACCTCGTGATCTGCCCACCTCAGCCTCCCAAAGTGCTGGGATTACATGTGTGAGCCACTGCACCTGACCGGATATTATTATACAGTGATTTGTGCCAAGTGAAAGGACTTGTAGATTTATTTATTTATTTAAGACAGAGCTTCGTTCTTGTCACCCAGGCTGGAGTGCAATGGCGAAATCTTGGCTCACTGCAACCTTCGCCTCCCGGGTTCAAGCGATTCTCCTGCCTCAGCCTCTGTAACTGGGATTACAGGCGACTGCCACCACGCCCGGCTCATTCACTGGGCTAATTTTTGGTATTTTTAGTAGAGACAGGGTTTCACCATGTTGGTCACTCTGGTTTTCAACTCCTGACCTCAGGTGATCCACCCGCCTTGGCCTCCCAAAGTGCTGGGATTACAGGCGTGAGCCACTGTGCCTGGCCAGGACTTGTAGATTTAAACATAGAATTCAACAATTCCAGTCTGGTAGAGTAAATAATTAGATGAAAATATGAACTGCAATATGAAATACTGAATACAGACAATGTGCTGGCACCATTAGGGACTTTAACAAAATGTTCTGCATATCAGGTGGAAGAGCAGCTCATTGTTTAGAAGCACAGACTATTTTAAATGACATAAAATCAACACGTCTTTCCATTTCAAAACCAATGTCTCCTTAGTATATGGAAGTAGAATGGTAGCTACCAACCCTCTTGGAACAAGACACTTTACTGCCATCTGCTGGAACATAGTTGCAATAAATTGTAAATCACTTTTGCAACCGTCAATAGCATGCACAATACATAATAATTTTCAAAAAGTTGTTTTCAAAATAGTAAAGATGTCTGTGATATGAATAGCACCTCCTTAGGTGTAGTGTTCTTGTGCAGTGCCCAACATGAACAACTGCACATGGTGACAGTAGAATCATGGCATCTGCAAAACAAAATCCATTTTACTTTTTCCTCTCCAATCTTTATGCCTTTTTTTTCTTTTTCTTGCCTTATTGTATAGGCTAGAACTCCCAGTACATGATTGAATAGAATTAATGAGAGTAAACATGCTTGTCTTGCTACTGATGTTATATAGTCGTGTGTTTTTTTTAGACAGGGTCTTTCTCTGTTACCCAGGCTGGAGTGCGCTGGCATCATCATGGGTCACTGCAGCTTCAACTTGCTGGGCTCAAGTGATCCTCCCTCCTCAGCCTCTTGAGTAGCTGGGACCACAGTTGCATGCCACTGTGCCTGGCTAATTTTGCTAGTTTCTACCCTTCCCTTCCGTTCCCTCCCCTCCCCTCCCCTCCCTTCCCCTCCCCTCCCCTCCCCTCCCTTCCCCTCCTCTCCCCTTTCTTTCCCTTCCCTTCCTTTCTTTCCGTTTTTCTTTCTTTCTTTCTTTTTTTTGGACAGAGTCTCGCTCTGTTGCCCAGGCTGGAATGCAGCGATCTTGGCTCACTGCAACCTCTGCCTCCTGGGTTCAAGTGATTCTCCTGCCTCAGCTTCCCAAGTAAGCTGGGATTACAGGGGCCTGCCACCACGCCTGGCTAATTCTTTGTACTTTTAGTAGAGATGCGGTTTCACCACGTTGGCCAGGCTGGTCTTGAACTCCTGACCTTAGGTGATTCACCTGCCTCGGCCTCCCAAAGGACTGGGATTACAGGCGTGAGCCACTGCGCCCAGCCTAACAGAAAAATATTTTTTAAATAATAGTAAATATATACCAGACCACCCACAGCGTGATCAAACACCTTTCTTTGGCAGCATTTGTGTAGTTTCTAATACAGCTTTAAAATATGTTCATAAAGAATTATTAAATATCCTTTGTATTTATATTTTATTTAGAGCCTGGAGAAGGCTCTAAATAAAAGGTGAGAGGTGAATATTTTGAGTTAACTTGATATAAGCAAGGTTTCACAGATTAACTTTGAAATATAGGATGACATGGGGCTGGGTGCCATGGCTTATGCCTGTAATCCCAGCATTTGGGAGGTTGAGGCAGGATGACTATGACAGCTTGAGCCCAGGAGATTGAGGGAAAAAAAAATGGATAACATGGAATAGTTGAGAAACGTGACATCATGAAAATAAAGGTGATTTTTCTAAATTTTATTGCAAACAAATTTAAAGGTATGAAAGTGTTGAAAAATTAGCTCATCAGCTGGGCACGGTGGCTCACGCCTGTAATCCCAGCACTTTGGGAGGCCAAGGCGGGCAGATCACCTGAGGTCAGGAGTTCAAGACCAGACTGGCCAACAGGGCGAAACTCTGTCTCTACTAAAAATACAAAAATTAGCCTGATGTGGTGGTGGGCACCTATAATCCCAGCTACCTGGGAGGCAAAGGCAGGAGAATGGCTTGGACCTGGAAGGCGGAGGTTGCAGTGAGCAGAGATCACGCCACTGCCCTCTAGCCTGGGTGACAAAGGGAGAAAGAAAGAAAGAAAGAAAGAAGGAAAGAGAGAAAGAAAGAGGGAAGGAGAGAGGGAGGGAGGAAGGAAGGAAGGGAGGGAGGGAGGGAGGAAGGCAGGCAGGAAGACTCATTGATCATCCATATAGCAATTATGTGGATCAAAATTGTCAACATTTGCCATATTTGCTTATTCTATCTCTATCTTCTGTGTCAGCCTCTGGTGCATAGGAAACCACAAGCAAAATGTAGGGGCTTAAAACATCAAGCATTTTACCCCTCTCCAAATCCTGTGTGTCTCTTGGGTTGTTCTTCTGATATGGGCTGGCTTGACTGATTTCTGCTGGGCTCTGTCATGTGCTTGTGGTCAGCTGGAGGGTTGGGTGGTGGCTGGATGACCCAGAATGGTCTCACTCACAAGACTGGCTGTCAGGCAGGCCTCAGTTCTCCTCCAAATGGCTAGCTTGAACTTTATCACATGGGAGTTGCAACGTTCCAAAGGGGAGCAAAAAAGAGCAACCCCTAATAAGCAGGTGCTTTTCATGCCTTTGCTTATGTTATGTTTGCTAATGTCCCATGTCCCATTGGCCACAGCAAGTCACCAGGGTATCCCAGAGTCAGTGCAGAAGGACACTAACAAAAGGTGTGGATAGAGGGAGGGGAATGATTTGTGGTTATTTTTTCTATCTATCTATCTATCTATCTATCTATCTATCTATCTATCAATCTATCATCTATCTATCCATCCATCCAGCTATCTATCATCATTATCATCTTTATCATCTATTATTTGTCTATTACTGTTGAACCATTAAAAGCAAGTTGCAGACATCTTTTGCTTCACTCCTAAATATAAATTCTGGCATAGGCAAGGGTCTTTCTCCAATTCAATTCTTCCCTTCCCTTCTTTTCAGACTATTTTTAAAGGGCTAAATAACTTGAAACTTGATCGTTCATCTCACATTCACACAATAATTGTGACAGTGATAAAGAACATGCAGGGAAGACCTACAAGGCCAACTAATTAAAATATTTAAAAACATTCATTTTTACCCACAAGGAAATCGTAGGTTTGAGCCACAACATTTAACCAGATTTCTTGGAGCTCAAAGGCAGTTCTGCAGTCAAATTTATACTCTTTTAACTACACGCAAATTAAGGGACAGATGATGCAGACATTTCTAGGAAAAGAGTGGTAACTTCTAGGTCATCACCATGGAAATGGGTGGTAACTTCCGGGTATTGCCATGGCAATGGTAAACTGACATGGCACACTGGCGGGAGTGTCTTATGGAAAGCTGCTTCCACCCAGGCCCTGTTTTAGCTGGTCCTCAATTAGGTCTGGTGTCTGAGCCCCACCTCCGGAATCAAGTCCCACCTCCGACCTCATAAAGATATTAAGGACACTGTAAGAATAAATTCCTGCCCCATTCAGGAGATGTCTTGTGTAATTACGTTACTATGAGGTAGCTGGCTGGTCTCCTTGAGAAGCAGTTGCATATCAAGTGCTCAGGATCAGCCTCTGCTGCTAGCAGATTGGGTACTCAGTAGCGGCGGTAACTTGATTAGTTTCAGTGAAAGGTAGCCCCTGCATGGTGCCCTCCCACAGTAATGAGTTTATGCAAGATCTGGTTGTTAAAAAGTCTGGGAACTCCACCGTCTCTCTCTCGCTCTCTCTCTTGCCATGTGACACACCTGTTCCCCCTTCGTCTTCCACCATGATTGTAAGCTTCCTGAGGCCTCACCAGAAGCAGATGCTGGCACTATGCTTTTTGTACAGTCTGCAGAACTGTGAGCCAAATAACCTTCTTTCCTTATAAATTACCTAGACTCCGGCATTCCCTTATTGCAATGCCAAACAGACTAACACACAGGCATAGCTTTCACCCTTGCCACCATGGCCACTCTGTTCATGAGACCATTGAACCAGCATGGGGCTGGCTGAGGAGATGGACTGACTTACTTTCATGGGATGGATCATCCCTGTTGTTAAGAGCTTTCTTTGTGGGGATTATTGTTGTATTTATTTGTGTATTTATGTATTTATTTATTGAGACGCTGTTTCATTCTGTTGCCCAGGCTGGAGCGCAGTGGTGCAATCTTGGCTCATTGCAACCTCTGCCTCCCGGGTTCAAGTGATTCTCCTGCCTCAGCCTCTTGAGTAGGTGGGATTACAAGTGCACACCACCAAGCCCGGCTAATTTTTGTATTTTTAGCAGAGATGGGGTTTCACCATGTTGGCCAGGCTGGTCTCGAACTCCTGACCTCAAGTGATTTGCCTGCAACGGCCTCCCAAAGTGCTGGGATTACAGGCATGAGCCACTGTGCCCAACCAAGGATTATTTTTAGTAGGAATTAGGATGAGACACATATATGCATGCATTTTGTATGTACGCCCATAAATGTATCCACATACTTCTTCCTAGACCTACTTGCCCCTGAGCTTCCAGTCTCATTCCTTACAAGATCCTGACCAAACAGAAAGCCATGGGCCATTTCCCAGGAGCCCATGTATATCTGCACATTGGGCCACATCTCACTCCAATTTAAGTGAAGGGGCCAGGTGTGGTGGCTCAGCCTGTAATCCCAGCACTTTATGAGTCTCAGGCGGGACGATGGCTTGAGCCCAGGAGTTCAAAATCAATCTGGGCAACATAGGGAGACCCCATCTCTACAAAACATTCAAAACAAATTAGCAGGTGTAGTGGTGCACACCTGTAGTCCTAGCTACTGGGGAGGCTGAAATGAAAAAATCACTTGAACCCAAGAGATTGAGGCTGCAGTGTGCTATGATCCTGCCACTGCACTCCAGCCTGGGTAACAGAGAAAGACCTGTCTCTAAAACAAACAAACAAACAAATGAAGTGAAGATCTCCAATCACAGCTCTGTACACCAGGATTTACCTTCACCACTGCCTGTAGGACCCACCTCTGAGTAGTGGTCCCGTAATATGATAATTTAGGTTCAGCTTCCAAAATACATCAGTCACACTGATCCATCTGTGAGCCAGACCTTTTCTTCCTTAATATTCTACAGGAAAATCTTCATATGATGTCATGAATGTGAATTAAAGGAACAACATAGCTGCAACCAAGGTCAGTGACATGAGAGTCTGAGCTGTCTGTGTGTGTAACTCTTTTGTGCCATCTAGATCTCTTACAATGAATTAATACTGTGCCCAAATCGCACTATGACTTAGTGGGTTAGATACCCAACTCATGACAGGTAGTTTTAGTCATATAGATACTTGATGTCCCATGGTCAAAATCACAGACTCTATTAGTACTCAGCAGCTGGTTTTCAAATTGAAAGCACTTATATGCTGCATAATAAATGGACTTACTTCAGAACCTTACGGGCTGTAATTTTGCTTTTGTATCTTGCCAGAGACTCCACATAACAGCTTCAACCATTATGGATAGAGGTGACACCATCAAAGTTGCTGATTCATGTGGCTCAGGGACAGGGAGATTGCATCGCAGGCTTTACCTGCTGTAGAGCTCTCACCTGCTTTGAAACTCAGCAGCCTTCAAGTTTATCTGAAAAATGAGTCAGAACAAAATTCCAGGCCAGTCATGATGGGTCACGCCTGTAATCTCAGCACTTTGGGAGGCCGAAAGTGGGGGGATTGTTTGAGGCCAGGAGTTTGAGGCCAGCCTGGGCAATATAGTGAGAACCTATTTCTAAAAAAAAAAAGAAAGAAAGAAAAAGGAGTTTGAGACCAGCATGGGCAACACACGGAGACCCCGTCTCCACAAAAAATTTAAAAACTAGCTGTGCACGGTGGCATGTGCCTGTAGTCCCAGTTACTCGGGAGGCTGAGGTGGGAGGATCTACTTGAGCCAGGGAGGTCAAGGCTGCAGTGAGCTGTGATCATGCCACTGCACTCCAGCCTGGGCAATAGAGCAAGACTCTGTCTAAAACAAAAACAAAACCAAAAACCAGCTATAAAAGACACCTAGAACTATTAAAAAAAGAGAAAAAAAGAACACTATTCTGAAGTGTGATTTATATATGTATCATATAAATCATATATGTTATATATAAACACACATCTATATATACCCATCTATTATTTTTATTTTATTTTATTTTATTTTTGAGACGGAGTTTCACTTTGTCACCCTGGCTGGAGTGCAGTGGCGCGATCTCAGCTCACTGCAACCTCTGCTTCCCGACTTCAAGCGATTCCCCTGCCTCAGCCTCCTGAGTAGCTGGGACTACAGGTGTGCACCACCATGCCTAATTTTTGTATTTTTAGTAGAGATGGAGTTTCACCATGTTGGCCAGGCTGGTCTCGAACTCCTAACCTCAAGCGATTCACCCGCCTTGGCCTCCCAAACTGCTGGGATTCCAGGTGTGAGCCACCACGCCCCACTCTATCTATCTATCTATCTATCTATCTATCTATCTATCTATCTATCTACCTATCATGTATCTATCACTTTCAAATGTCAAAGAGCCCTACCAAATTATGTGCCTGTTTATCAGTTTAGGAAGTGTGAGTTGTAATAACTTATTCTTTACCTTAAGGGAGATACTATGGCATGTCCCAGATGATTGGACTTCTAAAATCTTCACTGATGTGGTAAGTTAGTGAACATTCATGAGGTTTATCTCCCTCTTTCTGTCACTCATTTGCATTACTATGGCTTCTACAGTGATTGCCACTTCCTGATCACCAGGTCAAATTAGCATGATTTTATTGGTGGAATGAACCAGTGCTATGTTCTTCAGAATGTAAAGATGATCAAGGCCTCTGTGGACTACAATATGACGGAGATTAGGAGGGTTATCAGGAACCTGGGGCAAGACAGTGCTGCAGTCCTTACCATGCACACATGAATGGCTTTTAATTCTCCTAAATGTCAGAGATCAAGTAAAATACATTTGTCAGATCATTAAGCACATACTAAGGACCAAAAACTAGGTTGGTCAACTCCAGTAAAGATGTCACATCTGACATAGCAGCTGAAATTGGAGCTGCTATTTGTTTACATTTAAAGTAGTCACTATGAATTAGCTTTGGCCACATAATAAGTGATACGGTTTGGCTGTGTCCCCACCCAAATCTCATCTTGAATTGTAGCTCCCATAATTCCCACATGTTGTGGGAGGAACCCGGTGAGAGATAACTGAATCATGGGGGTGGTTTCCCCCATACCGTTCTCATGATAGTGAATAAGTATTATCAGAGCTGATGGTTTTATAAGGGGAAACCCTTTTTGCTTGGCTCTCATTCTCTTTGCTGGCTGCCATGTAAGATGTCTCTTTGTTCTCTTTTGCTCTTCTGCTATGATTGTGAGGCCTCCCCAGGCATGTGTAACTATGAGTCCATTAAACCTGTTTTTCTTTATCAGTTACCCAGTCTTGGGTATGTCTTTATCAGCAGCATGAAAACAGACGAAAACAATCAGTAACCCCAAAACTCAGAGGCTTGAAATTACGAATATTATTTCTCACAATTCTGGGGGCTTTCTGAGCATTTCTTTTGCTCTGGGCTGGTTTGGCTGCAGCTGCATAGTATAGTCAGGCCTCACTCAAAGTTCTAATGGTTGGTTGGTTATTGTGGGGGAGGGGGCATGAGAATGACTTGGCCTTATGTTTCTCATCATCCCTCAGTCTAGTTCACGCTTGCATGAACCCATGGGAGCTGGGTTCAAAATGCAACAAGAAAGCAGTTTCCATTCAGTGAGTGTTTTTCAAACCTCTATATGTCACATTTACTACTGTCTCAAAGAAAATCAAATGCACATTCCCAGATTCAAGGAGTGGAGAAATTGACTCCACCTTTGAAGGGAAGAGCTGCAAAGTCATGTTGCAAAGAATATACACACAGGAATGGGAAGAATTTGTGGGATTTTTTTTCAATCTACCACATCCACTAGCTTCAGTCATGCAGGTTTTTTGCAGGGGCCAAGTGAAATGAATGGAGGTATGATAGGGACAAATAATCCTGCATCCTCTAAATTTTGATGATGATGCAATCTCTGCAATTCCTCCCACAGCACAGTATTGAGTTTCAAGGGTTTCCACTTGGCTCTTTATACCATAAGGACTTTATTTATTTTTTTTTTTTTTGAGATGGAGTCTCACTCTGTCACCAGGCTGGAGTGCAGTGGCGCCATCTCAGCTCACTGCAATCTCTGCCTCCCAGGTTCAAGCTATTCCCCTGCCTCAGCCTCCCAAGTAGCTGGGATTACAGGTGTGCACCACCACACGCAAGTAATTTTTTTATTTTAGTAGAGATGAGGTTTCACCTTTTTGGCCAGGATGGTCTCTATTTCCTGACCACATGATCCACCCGCCTTGGCCTCCCAAAGTGCTGGGATTACAGGCATGAACTACTGCGCCCAGCCCATAAGTACTCTTAGTTCACAAGTTAGGAAGCCACTATAATGAGTTCTACCAGAAGATGAGCATATCTATCCCAAATATATGTTAAAGGATAGAGGAAAACAACCATAGGGTGAGTTCATGGACTTACTGAACTCACTGTGAGATCAGACTTGGGCCAAACATGGATAAGTAACAAGCTTGAAATCCTATCACAAGGATCTTGAGGGTCTCTCCTGGAAACACTCCTCTTAGCTTACATTGCCTACAGGGAGGACCCTGAGAAGAAGTTTCTGTGCTATTATTTTATCAGCCGGTACAGTTCCAGGGAAGCAGGAGAGAGGGAAAAGTATAGTGTGGTAGGGAAGGAGACAACACTTGTATGAAGGTCTTACTGAGCTGGCCACTGCTTGCTATCAAGTGTAATTGATTGTTTAATTTTGTGTTTTAAGACCACCTAGCTGAGGAGAAGAAGGGAGGTGAATTCATCCACTGGTTCATGAAATGTTTGTCCCAGAGACTATTAACTCCGCTGTACTTCCAGGTCGCGTGTGAATAGTTCAATGGGTTCTGTAACGTCTCATGCATCAGCATCAACAGGAAAGCCCTGGGGCTTGAGACAAGTAGTGCCCATTGCAGGCATGAGGTCAGGTTTCGTTGCTGCTTGTGCCCATGTAGAGTTGTTCTGAGTTCATGCAGGGATGTTGCTGCAGCAGTGAATCAAGAGAAACAAGTTTCCAGAGGCCCCAGGCACAGGTGAGGCTGAGAGGATCTGAAGTGACACATAAGATGTGTCTGAACTCTTTCTTAATTCAACTCTTGCATGCAATTATCTGAGCCTGGTGATGATTAGAGTTTAAATTCTAAACTACTGATGCTGTATCATTAATGACTAATTGTCTATTATTAAAAGTTTCTGTCTCTTCTTGTCAATTCTTTAAGTTATAGCTTTCTAGGAAATTGACCATTTCATCTGTTTTCAAATTTATTCTAATTCAAAAAATATTTTCTATTCTTGTGTAGTCTTTTTCTTTCTTAATATTATTTGTGCCTGTTCTCTTTTTTATTCATCTTTTGAAATAATCTATTTTTTAATTATCTCAGAAATGGATCACTTCAAATAAGCAGTTGTTGGCATTTAGCCTCTATTGCATCAGTGTTTTCTATTTCTTTAACTTGTGCTTATTGTTGACCTCAACCAACTTTCTTTGTATTTATTCTATTATTCTGTGTTCTAACTTCAAGTTGGACATAGCCTTCATTCTTTTCATTTTTCCCTTCTTCTTCTTCTTCTTTTTTTTTTTTTTTTTTTGAGATGGAGTTTGCTCTTGTTGCCCAGGTTGGAGCGTAGTGGCATGATCTCAGCTCACTGCAATCTCCACCCCCAGGGTTCAAGCGAGTCTCCTGCCTCAGCCTCCCGAGGGGTCTAGGAGATTAGTGATTATTAGTTCTAGCGGGTTACAGTGACCGGTAGCACAGGAGGGATTGGCTTCCTTTTTCTGAAGGTGAACCGGGTCTTTTCTGTCCTTTTTCTAAGTAGCTTAAATAACACATGGTCAATAGGCACAATTTTCACAGGCCTCTAACTCATGACCCACTAATCCCCTAGACCCCCGTTGGAAAAAAGGAGAACGTGTAACCCTGGAGATCGATGGGTCAGGGCTAAACCCCCAAGTTGCCTTTTTAGTTTGAGGGGAGGTACACAGGCACTCTCCCAAACCAGTGTTTCAAACTTTTTATGATGAGCCGAATCTGCCAACACCAGAGCTTCCAAAAAGGACAAAAGAACTTGTTTCTCCAGCTAGCGGAAAGTGTAGCTCATTTCCTCAATGTTACTTTCTGTTATGTATGTGAGGGAACCACTATGGGAGACTGATGGCCTTGGGAAGCTAGAGAGTTGGTGCCCACTGATCCAGTTCCTGACCCAATTCCAGTTCAGAAGGCCCAAATTAGCAACTTCTGGGTCCTAAAAACTTCAATTATTGGACAATACTGTGTAGCTAGAGAAGGAAAAGACTTCACCATTCCTGTAGGAAAGCTCGATTGTCTAGGGCACACTCCAGCTGTCACTCTACACACAAACCCACACACTTGTGTCACAGTCACAGATTCATTCCAGTCCTGTCATACACCAAGCACTTTCTTCTTTTTGACACATACACACAGTCTGTCATACAAAGAGAAACACACCTGCTGTGTCATGAGCACACATGCAGTCACGAAGACATACCCTGGCCATTTCATGTGCACAGATGCACACACACCCCATTCCCTGTGTCACAAGACATCCCAGCCGTGGCACGTGCACTCTCATACAGACGCAACGTCACCATTCGCACGGTAGGGCACATCCTTGGCTCTATCACGCACATAATATTGCACACACCCCCTACACCATGTCTGTCACCACCACGGACGGTCCATCACACGCGGCCAGGGAGACGCCTGACCTCGTTTTGCCCCACCCCCTCCCTCAAGTCTTCATACCCAGCCACACTGTCGCCTTCTTCGGCTGCTCGCATTCGCCTCATTGCTTCTCCCACCCTTACCCGCACTGCCGACTGGGGCATGAGTCCGCAACGCCCTCTGCGCCTCGCCCTGCTTCGATGTCTCCTTCCGAAACTACACGCGGAACCCAAGAATCACTGGGATGCGCAAAGCGGATCAGGAGCGCACGCTCATTCGGCCCAGTGACCTGTGGGAATTGTAGTCCCGGGCCGGAAACGCAGGAGACGCCAGAAACCCAAGTTTGGGACGGCGCGTCCCAAGGGTTTCTGGAAGTTGTAACCTGTGCTCCGAGTGCGTAGGCGCAGGAACCCTTCGGGGGAATCCCTTTAGCAGGGAGCGTATATTGAAGAGTGCGTGCGGAGGTGAGAGCAATAAACTGATAACGGAAACAGATGGCATACTTCGTTTTCAGTTATCAAATTTCAAAAACTAAAAATGTAGATGGTACACAATATTGTTGAGAATGTGGGGAAATGAGAGCTTTCACACGTAGTGGGTGGAAATGACTACAGCTCTTTTACAGTTTTGTGTAGTAGCATTCACGAAGTGTGAAAGCAAACCCCTAAGCAACCAGCATTTTTACATACAAGAATCTAGCCTACAAAAATGCTGGCATGAAAGACAAAGATGTGGGTACAGTAATGCTTACCAAAGCCGTGTTTGTAATACTGAAGAATTCACATTGTAATACTGAAGAACCTCAATGTTCGTTTTTTGAGACACTGTTAGTCTGTGCTAGCCAATATGATAGCTATTTGTGGCTATTTAAAATTAAATCTATTAAAATTAAATAAAATTCGAAATTCAGTTTCTTACACTAGCCATGTTTCAAAGGCTCATTAGCCAAGACAGCTAGTGGCTACTGTATTGGACAAGAGGGATATAAACATTTCTAACATCACAGAAAGCTACATTGAACAGTGCTGGGTTAGGTAATAATTCAACGTTAAAAGGAATGAATTAAATCTATAACTGACATGAAATGAAGTAGAAGAATGTGTTGAAGTGGAAAGGGCAAATGGCAGAATTATATGGATAGCATGATCCCATTTCTGTATAAAATAGCTGTGTCTTTATACATACATTCAGTGTACAGAAAAATCTGGAAGAATACCTGAAAATATTAACTTTGGTCATTTCTGTAGATAGGGAATGAGTAGGGGGACACTTTCATTTCTGACATTATTTATCATCAGTTATTTGAATATTTAAAAACTGCAACAATTAACTGAATGTTGCTAAATCCAAATAAATATTTTTATTACTTATTTTGAAAGATTTTTGGCTGCCTTCTACTATCTCAGCGACGTACTCTTTCTTGAAATACTGAACTACTTTAGCTTAATAGACCTCCCTCATTTCTGTTTTATCTCCTCACTGAAAAGCATTAGAACATCTCTACAGCTATACCACTCTGAATGCTCCCGATCTGGTCCGAAAAGCATTAGAACATGGAATTACTTGAGTGATTAAAAGTAAAACAATAAGAAATTGATTGTGGCATCAGAAAAAGTGAAATCAGTTGGATCAATTTAAAATCCCAACATAAGTTTTTTTTAAAACGTTTTTCTTTTTACTTTGTAATTACAAAAGCAATGCATGTTTATTACATGAAATATGAATATAGAACAAGTGCAATAACAGAAAAGATCCCTGTAGCCCATGGAGTGGCTGAAAATGATGATTGCTAGTGGGTATTGGTGTCTTTTTGGGCAATGAAAATGTTCTAAAATTGATTGTGATGATGGTTGCATAGCTCTTTGAATAAACTAGAAACTACTGAATTCGGCCAGGCACGGTGGCTCACACCTGTAATCCCAGCACTTTGGGAGACTGAGGTGGGCAGATCACCTGAGGTCAGGAGTTCAAGACCAGCATGGCCAACATGGTGAAACCCCTGTCTTTACTAAAAAATACAAAAATTAGCCAGGCGTGATGGCAGGTGCCTGTAATCCCAGCTAATCGGGAGGCTGAGGCAGGAGAGTCGCTTGAACCCAGGAGGCGGAGGTTGCAGTGAGCTGAGATCACGCCATTGAACTCCAACCTGGGCAACAAGAGCAAAACTCTGTCTCAAAGAAATAAAAAAGAATCTACTGAATTGTACACTTTAAATGGGTGAGTTTTAGAGTATATGAATTATATCTCAGTAAAAGTATTACAGAAAAGCAATAATCTCAGTGAGCTGAGATCACGCCATTGAACTCCAACCTGGGCAACAAGAGCAAAACTCTGTCTCAAAGAAATAAAAAAGAATCTACTGAATTGTACACTTTAAATGGGTGAGTTTTAGAGTATATGAATTATATCTCAGTAAAAGTATTACAGAAAAGCAATAATCTGTGTTAACTAGTTAACCACCTGGAAAAATAAAGTAACTTCCATCCCTCACACATTAAAACAAATAATGTTCACGACATGTATAACTTAAAAATAGACTACCAGAGTGCTTATCAAATTACAAATTGATGTTATTATAATTTTGGTCTGTAGGCTTGACAGCCAAAACACAAATTATGAAGTAAATAGTTAATAAATTATAGAAAATATAAAGTATGTTTCAGTAAACTTCCCTGCCTCCCTCAAATTTAAGTAGCAAATAAACTAAGGGAAAATATTTCAGATACAACAAACAGATAATAAATTTAAAACAAATCAACATATAGATGAATACAAAAATGTGTAGAAATAGGTAAAGAATATAGACTCTTAGAAGGAAAAATTGAAAATGACCAATAAATACTTGAATGCATATGTAAGCTTATGAGAAATAAAAGACATGGAAATATTATGAAAATAAAGGCCGGGCGCAGTGGCTCACGCCTGTAATCCCAGCACTTTGGGAGGCTGAGGTGGGCGGATCACCTGAGGTTGGGAGTTCAAGACCAGCCTGACCCACATGGAGAAGCCCCATATCTACTAAAAATACAAAATTAGCTGGGCTTGGTGGCGCATGTCTGTAGTCCCAGCTACTTGGGAAGGCTGAGGGAGGAGAATCGCTTGAACCTGGGAGGTGGAGGTTGCGGTGAGCCAAGATCGTGCCATTGCTCCAGCCTGGGCAACTAGAGCAAAACTCTGTCTCAAAAAAAAAAAAAAAAAAGAAAGAAAGAAAAGAAAAAAGAAAAAGAAAATAAAATGTTATCATTGGTTTAAGGACTGGGAAATGGTCAAAACAATTGTAAATTTTAAGAAGATATTCATTCACAATACTTTTGGTGGGAGGAATCCACTTACAACCTTTCTGAGAGTAACTTTACATAAATATTTAAGAGAAGCATCTCTTTTAATTCAGGAATCCATTTCTAGAAATGTAGTCCAATTCGGCAAAGTTTCCGACGTACACAAATTAGTAGCTCTTCTATGCACCAACAGCGACCAAGCTGAGAATCAAATCCAGAACTCAACAACTTTTACAACATCTGCAAAAATAAAATAAGATAAAATACTTAGGAATATACCTAACCAAGGAGGTGAAAGACCTCTACGAGGAAACTTCAAAACACTGCTAAAAGAAATCATAGATGACACAAACAAATGGAAACACATCCCATGCTCATGGATGGGTAGAATCAAGATTGTAAAAATGATCATACTGCCAAAAGCAACCTACAAATTCAAAGCAATTCCCATCAAAATACTGCCATCATTCTTCACATAACTAGAAAAAACAACCCTAAAATTCATATGGAACCAAAAAAGAGCCCGCATAGCCAAAGCAAGACAAAGCAATGGAGGCATCCCATTACCTGATTTCAAACTATAAGGTCATAGTCACCAAAACAGCATAGTACTGGTATAAAAATAGGCACATCGACCAATGGAACAGAATAGAGAACCCGTAAATAAACCCAAATACAGTCAACTGATCTTCAACAAAGCAAACAAAAACATAAAGTGGAGAAAGGACGCCCTATTCAACAAATGGCACTGGGATAATTGGCTAGCCACATGTAGGAGAATGAAACTGGATCTTCATCTCTCACCTTATACAAAAATCAACTGAAGATGGTTAAGGACTTAAATCTAAGACCTGAAACTGTAAAAATTCTAGAAGATAACATTGGAAAAAGCCTTCTAGACATTGGCTTAGGCAAGGATTTTGTGACCAAGAACCCAAAAGCAAACGCAATAAAAACAAAGGGCCTGGGACTTAATTAAACTAAAGAGCTTCTGCGTGGCTAAAGGAACAGTCAGCAAAGTAAACAGACAACCCACAGAGCGGGAGAAAAATTTCACAATCTGTACATCTGACAAAGGACTAATATCCAGAATCTACAAAGAACTCAAATTAGCAAGAAAAACAAACAATCCCATCAAAAAGTGCGCTAAGGACATGAATACACAATTCTCAAAAGAAAATATACAAATGGCCAACAAACATAAGAAAAAATGCTCAACATCACTAATGATCAGGGAAATGCAAATCAAAACCACAGTACAATACCATCTTACTCCTGAAAGAATGTCTATAATGGAAAAAAAAATAGATGTTGCCGTGGATGCGGTGAACAGGGAACACTTCTACACTGCTGGTGGGAATGTAAACTAGTAAAACCGCTATGGAAAACAGTGTGGAGATTCCTTAAAGAACTAAAAGTAGAACTACCATTTGATCCAGCAATCCCACTACTGGGTATCTAGAGGAAAATAAGTCATTATACAAAAAAGATACTGGTACACACATATTTACAGCAGCAGAATTCACAATTGCAAAAATGCTTAACAACCCAAATGTCCATGAATCAATGAGTGGATAAAGAAACTGTGGTAGATATATACAGTTGAATACTACTCAGCCATAAAAAGGAATGAATTAATGCATTTGCCTGGATTTATTTATTTTTCCTTTTTTTTTTAAGATGGAGTTTCCCTCTTGTTGCCCAGGCTGTAGTGCAATGGCGCTATCTTGGCTTACTGCAACCTCCACCTCCCAGGTTCAGGCAATTCTCCTGCCTCAGCCTCCTGAATGGCTAGGATTATAGACACCCACCAGCGTGCCCGGCTAATTTTCGTATTTTTAGTAGAGACAGGGTTTCATCATGTTGGCCAGGCTGGTCTTGAATTCTTGACTTCAGGTGATCCAGCTGCCTCAGC
This sequence comes from Homo sapiens, assembly GCF_000001405.40. NCBI lineage: Eukaryota > Metazoa > Chordata > Mammalia > Primates > Hominidae > Homo > Homo sapiens. The sequence continues at coordinate 43,825,590 of NC_000019.10, forward strand.
CTCCCAAAGTGCTGGGATTACAGGTGTGAACCACCATGCCCGGCCTGGAGACTATTATTCTAAGTGAAGCAACTCAGGAATGGAAAATCAAACATCGTATATTCTCACTCATAAGTGGGAGCTAAGGTGTGAGGATGCAAAGGCCTAAGAATGACACAGTGGACTTTGGGGACTTGGGGGAAAGGGTGGAAAGGGGGTGAGGGATAAAAGACTAAAAATTGGGTGCCATGTACACTGTTCAGGTGATGGGTGCACCAAAATCTCACAAATCACCACTGAAGAAGTTACTCATGTAACCAAACACCACCTGTTTCCCAAAAACCTATGGAAATAAAAAATTAAAAAAAAATCAGACCCCCAAAATATTCAGAGTAGTACTTGTGGGAGTCATTGAGCAAGTAACATGGGAAGAGAGGAGGCTGCTTCCACCAGTGGTTTTGGAGGTGGAGCAGATGCTGATGATAATGAAGTCCCAGATGGGAAACGGGGATGGGTGCCGAGGAAAGCTCAAGGACCCTGCAGATGAGGACTCAGACCCACGATACTGGATGAGGCATCCATGTCACCATGGGAGTCAACCAGGGTAGTGGCCTCAGCTGAGGCAGGGGAAAAGCTGGGATCCAAGAGCTCTAGTCTTCTCTTGATAAGCAAGAGAGACCAGGAGGTGAGAGATGGCAGAGGATGAGAGAGGTGATATCAGTGACCAGAAAGAGCCCCTAAAAAGTAACTTCCTTTTCTTTCTGTTAGTTTTAATATAAAATTTCGCTTTAATATTTTTAGACAATTCTTTTTTAAAAAAGTATTTATATCCAAAGGTTCTTACCACACCAACCACAGCCCCAATCTTTTTGCCCTAACCTCAGAATCAGTTAGTTGTCTCCTTTAAAACCTTTCTCTCTCTCACACACCCACACACACACACACGCAAACACACAGGAGAGAGAGAGAGGGAATATATAGTATTGTTTTTGGAGTATGAGTGTGTGCTTCAGAATAAATGGTTTCATACTCTATAAAAAATGAGATTCAAATTTTATAATCCATCAAGTTTTATTGGAACACAGCCATGCTGGATTGCTTGTGCATTGTTTATGGCCGCCTTTGCACTGCCATAAGTCTCCACGGTCACAATATCCACTCACTACCACTTATTGTTGTCTTTCAACAGCGGCATATAAAATCTGTAACACAGTTCATCTCACACCTAATAAAACAGACTCACACAGGCATAAATTTAGAAAACATCCCATGAACATAAACAGGTCCACGCAGGGTCCCAGACACCGAATCGAACTAAGAAACTCCCTCACAGCAAGACACACCCATCTGTTCAATTGCCAGACACTGTTCCAGGCGCTCATACCCAGGTAAACTGGTAGTGTCGCGCAGGTCATTTCCAGCGAACTTACCCCGGATTCCCTTGCTCGCTCACGTCTAAGTCCCCAGACACCCCAGTCCCATCTTCGCCTGTTCTAGACTCCAGAATGCGTTCCTTAGCGAAAGCTGAGAACCTTTTAATTCGCTCTCAGTCAACACCAAAGACCCTCAAGCAAAAGCAAGAGCTCCCGGGCGTCTTCGAAAAAAGCGCCTTTGACAGGTGAAGCCAAGTTGCATGCTGGGAGCATCCCTGCTGTCCAGGTTTCAACTTCCGGAGACTCTGCCGCTGTGGACTACATTTCCCAGAAGTCTCCGGGGCACAGGCCTTTTAGGGGCGGGGCGAGCTTGCCTGCCAGAAGCTCCTCTCCCAGCCTGCGAGCATTTCCAGGCTCTTGTTTCCCATCAGCCTCTGGGTCCAAACTAACCACAGGTCTCTGGGTCCTTTTCCGGTGTCCTTAAGGTTCTTGGACTCTGCATGGTGAGTTGGTCGTGTCTGTAGAAGTAATCAGCCCGGGTGAAGCTGGGAGGGCTCGGCTGGCTTTACTGGGGCCCGACTGGAACCGGCAGTGAGGGTGGGGGTGGCATCGGGGGTGCTGGAGGTGGGGAGGGCTGGGTCACGGACAGAGCGTGTCGTGTCCGGATCCTCAAGCCTGTGTGCACGCGAGCAGCCGAGGGACAGTGTGTCTCAGACGGCGTGGCAGGGACGGGGCGTGTCCCCACGGAGGTGGGTGCAGTTGTGAATGTGTGACGGGCTGACAGGGTGCGTGGCCGTATTTGTAAATGTGATTTGCTTTGACCAAATGCTCTAGGTTCCCTTTAGCCTGTCTTCGGGCCTGCCACAATTAAATGACCGCAAGAAAGAAGTCTATGCTAAGCCCCATAATGAACGTTTCAAGCAAGAAGGATGAGAATTTTAGATCTGGAAGTGTCCGCGGGACAGGATCTTGTCAAGACCTGATGGGGAAGTTCTAGAGGTGGGATTCCTAGAAGAGGGGCCTCTAGGAGCTCTTTGGTGGTGAGCTACATGTTTCAGAGCCATTGCAAGCAGACCTCTGTCCCCAAGAATTGCCCTCAACACAGAGACAGACTCTAGCCTCCCTTTTCATTCCGTTTGGTTTTGTGTGGATGAAGGCAGAAGTGGCCCCAGAGGGTGTTTTGCTCTTCTTTTTCTTTTTTAATTAAGTCTGTGACGCGCTAGAAATGCTGATGTCTCATGTTACTGTTTTTTCCCCCAGTGCTGCCAGGTTGCCAGATTTCTAAGAAGGAGTTTGAAGAGGAGAAAAGGATTTTTGCATGTTTAGAAATCAAGGTTCAGGTGAGGTTTTTTATACATACTTTTTAAATACATACACATACAATTACCTTTGCTTCTAGGTCATGAGAACATTTTCTTTCCTTGGCCTGAAATATCTTGACTGGGTTTTCCCAGTTACATGACCCGCCATGCTGGTACATATTTCCTCCCAGTGGCCCCCTATTGTTCTTCTCCACAATTCTTACCCACCTGTTCATATGGCAAATTGTTCAAATACTTCAGTGCATTATGATGCACTGAAGAGTTATAGAAAGGCACCTCTTGTAGATTGCTATTAGAGCATTATTTTATACTATGATTATTTGAAGAGATTAGTAATTAGGTGGTGTTATATAAACATTATTTTTTATCTTTTCTGTAGTCATAATTAAAATTTTTTTTTAACTTTTTTTAGAGACAAGGTCTCACTCTGTTGCCCAGGCTGAGTGCAGTAGTATAGTCATAGCTCAGTGCAACCTTGAAGTCCTGGGCTCAGGTGTTCCTCTGGCCTTGGCGTCCCAAAGTGCTGGGACTGCAGGTGTGAGCCACCATGCCTGGCCCATAGTCATGATGCTTAAAGAAAGGCAAGGTATAAGGGATTTTAAGTAAGGGAATGTTTCTGGCAGTAAATGACAATGTTGTCTGCTTTGTGAGGCTTTTAGGGGTGGAAATATGATTGAGCTTTGAACATAGGGATTTGTAATTTGCACCAACAAGAGTGGGGACTTTCAGATAATCTTTAGATAGAAATCTGTAACATTTCCAAGCATGACTTGTTTGAAGTCCAGCTTTCTGTGGCATGTAAGAAGCCGTACTATGTTGTAGTTAAAAATAAGGCCCTGGGGTCGGGCACAGTGGCTCACGCCTGTAATCCCAGCACTTTGGGAGGCTGAGGGAGGTGGATCATGAAGTCAGGAGATCGAGAACATCCTGGCTAACACGGTGAAACCCCGTCTCCACTAAAAATACAAAAAATTAGCTGGGCGTAGTGGTAGGCGCCTGTAGTCCCAGCTACTCGGGAGGCTGAGGCAGGAGAATGGCGTGAACCCGGGCGGTGGAGGTTGCAGTGAGCCAAGATTGCACCACTGCACTCCAGCCTGGGTGACAGAGAGAGACTCCATCTCGAAAAAACAGCAACAACAAAAAAATTAAGGCTCTGGATCCAAAGTATCTGAATTCAAATCCTGGCTCTGCCTGTTGGTAGCTGTGTGTGCTTAGACAATTGATTCAGGCCCTCTGTGCCACATCTATAAAATAGGGACAGGATAGTACCTACCTAATGGAGTTGATATGATGTAAGATGAGATATTATATGTAAAGCTTCGTAGAGCAGTGTCATCCCCATGATATGGGCTTACTGAATATTGAGTTGCTATTATTGGGCTCTTCTAGATTATTTCCCATAAACTTTTTATAGATTAGAGTAACAGAAGTATGAAGTTGATTGTGACGGGTGCTTGCAAATTAACTAAAAAAGTGGGGGCTGGGCACGGTGGCTCACACCTGTAATCCCAGCACTTTGGGAGTCCGAGGCGGGTGGATCACAAGGTCAGAAGTTCGAGACCAGCCTGGCCAGCATGGTGAAACCCCGTCTCTACTAAAAATACAAAAAATTAGCCGGGCATGGTGGCGGGTGGCTGTAGTCCCAGCTACTCGGGAGGCTGAGGCAGGAGAATTGCTTGAACCCAGCAGGCGGAGGTTGTAGTGTGCCGAGATCGCGCCACTGCACTCCAGCCTGGGTAACAGAGCAAGACTGTCTCACACACAGACACGAAAAAGTGACCACATGCTCAAATGATCTAGGACAGGAACACTTTTTTTGTTTGTTTGTTTAAACAGGTTCTTGGCCTTTTGCCTAGGCTGGAGTGCAGTGGCATGATCATGGCTCACTGTAGCCTTGGCCTCCTAGGCTCAAGCGATCCTCCCACCTCAGGCTCCCGAGTACCTGGGACTACAGGTACGTGCCACAAAGCCTGACCAGTTTTTGTTGTATTTTTTATAGAGAGGGGGTTTTGCTATGTTGCCCAGCCTGGTCTCTAACTCCTGGACTCAAGTGATCTGCCTGCCTCGGGCTCCTCAAGTGCTAGGATTACAGGCGTGAGCCACTGTGCCCAGCCTTACGACAGGAAGTCTTAACCTGAGGTCTTCTTGTTCCATTGACGAGCTTCCAGGTGACCAAAATCCCTTGAAATTGAGACTAAATTTTTGTAAATATGTGTAAATGTGTTTTTTTAAGTGGGCAAAGTGTCTATAATTTCATGAGATTATCAAAAGTGACCATGACCCAAAAAGATCTAGCTCCATTGTTCTGGAAAAAAGACTGTAATTGCCGGGAAAGAGCTTGAAAAATATTAGTGTCCAGCTGGGCTCAGTGGCTTATGCCTGTAATCCCAACGCTTTGGGAGGCCGAGGCGGGTGGATCACTTGAGGTCAGGAGTTCGAGACCAACCTGACCAATATGGTGAAATCCCATCTGTACTAAAATTACAAAAATTAGCCGGGCGTGGTGGCGTGCACCTGTAGACCCAGCTATTCAATAGGCTGAGGCAGGAGAATTGGTTGAACCTGGGAGACAGAGGTTGCAGTGAGCCAAGATTGCACCACTGCACTCCAGCCTGAGTGACAGAGCAAGACTCCATCTAAAAAAAAAAAAAAAAAAAAAAAAAAATTAGTGTCCAATAGAATGGAAATAGTCAAGTAAATTGCAGTATGTCTAGTGATGGAATGATATGCACCTAATAAAAATTAAGTTTATAAAGAGTCAAAGGAAGGAAAAATATAAATGATATAATTTTAAGCAATCATTATAGTTATGAACAAAAGTGCTCAAGAATATTGTGTTATGTGTCAATCCCATCTGATAAGACACGGTTTTGGAAGACATATTTCAAGAATTACATTAAAATGTTACTTTAATTGGTCATTCACTGAAGAAGTGGAAAGGTGCAGCCGTACTTACAGAGTATCTACTCTATACCAAATACTGTTTTGTTTATGCACATTTATTTTCTTCCTCAGACTTTGAAGGTGGTTTATCTCATTTGTGTTGATTTACAGGAGAATCTTGACAGTGAATGTGTCTCATTACATTGAATAACAGCTACAGGATGTTCGAGAGCTGGTAGGTGTAAATTGTTTCAGGCCCACTGATTTTCAGTGTTGGCCCCGTTTGTTCAGTTTTCTTAATGACTGGAATATATTCCTCCTGTCACTCAGTTTTTTACATTTGGAAATGTCTTTATAGTTCCAATTATGGAATTAATGCAGGCTTGGTCCAAAAAAAAAACTCAGCGGTCCAGGAGACATATAGAGAAGGAAGCTAAAAATTGCATCCTCTAGAGTTAATCATTTTTAATGTTTTGGTGTTTTTTTTCTTTTTCTTTTTTGAGATAGTTTCTCATTCTGTCACCCAGGTTGGAGTGCAGTGGTGCAATGTCAGCTCACTGCAACCTCCACCTCCCAGGCTCAAGCGATCCTCCCACCTCAGAGGGAAGGTAGCTGGGACCACAGGTGTGTGCCACCATGCCCAGCTAATTTTTCATGTTTTTGATAGAGATGGGGTTTCACCATGTTGCCCAGGCTGGTCTTGAACTCCTGAGCTCAAGCAATCCGCCTCCTTTGGCCTTCCAAAGTGCTGGAATTACAGGCGTGAGCCACCACACCCAGCACTTTGGAATATTTTTATTTAAATCCTTTTTCCTTTGAGCCTATGGGTCTGTTTTTTTTTTCTTTTTTTCTGCAGAATAAAATTATAGTAATTGGTGATGTAAATGAATTGAAGACTCTTTAGTTCTTAGTTTGAAAAAAAAATCCAACCCAGTTCTAGGTTTTATGTTAATCTTGAATATTTAGGGAGAAGAGGGAAGTACTAGTGATTCCCTTATTTGAAAACCTTCAAATATTTACAACTTCTGGGATTATAGAAATGTCATTTAAAAATGAATTACCAGGCAAAAAAGAGTTTTAGAATTAGATTATTTTAAAGGTTACCTCTACAGACAATGGCAATAATCTCCAATATACAGCCATCTTACAAAAAATACATTTTACAGATAATATTTCCAAGGACAGGTGTAAATACCAGGAGGTAGAATAAGAAGGTTCTTGTTGTAAATGTTTAAGTAAACCACCAATTTGTACAGAAGACTGAGCCTTTGGTTAAGTTCTCAGCTTTATACCTAATCAGGTTGTATTTTCTGATGCAGCTTAATGATGCTGAATCTCTATGTAACTTCTGGGAGGAAGGGGTATTTTCCTCTATATGTTTCTGAGAACCTGTTTTGCTCACATTGTTATTTAGGAAGAATAGCAGACTCAAGGTTGACCTGTGAAATTTGAGTTCACGTTATAAGAAAGCAGGTCTGAGAAAGACACATTTTACTGTGAGCAAAATAGAGTAGCCTTAAGTTTCTTTGGCATAACAGGATAAGGGACAGTAACATTCTTCATTTTCAATAATAATGATGAAAATGTGGCCAAGCCTGGTGGCTTGCACCTGTAATCCCAGCACTTTGGGAGGTCAAGGCAGGAGGATTCCTTGAGCTCAGGAGTTCGAGACCAGCCTGGACAACACAGTGAGACCCTTTCTTTACAAACAATTTTAAAGAAGAATCATTAGTCGGGCAAGGTGGCGTGCACCTGTGGTTCTAGCTACTGGGGATGGAGGCTGAGGTAGGAGGATCACTTGAGCCCAGGAGGTTGAGGCTGCAGTGAGCTGTGTTTGTGTCACTACACTCCAGCCTAGGCAACAGAGCAAGACCCTGTCTCTGAAAAAAAAAAAAAAAAAAAAAGACAACTTATAAACAATTATCATATACCATTCAGTATTTTGTATGGATTTCTTACTTACTCTTCTATGGTAGACACTGTTCTCACCCGTCTTACTGATGAGGAAACAGAGGTATTGAGAAATGGATAACTATCAAGCTCAAATTCACATCCTAAAGCTCTCACACCAGAACTTTTATCTTAATTTCAATAGAATATGCCTCCCACATTATGTTAGTTACAAACCGGCCTGCCTAAGGAATTGATCATGCATGTCTTTCTTCATCAATTAATATGAACCAACACCATCATAACTAATGAGGATATGGTGGGCCATAATTTATTAAACCTTTTGCTTACTATTACGTAGTTTCTCATTTTTGGTTACCAGAAATTATTTTTGGTTGAGTACCCTTGTGTATTCATCTTGTGTGTTTCTTTCTTCTTTACCTATTTCTTTTTTTTTTTTTTTTTCAGATGGAGTCTCGCTCTGTCGCCCAGGCTGGAGTGCAGTGGTGCGATCTTGGCTCACTGCAAGCTCCGCCTCCTGGGTTCACGCTATTCTCCTGCCTCAGCCTCCTGAGTAGCTGGGACTACAGGTGCCCGCCACCACACCCAGCTAATTTTTTTTGTAGTTTTAGTAGAGACGGGGTTTCACCATGTTAGGATGGTCTCGATCTCCTGACCTCGTGATCCACCCACCTCGGCTTCTCAAAGTGCTGGGATTACAGGCATGAGCCGCCGTGCCTGGCCCTTCTTTACCTATTTCTTAAGGATACATTTCTAGAAGTGAAGTTTTGGGTAAAGAATTTGCCCCAAATGCCTGACCCTGTGATACTTGTACTTAGCGGGTAATACAGTGTTTGGAAGACATAGTTGTTACCTTGGAGACCAAATATGCCTTGGGGTAAGCATAAGGCAGCCAGCAGTCAGCAACAAAGGCCAGTAGGCAATCCAGGGGACCTGCTTTAGGAACTCATAGGAAGGCAGTTATAAGCAATACCGTTGAACCATGATCAAGCATTTGGAGGCAAATGGAATTTATTCTGTAAGGTTTATACTTTATAGTTTTTATTCTACTAATGTTGGTTGCAAAGTGAGCCTAATAGGATCAGGTGATTCAGTTATCTGGATTCAGTTATCTGGAGAGTACCATGTCTAAGACAGGTTCAGATACAAAATAAATCCATCAGTCAAGATAAGAAAAGTAGAATCAAAACCTCATTAATGGAAGGGGAACAAAAAAATAAATAAAACCTCCCCTCAAAAAATGAAAAAAAAGGATGAAATTCCTCAACTTAGGCCATGAATATATTAATATCATTTCATTAATATTATTCCATTAGTATTATTCCATTAATATATACATGGCATAACTTGGGGAATTTCATCCTTTTTTTTTCTAGGCAAGACATAGGCATATGTAGAAATTATACAGTTCATGTAATGTATGGCCATGGTTACAATGATTGTGTGGATTACCTAAACAGAAAACATTATGATCATAATGAAAAGATAAATGTTATTAATATATATAGATATATAATTTTATTTTTTATTTTTTATTTTATTTATTTATTTTTTTCGAGATGGAGTCTTGCTCTGTCACCCAGGCTGGAGTGCAGCAGCGCGATCTCGGCTCACTGCCAGCTCTGCCTCCCGGGTTCACGCCATTCTCCTGCCTCAGCCTCCTGAGTAGCTGGGACTACAGGCGCCTGCCACCACGCCTGGCTAATTTTTTGTATTTTTGTAGAGACGGGGTTTCACCGTGTTAGCCAGGATGGTCTCGATCTCCTGACCTCATAATCCACCCACCTCAGCCTCCCAAAGTGCTGGGATCATAGGCCTGAGCCACCTCACCTGGCCTGTTTCTTTCTTGAGATGTATAACTTTCTAAACATTTTTTCATCTATTGATGTGATTGTCAGTCTTTCTGTATTGATATATATGTATTTTATAAATGTAATCATAAGTCTCATAACCTCCTTTTTCTATTGAGTATATCTTGATTATTTCCCTAAGTTAGCATGTACTCATTGCATGATGTTCTGCGTCATGAATATTCTGATATATGCATTAGAAAGTCAGCTTTTTGGGTTCCTGATGAATTCCTTATACAGCCTGTCCAGCTCCCATGTTTTGACCAACTTCCTTCAGTCCTGAGCCCATGAAGGACGTTCTAGCTTGGACCATGACAGGTATTCCTGAGAGGTAGGAATGGAAGGAGGATGATCTGATTTCCTGGGCAGGACTGAATTGTCGAATCCCAGGTCCAGATTCACATCCTCAGAACCAGACACTGCCAGAAACCTCCCTGCTGAAGACCTTTGGGGTTTAGGTGAAAGTTTGAATTCCATAAATGGTGCGTGGGGTGTGTAGCAGAAGCAGGCATGGAGAAGATAAGATCTTCTATTAGTGTAAGTCAGGATGGGATCACTGAGGCACACCTGGTTTAACGCTTCGTTTTCCCTCCCCAGTTCTGGCTTTTCTGGATTCTGTGCTTCACCAATAGAGGAATCCCATGGAGCATTAATTAGTTCTTGCAATTCCAGAACCATGACTGATGTAAGTTGGTATTTTTCTCTCCATGAAATACTGTGATTTTTAGGGCGTGTGAATCTTTTCATTAATTTTCCTTAGACCTATAGAACTTCTCCATAGACCCAAGTTTTCCACAGAGATAAGGACTTTGGGGTTGCTTGGTCTCAACCTCAGTTTATGTGAAGCTGCATGTGTTGGGAGGCGCTTCAGATTAGAGAGAGGGGAGTTAAGTGGTTCTTCCCAGGAATTTCCTAAGAGATGAAGACCAGTGGTCTTTGGAGTCACCAAAGGACTCCACCACCAGTGGATTTTGAACCAGTTGACTTTGAAGTCATTTTGTCGTCAACCAGGATGTGTAGGCCATGAGTGACATTTGTGTCATGTGCAATATCCTATATCAGTATCCTCATGTGTCTTGTATCAGTACTCTCTAACTCAGGGACAAGTGAAGTACTAAGCGAGGGGTAGTTGATAGTAACAGATAAGATGATGCCTAAGGTCTAGATGATAATATATTTCCACGATCAAGAAAATCTACAGAAATTTTGTTCAGCCTAAATGTACAGATATAATTGAGTGACTAAGCTCATATATTGGAGGATAAAATGAATTGCAACAAATAAAAATACTGTTTATTCATCATAAGAAAAAATGCTTATGATGTAATCTAACAGTGATGTATTTGAGTCTTGATAGTCCCTAATTTAATGGGAATCATTTTTATAAAATAAAGATTTTGTAGTACATTTGGAAAAAAGTTTTCATGTTTTCCTATTTCTTTCTTTCTTTTTGAGACAGAATCTTGCTCTGTCACCCAGGCTGGAGTGCAGTGGCACAATCTCGGCTCACTGCAACTTCTCCCTCCCAGGTTCAAGCGATTCTCCTGCCTTAGCCTCCCAAGTAGCTGGGATTACAGGCATCTGCCACCACACCTGGCTAATTTTTGTATTGTTAGTAGAGATGGGGTTTCACATGTTGGCCAGGCTGGTCTCGAACTCCTGACCTCAAGTGATTTGCCTGCCTCAGCCTCCCAAAGTGCTTGGGATTACGGGCATGAACCATTGCACCTGGCCTTGTTTTTATTTCTTAAAGGGGAAAGATGGTGAGCAATTCACTTTTACAAAGAATTTATGAGGAAGGCACATAGCACATTGTAAATCTGCATGATGTATACGCAGGCACTTTTTATATAACAGAGAAGAAACTGAGATTTTTAAAATATATTACCAGACAGATCTGGATAGCTGAGTTATCTCACAGTATCCGGGAAGTTTTTTCTGCTATAACAAGATTCTCGTAGAACATGTTGACATCCTGCTTTAGTCACAGATTTTCTTGCTTTTTCCTACCTATATCAGAGGCTTTCAGCCTACTCGATTGTTATATTTCTCCCCCTCTTTGTAGTTCATCCTTTGTACCCTCTTTTTTCCTCTTGGAAATGTTTTCTTTAATTTCACAAGTAATACATGGGTTTTTGGTTTTAGGGGTTGGTGACATTCAGGGATGTGGCCATCGACTTCTCTCAGGAGGAGTGGGAATGCCTGGACCCTGCTCAGAGGGACTTGTACGTGGATGTAATGTTGGAGAACTATAGTAACTTGGTGTCACTGGGTAAGGTCATCTGCCTGAAATAATTTAGAGTCTCCTCTTTGCATCATCAGTTTTCTGCACTGGAAATTACAGGGCTATCTTTGAAGAAACCAGGTGAATTTCTTCTCCCCCTTCCCAAGGGCATGCTTTTATACTTGCTGGGTTAGAAATGGGTTTGTTAAACACGTTGATCTTCCCCATCCCTCAGTGAGCTTTACACCATTCTCGGGCCCTCCCTGCAATCACCTCTCTCCTTTAATGGCCAAGGGGCTGGATTTGCATTATAGAACATTTATTTCATAACTATGGCAAAGAAACCAGATTTCATAAATTCTGCAAATATTATATTGAATATCTACTCCTGGCCAGCCTTGTGCTGAGCACTGTCAATTGAATCATGAACAAGCTTTGATAACTTGCCCATTTTCGTGCAGTTTACTTTGTAGTAAAGCAGAAACATCAAATAAGTAAATTTATAAATAGATAAATAGTATGTAATGAAGCAAATTCTTTGGAAAAGGTAAACAGCATAAGGGAATAGAAAATGATGAGGACTGACAGGGCTAATTTAGGTAAGACAGTCGGGGAACGCTTTCTTGAACAGAGATGTGGAGCCTGGGATCTCTATGTGAATATCTGGCGGAGGAACAGATCAGTCACAGTGAACAGCAAATGCAAAGACCCTGTTGTTGGAAAGGAACTTTACCAGAACTCTAGAGTAGAGTTATTAAAGGAACATGTACTAAGAAATTAGGCCAGGGAGATAGGAAGGGGCCAGATAATACATTGTTTTGTTGTTCTTGTTTGTGGAATTTGGATTGTTTAGTCTCTTTCAGTCTGAAACAGTTCACATGTCTTTCCTTGACTTGCGTATATGTCTGTGATGCTTTTGAAGATTACAGGCCAGCTATTTTGTATAGTGTTCCTGAATGTGGGTTTGTCTGCTATTTCTTCATGATTAGATTTAGAATATGGATCTTTGGCAGGATTATCACAGAATTGATGCTGCGTTCTTCTCCCTGCATTTTGTTGGGTGGTATGATTAATTTATCATTACTCATGTTATTCACTCTGAGTACTTGATTAAGGTAGCGTCTGCTGGCTTCCTCCTTGTGCAGTTGCCCTTTTTCCCTTCCACAACTATTTTGTGGGGAGGAACTTTGAAACTATTAAATATTGTGGAACTGGGCACAGTGGTGGCTCACACCTGTAATCCCAGCACTTTGGGAAGCTGAGACGGTTGGATCACTTGAGGCCAGGAGTTCGAGACCAGCATGGGCAGCATGGCAAAACCCCATCTCTACAAAAAATACAAAAATATTTGCTGGGCTGTGGTGGTGCGCTCCTTTAGTCCCAGCAACTGGGGAGGCTGAGGTGGCTGGATTGCTTGAACCTAAGAGGTTGAGGCTGCAGTGAGCTGAGATTGTGTCACCACACTCCAGCCTGGGTGACACACAAGACCCTACCTCAATAAATAAATAAATATTGTGTTCCTCTTTAAACTTTCCATTTATTCATATGTTCGCTTTCTAGTCAATGGGCTATATTCTGTTTTTTTTCTGTTATTTATTTTGAAGCTCAAAGTGTTGGAGCTTGTCCAGATTTAGTCAGTGGGAATCCTTTCATGATATGGCTTTTTGGCACATCTCCGTCACTCTTTGAGTACCTCCTGGTTTTCTGATAAACAAGGTGTTAGAGGTTCATCTTGTATGAAATTTCCCTTGTCTAGTTTTACAATCAGCTATTGCTTTGAAGTGCCTGGTTACTTTCACACAGATTTATAGTTATTATTTTATGCATTTGTCTTTTAAATCAATAAATCAAAAGTACAATAATACTAACTTTTATATTTACTCATGTAGTTACCTTTACCAATGTTCTTTATTTCTCCTTATGGCTTCTAATTACTGTTTAGTGTCCTTTCACTTTAGTCTGAAACACTCTTGTCTAACATTTCTTCTAGAGTAGGTCTACTGGTAATCACCTCCTTCAGCTTTTGTTTTTTCTGGAAATGCCTTAATTTCACCTTTATTCTTAAAGGACAGTTTTTGCTGGTATAGAATTCTTGGTTGACAGTTTTTTTTTTCTTTTGGACTTTTCAATATACCATCCTGTTACTTTCTGTTCTCTGTGGTTTCTGATGAGAAATTAGCTGTTAATCTTGTTGCAGATTCTTGTATGTGGTAGGCTGCTGCTTTCTTCCTGTGTTCTGAAGTCTTTTTGTCTTTGGGTTTCCATAATTTGACAATAATGTGTCTAGATATGAATCTCTTTATCATGTCTGAAGTTGTTGAGCCTCTTGGATGTGTGTATTCCTGCCTTTTGTCAGATTTTGGAAGTTTTCAGACATTTTTTCTTCAAATTTTTTTCTCTACTTTTGTCTCTCTTCTTTTTCTGGGACTCATATGATGTGTATGTTGGTGTGCTTGATGGTATCCCATTGATCCCTCAGGCTCTCTTCACTGTTCATTATTCCTTTTTCTTTTTGCTTCTCTAGTGCAATAATTTCAAATGACTCATTTTCAAGTTTGCTGAGTCTTTCTTCTGCTGAATCCACTATTGAAATTTTCATTTCAGTTACTTTACTCCAGAATTTGTTTGGTTCCTTTTTTTTATAATTTCTATCCTTTTATTGATATTTTCATTTTGTTCATACATTCTTTTCCTGATTTCCTTTAGCTCTTGGTCCATGGTTTCTGTAGCTCATTGAGCATATTTGGATAGTTCATTTAATGTCTGGGCTTCCTCAGGAATGGTTTCTGTCAGATTCTTTTTTTTCCTTTGAACGGGCCCCATATTTTCCTGTTTCACTGTATGCTTTGTAATTTTTTTTGTTAAAACTGGGCATTTTGAGTATTATAATGTGGTACCTCTGGAGATTCAATTTTCCCATTCCTCAGGCATAGCTGATTTCTGCTTGTTGAGGGCTGGAGCTGTCAGATTTTTTCAAACTCTTTTTGCAAATTGTATATTCCTTATTGTATGTGGTCACTGAAATTTCTGTTCCATCATCTCTACAGTCAGTTAGTACCAGACAAAGATTTACTTAAATATCTGGCTGTAAAAAGGGGAGGAAAAAAAGGTCCATTAGCCCTTTAAATCTTCCAATAGATACTTCTGGGGAAAGCTGCTGTGGCTGATGGGGCTAAAATCAAGGCAGTTATCTGTGCTGGTCCCTCAAGGTAACACAAAACCCACCAAACTGCACAACCCTGAATTTTTTGGAAGACAAGGTCACGCTGCCCACCCAGGTCCCAACCGGCTGTTCCAGGAATACAGGCTGCTCTCCCCACAGCTGTGGTGGAGCTGAGGAGTGAAGGAAGTGATTAGTTGGTACACAGCATTCCAGGCACATAGGCCTGTCATCCCATAGCATTGGCTGGACTGAGAAATGGGGGATGGTGGCTTGCACGAGCCACTCTTTCACCTAAGAATAGTAGCCTCTTTATTCATCCAGCACTCCCCTTGTTGTTATGGAAGTGCCTGATAAGATTCCAGAATTAAGAGTTTGTGGATGCCAATCTCTCTCTCTCTTTTTTTTTTTTGAGATGGAGTCTTGCTCTGTCACCCAGGCTGGAGTGCAGTGGTGTGATCTCGGCTCACTGCAAGCTCTGCCTCCCAGGTTCACACCATTCTCCTGCCTCAGCCTCCTGAGTAGCTGGGACTACAGGCGCCTGCCACCACGCCCGGCTAATTTTTTTTCTCCTTTTTTTTTTTTATTTTTTAGTAGAGATGAGGTTTCACCGTGTTAGCCAGGATGGTCTCAATCTCCTGACCTCGTGATCCACCCACCTCGGCCTCCCAAAATGCTAGGATTACAGGTGTGGCCCACCGCACCTGGCCAATGACAATCTGTCTTTCCAGCTCAATTGTTGCTTTGATGGAGGTACCAGCCCTTAGAGCTTCCTATTTCATCATTTTGTGTGACATCACTCCTACATATTCATTTAATGTCACTATTGATATGGTTAGATTTCAGTTTACTATCTTGCTATTTTTTGTTTCACTAGTTCTTTCTTTTGTTTCCACCTTCTTGGATTCATCAAGTATTTTTTAGTATTCCATTTTATCTCATCTGTTATCTTTTGCTGTATTATTTGTATTTACTTTTGGGATTACAATATGCATCCTTAATTTAGCATGGTCTACTTGAAATTAATAACATACTACTTTGTTGTATAATGTAAGAATTTTACTAATCTGTAAACTTCATTCAGCCTGAAAAGCTTCCTTTAGCATTTCTTGTGTTATATGGCTACTAGCAGCTAATTTTATCTTTTTTTTTTTTTTTTTTGAGACAGTCTCACTGTGTCACCCAGGCTGGAGTGCAGTGCCATGATTTCAGCTCACCGCAGCCTCTGCCTCCCAGGTTCAAGCAATTCTCGTGCCTCAGCCTCCAAAATAGCTGGGATTACAGTCGTGTGCCACTATGCCTGACTAGTTTTTGTATTTTTAGTAGACACAAGGTTTCACTGTGTTGGCCAGGCTGGTTTTGATTTCCTGACCTCAGGTGATCCACCTGCCTTGGCCTCCCAAAGTGCTGGGATTACAGGCATGAGCCACTGCACCCAGCCTTCATCTTTCTTATTTTTGAAGGATATTTTTACCAGATATGAATTTCCCAACTGATATATTTTTTCTTTTAGTTAGCTTCAAAAATGTTCCATTATCTTCTGAACTCTATTGTATATAATGATTAGACAGCTATGATTCTTATTGTTCATTTTATATATACTTTATTCTCTGTTATTAAGTTTTTTCTTTATTTTTGGTCTGTAATAATCTGACTATAAAGTTCTAGATATGGTTCCTTTACATTTATCATGCTTCACTTTCCCTTACCTTTGATCAGTGGGTTGATTTTTTTATTGAATTTGGAGAAATTTCAACCATTGTATCTTCAAATACTTTTTTCTGCTTCTTTAGTACTTTTCCTCCTCCTAAGACTCCAATTATATGTGTGTTAGACCACTTATATGGTGCCACCAGTCACGGAGGTGCAACCCCCAGTCTTTTTACTCTTTGTACTTCAGTTTGGTAATACCTATTTACCTGTCTTGAAGTCACTGTTTTTTTTTTCTTTGATAGTGTCCAATTATTGTTAAGCCTATCCAATAAAGATTTCATTCCACCTACATTTTATAGTTATAGAATTTACATTTGGTTTTGTGGGTCTGCTTTTATTGACTGTATTTTCTCTAAATCTTGTGTCAAATTTTCCTGCTTCTTTACCGGTCTTACAATTTCTCATTGTATACTGGCCATTGTAGATGCCATGTTGTAGTGACTTGGGGATTTTATTATCTTCCTAATAGTTAAACTGTTCAGGCAAGCAGTTAAATTAATAGCAGATCACAATGATCTTTTTAAGAGTTGATTTTTGAAGGCAGGTACAGTTTGGTTTTATCCTTAGTCCTGGACATAATTCTTACTCTAGGTAGGGCAGTGGTTCTCAAACTGTGGACTGAAGACCCCTGGGAGTTCCCAAGAACCTTTCAGTGGGCCAAACCTTTCACAAAGTGAAAAATATTCTCATAACAATACTGAGAGGTTTGCCTTTTTCACTGTGGTGACACTTCCACTGGTGGTGTAGAAGCCATGGTGAATCTTCTCTGCTTTAGCATGAGCAAAGGCAGAGGCACCAAATAGTACTAGTAATCATCATATTCTTTACCTCCACACACAAAGAAAATGTGTTAAGAAAAAACCCATTTTCACTTAAGAACATCTTGAAGAAGCAGTATTCATTTTATTAAATCTCAACCCTTGATTATATATACATTTAAAAAATATTCTATGTAATGAAATGGGAAGTATCCATTAAGGTCTTCTGCTGTATACCAAAGTATGATGGTTGCCTTGAAGAAAACCACTTGTACAGTTGTTTAAGTTGTGAGTTAAAGGCCAGGCTCTGTGGCTGATGCCCGTAATCCCAGCATTTTGGGAGGCCAAGGCGGACAGATCACAAGGTTAAGAGATCGAGACCATCCTGGCCAACATGGTGAAACCCCATCTCTACTAAAAATACAAAAATTAGCTGAGCATGGTGGCACGCGCCTGTAGTCCCAGCTACTCGGGAGGCTGAGGCAGGAGAATCGCTTGAACCCGAGAGGCGGAGGTTGCAGTGAGCCAAGATCGTGCCACTGCATTCCAGCCTGGTGACAAAGTGAGACTACGTCCCCACCCCCAAAAAAATTGTGAGTTAAACCAACTGCTTTTTTGACAAAACACCATATTTTTCACCAAAGAATGAAAAACTTTGTTTGTTCAGACTTGGGCAGTAGGAAAACATTTTCTTGCAAGTGAGCCTGTCACTTCAAAAATAACTAATATTTGTTGCCAATGATATAATTCAATCTGTCATGTTAAAATTAGAATTTTGTAAAATGTTTATTCATAATTTTGAGCTTTATAGCTTCCTAATACATTAAGATTTTTTATGAGATGGGTGGTAATATTAACATGTGATTTTTTGATGTTGTATAGTGAACTACGTCAACATTTCAAAGATCTGCATAACTCTTTGAATCAGTATTTTCCAAATGACCAGTGTATGATGTTACAAAATTACACATGGATAAAAGATTATTCAAAGTGCAATGTAACATAGTATGAAAAGTTCACAGATATGATTTTATATTCCACATTGTACTTAACCTGCCAGACACTACCATTTCTTAAGTTTTAGGGTGGTGTCAAAGAAAAATATCCACAGTTATCTGCATGGACTAGTAAAATATTCTGCCATTTTCCAACTATGTACCATGAGAGGCTAGATTTTCTTCATATACTTCATATATATGATTTTCTTCATATATTTCAACCTAAATAACATATTGCCATAGATTGAATGCAGAAGCAGATATGAGAATCCAGGTGTCTTTTATTAAACCATCCATTTAAAAGATTTGAAAAAATTTAAAACATCTTTTGTTTTGTTTTAGAAAAGATTATTTTTATAACAAATCATTTATGTTAACAGTTAATGGTTTATTGTTATTTTAAGTGAATTAGTAAATATCTTAAAATTTCTCTGTTTAAATTTTTAACATGACAAATATCAAAATATATAACTACATAAACTAAAAGTCTTTTGGGTCCTCAATGATTTTTCTTGACATTTAAGAAGTTAAACCCATATTTATTTACTGACACTGTAAAACCTTACATAAAACATAAGTAGTAAGTAACTAAAATGTTAAATCTAAATCTATAATGTTAAATTAAAATCTAAGCCTTACATAGAAATTAAAATTCGCTAAACTACTGATGCTATGTTGTACAAAACTGTACTCCTTTTAGTTCATAATTGGTCACCTCCATATTCAGTTGGAATATTAGGTTGGTCAGCTTAAATACTGTGGCTTTGTTTTGGTTATCCACAGAATCTTTACACCCAAATGTTAATGCATAAAAAGCAGCAAGACATTGTTAAATGAAACAGCAATAGTGCAGTTTAGACCTGTGACCAACTATATATGATTAAACTTACTTCCCACATTCACATCACAATAATCATCCATCATTTAATAGCTCAACCAAAATGTTATACAGTCATCAACAGGCAAGGCACATGAAAACCCCGCACAACCAAGAATGATTTGGGCCCAAATGTCAGTAGATTTGAGTTTGGAAAAACCTTCTTGTAGTTGTTAAGGCTCAATGGCTCTGGTTAATTTAATATAATAAACAACAACTTCATAATGGAAAAAAATTAAATCCTCTATTGAGGTATAAAACCTAATTAATTTATAAGGATAAAGTAAGTGACTACCTTGAAGTCAAAACACATTATGGACAATGAAAGAGTATTACGATTGTTCCAAATTGACAAGGGTATTTAAACCTAGGTACACAATCTTTCTTAAAATTAATTTATAGAAAGTCATAACCTGTGGGTACATGAATATGAATATACATCTTCTCCAACTTGACAAGTACATTATTGCTGGGACAGGTACCTTTTAATAACAAGTAACTTATTAGCCTAGAAAGGCCAAACTTCTCTTTTTATTGTCAGCTTTTGGTTTTTAATATACCTGGGGTTATATAAACAAAAACACAGTCATAGTAGTTTTGGGCTAAGTAAATTCTGGATTATGTCAAAGAAACCTGATTGTTTCTAGTATCTTTTGTAAGCGAAAGAGCAAATCTTTGTGCTTGCTCAGTGGCCTTTTAGGAAACCTGAAAGGCAGATTTTATGTGAAAGACATAATCTGTTACAATCTGTTTCATTATTCTGAATTGGAAAAGGCATTAACAAAAAGAGTTGTCAGAGGAGCTTTTGACAAGAACAATAGTTGTGACTAATTAATCAGAACATCAACACAATATTTAAAATAATGAGAAGGTAGCAAGATTTTAATTTTTATTTAAATAAAAAATTCTGTTCTATTTAAAAATAGTTTAGATGTGTAGTATAAGGTAGCTAAAAGCATGAAAATTATTTGACTCTTAAAATTTGAAGCATACACAGAAGTGTGGCAAAATTATGCAGATTTATTTTCTTCATGTATTGAAGAAAAAGAATAATACTTTAATTTCCTCATATAGAGTGGACAGTTTACTCCAAGATCATCATTTTCCCTTAGCTAGCAGTCTTTTCTATCATATCATACTTATGTCACTTTTTTCATACATTATATGACATAGCATTTCCCATATGCATTTAAACCTGCTAATATTGTCAATATACCATGCTGAATGACACTATAATTTAAAGCTTTATTTTCAATTTTAAAATATAATTAACAGTATTAATGTGTTATAAGATGATGTGTGTATCACATTGATTTTTGACAGGGTAGTTTGAGCTTAGTTGAGTGAAAATATGTTTAACAATGGTCAAGAAATAAGTAAACTTAATTGAAAAATAACTCAAAATATTTGTTCTTCCTCTTTTATGAATATCTTCTTAGGAACTTTTTATGCAACCAGAAATTATTTATTAGTAACTCTCAAGATCATTTTGTCTAAGTGAATTGGAGATCTTATAATTTAAAGTGATCCTTAAATAGCAATACAATTACTGTTGATTTTTAAAATTGATAGACATTTAAAATTTTTAAATAAGGTAAAATCTATAGAGTCACATAATTGCAGCATTATATGAAGTTATAAAAATCAATCCTTTTATAAAAATTCTGGCTAATAAATCTAAGTAAATGTAAAATTTAATTGAACTTTATATTTTTACAATTGTGAACATTTATGAAAGCAATGTTTGCTTTATCTCAGGGGTTGGAAAACTCTGGCTCTGGAGGCCAAATCCACCTGTTTTTGCAAATAAAGTTGTATTGGAACATAGTCTTGCCCATTTGTTTATATGTTTACATATTGCCCATGGCTGCCTTGATAAAATGGCAGAGTTGCGACCATTGAGTTGTTAGACAAAAGAGTTGTTAGACAAAACAAAATCAGCCAAAGCTCATTATGATAAGAATTTGATTCCCATTAAGATACATTGGATGACCACAACTGGGCACATAAGGGCTTGATTGATGGAAGCTGACATTTGGTTTGAGGGAACATCAGCGTGGGAAAATGAGGGACTTGTTGAAGCGACCTCTGTGGAATCCTCCAGAAAACTATAAAATCAGAACATTCAGATCACAAGAGCTGCAAAATCAAGGCTGAGTTTGTTATTTAACAAGGGAGTGCCTTAATGCCAAGGAGTGAGTTCAGTAAGTCTCCTAATTTGTCTTTTATTTCTACTGTAGTTTTTTTTTTTTTTTCCCTAGTGAAGGAAATAAAATGTGTGGTTTTCTTGTTTTCTTTCAGATTTGGAGTCAAAAACGTATGAGACCAAAAAAATATTTTCAGAAAATGATATTTTTGAAATAAATTTTTCCCAGTGGGAGATGAAGGACAAAAGTAAAACCCTTGGCCTTGAGGCATCCATCTTCAGAAATAATTGGAAGTGCAAAAGCATATTCGAGGGACTAAAAGGACATCAAGAGGGATACTTCAGTCAAATGATAATCAGCTATGAAAAAATACCTTCTTACAGAAAAAGTAAATCTCTTACTCCACATCAAAGAATTCATAATACAGAGAAATCCTATGTTTGTAAGGAATGTGGGAAGGCTTGCAGTCATGGCTCAAAACTTGTTCAACATGAGAGAACTCATACAGCTGAAAAACACTTTGAATGTAAAGAATGTGGGAAGAATTATTTAAGTGCCTATCAACTCAATGTGCATCAGAGATTTCATACTGGTGAGAAACCCTATGAGTGTAAGGAATGTGGGAAGACCTTTAGCTGGGGATCAAGCCTTGTTAAACATGAGAGAATTCACACTGGTGAGAAACCCTATGAATGTAAAGAATGTGGGAAGGCCTTTAGTCGTGGCTATCACCTTACCCAACATCAGAAAATTCATACTGGTGTGAAATCTTATAAATGTAAGGAATGTGGGAAGGCCTTTTTTTGGGGCTCAAGCCTTGCTAAACATGAGATAATTCATACAGGTGAGAAACCTTATAAATGTAAAGAATGTGGGAAGGCCTTCAGTCGTGGCTATCAGCTTACTCAGCATCAGAAAATCCATACTGGTAAGAAACCTTATGAATGTAAAATATGTGGAAAGGCTTTTTGTTGGGGCTATCAACTTACTCGACATCAGATATTTCATACTGGTGAGAAACCCTATGAATGCAAGGAATGTGGGAAGGCTTTTAATTGCGGATCAAGTCTTATTCAACATGAAAGAATTCATACTGGTGAGAAACCTTATGAATGTAAAGAATGTGGAAAGGCCTTTAGTCGTGGCTATCACCTTTCTCAACATCAGAAAATCCATACTGGTGAGAAACCTTTTGAATGTAAGGAATGTGGGAAGGCCTTTAGTTGGGGTTCAAGCCTTGTTAAACATGAGAGAGTTCATACTGGTGAGAAATCCCATGAATGTAAAGAATGCGGAAAGACCTTTTGTAGTGGGTATCAACTTACTCGACATCAGGTATTTCACACTGGTGAGAAACCCTATGAATGTAAGGAATGTGGGAAGGCTTTTAATTGTGGATCAAGCCTTGTTCAACATGAAAGAATCCATACAGGGGAGAAACCCTATGAATGTAAAGAATGTGGGAAGGCTTTTAGTCGTGGCTATCACCTTACTCAACATCAGAAAATTCATACCGGTGAGAAACCTTTCAAATGTAAGGAATGTGGGAAGGCCTTCAGTTGGGGTTCAAGCCTAGTTAAGCATGAGAGAGTCCATACTAATGAGAAGTCTTATGAATGTAAAGACTGTGGGAAGGCCTTTGGTAGTGGCTATCAACTTAGTGTTCATCAGAGATTTCATACTGGTGAGAAGCTTTATCAACGTAAGGAATTCGGGAAGACCTTTACTTGTGGCTCAAAACTTGTTCATGAGAGAACTCATAGTAATGATAAACCCTACAAATATAACGAATGTGGGGAAGCCTTTCTGTGGACAACTTACTCAAATGAGAAAATTGATACTGATGAAACCTTATGATTGAAAGTTGTAAAAGAATATTTTGTGTGTGTGTATAGACAACTTATCATAATAAGAACTCTTACTCTTGAGAAACCTTGTGAATGTAAGGGTTGTGCAAAAGCCATTCATTTCTGTTTATGGGCAATTATCTTGCTATCCAGCAATTCATACTAGTGAGAAATATTTTGAATATAATTAATATGAAAAGGCCTTTAGACTTCTGTACAGTCTTATTGGATATCAATTTATACTGATGTAAAATCATTTAAATGTAAGGAATGTGTGAAGATCTTCATTCATGACATAAGGTCTGATTAACATCAAATAATTGGTATTTGTTAAAAAGAGTTTAAATAGGAGGAATGTGGGAAGGACCTAAACTTAATTCAGTTCTTGCTGCACATCAGAGAATTCATACTGCTGTGTAATCCTATGCACATAAGGAATTTGGGAAGGCTTATAGACACAGTAAATATCTTAGAGTACATCAGAGAATTCATCCAAATGAGAAATCATTTGAATTAGAATTATAGGAAGGCCTTTAGACAAATGCTACCCAAATTATTATCCAGAGACTGGTGCAGTCATAAAATTGTCATCTGTCAATTGTGAGATAAACGTGGAAAGTGAGTAAATATTTGGAACTTTTATAGCAATTTGACATTTCCATAACATTCTGTTTTACAAAATTATCAGTCCATAAATGATTGAGAATTGAAAACAAAGTTTGTTCTTTCCCAGAAATAATTTGAGACAAGACTCACACTTTTCAAGACATGAGACAAGTGACAATTTAAATAAGAAATTCTTCACTTGCACCTCTCTGATTAGAATAGCAGAATATTCATACTATAGCAAGATTTGGCAAATGAGGGAATCAAAATTTTCTAATGCCTGTAACAGCATAAGATAATTTATACCAGATATGTTAAATGTGCAGAAGCCTTCCAACACTATTCAGTCTTTGTTAAACTTCAGTAAGTTCATCCTAGAGAGTAACTCTGTTAATGTAACAAATGTAGGAAAACCCTTATCCATGGCAAATACCATACTGTCATCACCATTTCACCTCCATACTACCTGTAGGATGGTGAGCAAAATGCTTATCTCTTCTGGACATGATGTTTCAAATGCTGATGGTAACTAATAATGCTGTTACAGAGATTAGATGGATTTAGTATGCATCATATCCTTGGAAGAGTATCTGGTATGTAGCCTATGCTTAATACATATTAGCTATTGTTCATATTGTCTTTATTATTAGTATTACTACTGGTGAATTCTTAGGAGAGGCACAACCGTTTTGAGGAATGAATTCAGAAAAGCTTCCCATAACCACTCATCCATTTGAATTTCAGATAGTTCATTCTGGATAAGATCTAGTACAGTATAAAGAATTTGAGGGGATTTTAATTCAGAGTTTATCCCTTAAGCTGAGCTAAAAAAATGAGACTTGAAAAAATCCAGACTTTTGAAGAGTTTAGGAAAGCTGTTTTATAGAATGTCACACATTAGTTTCATTCCTCATGGTGAAATTTGATATGGGCCTCTCCTTCACATTTCTCGTAACATGAAGTTGGAAATAGAGGCTTAAACATTTTTTACCAGAACACTTCATAGATGGTGATGTGTACTTCATCTTGCAATACCTCAGAAGCAGATAGTATCCATTTCCCCCAGTATCACCAGTGCCAAGTTTGATCACTTATGGTAACTACTGGAGTTGTCTGTTATAAAGATCCATTATATACCTAATAGGATTGGTCAGCCTTGATCAATGATCTTTGGAAATGTGTGATCATATGGTATGTATTTTACTTTTTTTTTTTTTTGGGACAGGATCTCTCTTTCTGTCACCAAGGCTGGAGTGCAGTGGTGTGATTTCGGCTCACTGCAACCTGCACCTCTCGGGTTCAAGTGATTCTCGTGCCTCAGCCTCCCAAGTAGCTGGATACACAGGTGTGCACCACCATACTGGCTAATTCTTGTATTTTTAGTAGAGATGGGGTTTTGCCATGTTGGTCCAGGCTGATCTTGAACTCCTGCACCTGCCTCAGCCTCCCAAAGTGTTGGGATTACAGGTGTGAGACACTGCGCCTGGCTATATTTTACTATTTGGAAATCACAATGCATCTTAAAATTGATGGCTTCTTGCAACCACTTTCAACCAGGTGCCTGTCATGATTTAGTGCTAGCATCAAGGCAGGTTAGTTATGAAGAAATAGAGTGTGTGTTTATATACTCACACAGTTAGAAATCGACCCTTTTAAAAATTATTTCTTTTTGAAAATAATGTCAGTTCCATCAGAACTAATGCATTGATAACTAAATGTCTGTGGTTCCTTGTCATAGGTCTACACCTGACCTCTCTATTTTGTGCACATAGGGGATTCGTAATATCACTGTTCAGTCAGTCATTCACCATCTAGTGATCATCATTCTACATGATTGCACTTTTTCAAAGGCATAAAAAGCCAACAGTTGCACTCTTAATAATCAACTGTAACACAAAGCAGAGTACTTTGGGAGTTTTAACAGGATATATTATTGGTAACTGGCTATTATGCCACTCCCTCTGGGTGCCACATTTGCCTGTTAACCAAGAAATGTAGACATGGTGCCTTATCCCAACATTTCTGAAATTATATCTCAAGGAATCACCAGTGCTTACTAGTACTTGACA
This sequence comes from Homo sapiens, assembly GCF_000001405.40. Classification (NCBI taxonomy): domain Eukaryota; kingdom Metazoa; phylum Chordata; class Mammalia; order Primates; family Hominidae; genus Homo; species Homo sapiens. The sequence continues at coordinate 43,851,307 of NC_000019.10, forward strand.
ATGAAGGAGGATTTTACAGTTAAAGAAGCTTATAAAGTAGCATCTACTAAATCCCCTCCTAAGGAACAAGCAAAAGCACCTCACCAGCTTATCAAAAGACTAAAGAGAAGTGAAAAAAAAAAAAAGACGGCCGGGCGCGGTGGCTCATGCCTGTAATCCCAGAACTTTGGGAAGCCGAGGCGGGCGGATCACGAGGTCAGGAGATCAAGACCATCCTGGCTAACACGGTGAAACCCCGTCTCTACTAAAAATAGAAAAAATTAGCCGGGCGTGGTGGCGGGCGCCTGTGGTCCCAGCTACTCGGGGAGGCTGAGGCAGGAGAATGGCGTGAACCCGGGAGGCAGAGCTTGCAGTGAGCCGAGATTGCGCCACTGCACTCCAGCCTGGGCGACAGAGCGAGACTCCGTCTCAAAAAAATAAAAATAAAAAAAGACTAAGGAGTATTCTAGTGAAGAAAATGGTTGAACTTTGTTTAAACTGGTGTATGGCAAACTTCACTGTTGAAATACTTATTCCCATGACCTATTATCTTTGTAGGTGGGTGAAATTGCATTGGGAACTGCTGCTATAACCAAAAGAGAATTTCAGTCACCATGTCTGGTTGTTAGCTATGATGGAATGGCAGCATCATGGTCTCAGTTATGAGTGAAAATCTTTGTTGTAGCTAAGTAGTGGTGCCTCCTGAGTTTTATTAAATGCCGTTTCACTATCTTTTTCTGCACTTCTATAGTATTTAATTTGTTCATGTGATAATTTATTCTGATAGATTCACTGACTTTTTCCCATTCCTGGATATTCCAGGTTAGTCATAGTATCCTTCTGATGCATTGCTTGATTTCATTTTGCCATTTTATTTAGTATTTTTGCATCTCATGAGTGAGATTATATAATAGTTTTCTTTTTTATTGTATTTTTGTTTGTTTTGGTATTGCAATAGCCTGTTTTTTAATATTGTATGATCCTATTAGGTTATTTTGTTTGATCCTTGACCACTTTTCTAGTTCCATCTGTTGCATTTTTTTTTGTCTTTTAATTCCTACTTCAGACATAACAGATTTATTGAGTGTTAGCACAGTTCCTTTAAGGAGCCTTCATAGCCATGTAGTACTAGCCAAGATCCGCATAAAAGACGCATCCCAGCATGGCCCCTAAAATCCTTCATTATGTGCTCTTAAGAATAATGTGTTGGGAAGTCAGAACTTCCTTATAGGGCTGTTATGATCATACTTGTACATGTCTTTTGGAGCACACGTGTACACATTTCTTTCTGTATATACTGGGAGTGGAATTGCTGGGGTGTGGTCATGGATACACATCTGTTCAACTTTTTAGTAAGTTTAAATTCTTCTGAACAGTTTTCCAAACAAATGAACCGTCTTATACTCTCACCAGCAGTATATCAATGTTCTGCTTTCTCCACATCTTTGAAAATACTTGACATCATCAGTTTAAAGAATATTTTCATTACTCTCATAGGTAATATAGTGGCATTTGATTGTTGATAATTGTGGTTTAATTTTCCATTTTCTGATTGCTGCCTATTTGTATATTCTTGCAATTTCTCTTCGCTCCTTGCTCCGGGCATTGGATGCATTCGATGTGTCTGTTTTTTACAGAGCCTCTGTTCAGTTTGCAGGACAACAATTAACACCTAGGCCATGACATTCTCTCTGTGTGTGTGTGTGTGTGTGTGTGTGTGTGTGTGTGTGTGTGTGTATTCCCCACCAGTGAGCTGGTTTTGATGACTGTGATGGAATCAGCTTTATCTCTGCATCTCCAGTTCCCAGTATGAACCATGACCCTTAGTTGTTTGATTCAGTTAGGATACACTCAGCAGAAATTAAAATACCACACTGGGGCCAGGCGCGGTGGCTCACGCCTGTAATCCCAGCACTTCGGGAGGCCAAGGCGGGTGGATCACAAGGTCAGGAGACTGAGACCATCCTGGCTAACACAGTGAAACCCCGTCTCTACTAAAAATTAAAAAAAAAATAAATAAATAAATAAAACCCAAAAACATTAGCCAGGCGTGGTGGCGTGCGCCTTTAGTCACAGCTACTCGGGAGGCTGAGGCAGGAGAATGGCGTGAACCCAGGAGGCGGAGCTTGCAGTGAGCCAAGAACGTGCCACTGCACTCCAGCCTGGTGACAGAGCGAGACTCCATCTCAAAAAAAAAAAATACCACATTGGCTAGAACAATGAGGAAGTATATTGAATGATATAACATGCTTTCAGAGGGACAGTGGGCTCCAGATATTTTTGATTCATCAGCAAAATTAAATTTCTTTTTTTTTTTTTCTTTTTCTTTTTGAGACAGAGTCTCGCTCTTTCACCCAGGCCGGACTGCAGTGGCACTATCTCGGCTCACTGCAAGCTCCACCTCCTGGGTTCACGCCATTCTCCTGCCTCGGCCTCCCGAGCAGCTGGGAGTACAGGGGCCCGCCACCGCGCCCGGCTAATTTTTTTTGTATTTTTAGTAGAGACGGGGTTTCACCGTGTCAGCCAGGATGGTCTGATCTCCTGACCTCGTGATCCGCCCGCCTTGGCCTCCCAAAGTGCTGGGATTACAGGCGTGAGCCACTGCGCCCGGCCGCAAAATTAAATTTTCAGAGGCTCAGTTTCTCTTCCATTTTCCACTCTGCACTCCCCAGTGTTGGCTGGCACCATGATGGCTGGCAGGTTTCCAGATATTACAAACAGACATGACAACATCCACAGAAAATAATAAGGGAGAGCATCTCCCGTGACAGGAGCAAGGAAACATTTCCCATTGGCCAGCAGCGTACATCTGCTTTTAGTTGCTAAAATGGGTTATATGTAATTCCTGAAATAATCATTGGTATTACTTTAAATTAGCCATAGACTCTCAAAGGTTTTAGTTAAATAAAAAATCAGACTCTTAAGTTTCATTAGCTTTTTATGTATGAGACATAACAAGTGATCCTTTATTTTAAAAAGTAAAATTACAAATATGTATAAATTTCATAATACAGATAATTTAATGTATATATTAAGACCACAAACATAATTTCACCTTTTTGAGATTAATGTTAATTTTTAAAAGCAGAAATTCTGAAATATAAAGTCTATATTGTTAGAACATTTACTAGGAATTTTTTATGATATAGAATATTATCTGATTGTTTGTAGATGTAGGGGACAGGGAAAATATTTTTGGTCTAACCTTGTTAAGTATTTTTTCTTCCAGACTCAGAGGAGCCTACTCTTAATTTCTAGAATTCTGTTAGTTAACCTGAAGACTGAGAAGGCCAAGATTTACAATGTGGAAATGAAACCAAGGTGTAATTGGAATTTGGGTGAACATATTTACTCAATTCATTTTTTAAAATTTGAGACAGAGTCTCTCTCTGTCACCCAGGCTGGAGTACAGTGGTGTGATCTCACTGCAACCTCTGCCTCCCGGGTTCAAGCGATTCTCCTGCCTCAGCCTCCCGAGTAGCTGGGACTACAGGCGTGTACCACCGTGCCCAGCTAATTTTTGTATTTTTAGTAGAGACAGGGTTTCGCCACGTAGGCCAGGCTGGTCTTGAACACCTGGCCTCAAGTGATCTGCCTGCCTCCACCTCCCAAAGTGCTGGGATTACAGGTGTGAGCCACTGTACCTGGCCTCAGTTCATTTTTACAGCACACATACATAGCACTAAATTCAAAAGAAATAAAAATCTTATCTCTCACCTTTTCTGAAGCTTTAAAATCACCCTTTTCAGAGACAACTACACTTTCCAGCCTCTTCTGTGTTCTTGAGCAGATAGTCCATGTAAATAGCAGAGTACATTGCCTTAGAGTAGACATTCAAGATTTGAAAGTATTCCTTTACTATCTCATAATTCAGTGTTAGTCATATACCAGTGTCATTATGGATTTCATCAATAAAAATTTTGGTTCAATTTATTTTCACTATACCCAAGTGTTTACTGTGGAGGAAGGGTCTGCAGTGTCCTTGGCCACATTTAAAAAATATGGTTCATTCCGGACTGTTTGCCCAGATCTCTGCCTGGTGCACAAGAGATATTGTGGCCTCTACCACCATCACCACTGGGATTCTCTTCACCTCTCTCCTCTACTGAATTTCTTGTTTTCTACTCATTCATTCTGGTGGAAAACCCCTTCCACTTGCTTTCTTTGAAGAGGTGACTTGGAAATAATTCACGTGGTTGAAAGGATTTTATTCTACCCTTCTGTTTTTGGTGTCTCCCTATTCTTGGCCAGCAGGTTCCTAGGCATGTTCTTTTCATAGTAGATGGCAGAAACACAAGAGGCTGAGCCAAAGCATATTTAAAGTATCTATATCCATTGTAATCCACCCAAATTCTGTTGACTAGACACATGGCCAAGCCCAACACCAATGGGGCAGGGATGAGCTCTGCCAAGGGTGGAGAGTAAGGGAAGAATTGTGGGCAAATATTCTAAGCCACCAGATTCATACCAACATTACTGGCATGACTGTGAGTCAACACATTCCACTGTGGGGGGCAACTGAGCAATAATTAATGATGTCATTGAGAATAGTTTATTCTTCACAGGCTTCTTGTAATTCAGGTCTCTGCCCAAATGCCACCTGATTGAACAGGTCTTTCTTGACCACCCACTTGACTAGCCCCACCCTTCTGTCAGTCACACTCTTTCAGATTATTTTTAAAAATTTCCTCATTTCACCAAACACTAAGTGACATTCTTTGATTTTATTTATGTATTTATTTATTTTATTTTTTGAGAGGGAGTCTTGCTCTGTCACCCGTGTCGGAGTGTAGTGGCATGATCTTGGCTCACTGCAACCTCTGTTTCCCGAGTTCAAGCAATTTTCCTGCCTCAGCCTCCTGAGTAGCTGAGATTACAAGCATGTGCCACCACGTCCAGCTAATGTTTGTATTTTTAGTAGAAATGGGGTTTCACTATGTTGCTCAGGCTGGTCTCGAACTCCTGACCTCAAGTGATCACCTACCTCAGCCTCCCAAAGTACTGGGATTACAGGCGTGAGCCACCACGCCCGGCCAGGCATTCTTTGATTTTAAATAATGTGTCAAAGAAAGTGACATTATTTGTCCCCATGTTGATTGTCTACACTCTTGGACATAAGTTCCACAGGATCAGGGGATATGCTTCTCTTGCTATCATTGTATCTCCAATATCTAGAGAAATGTATGGCTCAGAGAAGATGCTCAAATATTTGTTGAAGGAATAAAAGTGAAAATGGATTGATTCATATTTAGACTCTAAATAGAGGTGGAGTACTGCTGCCTCCTTTAGAGAATAAAACTCAAGGCTCTGAATAGTATGAGTTTCTCATATTTAGGGAAGGAAAATATGTGAGGACTAAAGTAGAGTTAAATGCACTGAGGAAGCTAATATTTATAAGGATGCAATTTGGAATAATATGACTTCCTGGATTTAATTGACTTCTGGTAATTTGAATGTAGTGTGAAGGAATCAACCCTTATTCTTTGATTCTGGAACTCACACCACACAAAATAATGCAGAGGTTGAGGGCATTGTCTCAGAGACTAAACCTCCACCACTTACTAGTAGTTTACTTAATGTCTTAATCTCAAGTCACTTAATCTTTAGTATCTGTAATAGAGATATAACAATAGCATAACCATGTCGTAGCACTGTGGAGGGTATTATATGAGTGAAAACATGCAGCATGGTTAAGGCACTGCCTGTAAGTTCTGTATAAGGGATTCCCACAGACCTCCAGATCTGGCTTGCCAAGACTATAAGTGGCATCCAAAAGGCATGGGCAAAAGCCCTGAGTCCATACCTTTTCTGAATTCTTATATTAGTTCTAATAATTTATCTGATGATTTTTTGGTGTTTTCTTGGCTTACTATCATATTATCTAAAATGTTAATTTTATCGTGTTCTTTTTATGTATTTTCTTTCTCTGGCTTTATTTATATATTTTTTTGAATAGGGTCTTTCTCTATTGCCCAGGCTGGAGTGCAGGGGTATGATCATAGCTCACTGCAGCCTGAAACTCCTGGGTTCCTTTGGTCCTTCCACCTCAGCCTCCTGAGTAGCTGGGACTGCAGGCACAGGCCACCATGGCTGGCTGGTTTTTAAACTTTTTGTAGAGACAGGGTCTCCCTATGTTGCCTGGACTAGTCTCAAACTCCTAGGTTCAAGTGATCCTCCTGCCTCAGCCTCCCAAAGTGTTGGGATTACACGCATGAGCTGCTATGCCTGGCCCTCTTTTTCTTGCTTTAAAGCAGGGGTCCCCAACCCCCGGGCCACAGACTCATACTGGTCTGTTAGGAACTGGGCCACACAGCAGGAGGTGAGCAGTAGGAGAGCGAGCAAAGTTCATTTGTATTTACAGCCACTCCTCATCACTCACATTACTGACTAAGGTCCCCCTTCTGTCAGATCAGTGGAGGCATTAGATTGCCATAGTAGCATGAACCCTATTGTGAACTGTGCATGCAAGAGTTCTAGGTTGTGCATTCCTTATGAGAATCTAATGCCTGATGATCTGTCAGTGTCTCCCATCACCCCCAGATGGGACTGCCTATTTGCAGGAAATCAAGCTCAGGGCTCCCACTGATTCTACAAAATAATGAGTTGTATAATAATTTAATTATATATTCTAATGTAACAATAATAGAAATAAAGTGCACAATAAATGTAATGTGCTTGAGTCCAAGCAGATAAGTCTTTCCCTATAAAACCTACTCCAAAATATTGGAAGATGTGAGTTTCACTAGATGACTAGAAATCAACATAGGGAAACATCAAACATGAAAATGCAAGAAAACGTAACACCTCCAAAGAAACACAATAATTCTTTAATAATAGACCCCAATCATAAGGAAATATATGAAATGCCAGAACAAAAGTTCAAAATAATGATTATAAGAAAATTCAACAAGGTACAAGAGAACACGGATAGATAATTCAACAAAATCAGGGCAACAATTTACGATTTGAATGAGAAATTCAACAAAGAGAGAAACATCATAAAAAAGAACCAAACAAAATTTAGAGCTGAAGAATTCAATGAATAAAATAAAAAATACAGTCAAGTGCTTCAAAAACAGACTAGGCCAAGCAGAAGAAAGAATTTCTGAACTTGAAGACAGGCTGTTTGAAATAACATAGGCAGACAAAAAAAGAAAAAAGAATGAAAAAACCTTACAGGATTTGTGGCACACTATTCAGTGAACAAATATTCACATTATGGGCATTCCAGAAGGAGAAAGTTGAGGGAAACATATTTAATGAAATAATAGCTGATTTATTCATAGATGGCAGAAATTAAAAGAAATAATAGCTGGAAACCTATAAACACCATCTTGAAAACATGCAAAACTATAAAACTCACTGGTAGAGCCAATGCACAAGAAGAGAAAGGAATCAAACCTTATCACTGCAGAATACCACCCAAGCAAAAATAATAAGAGAAGAAGTAAGGAACAAAGAATATATAAAACAACCAGAAAATAATCAATAAAATAACAGGAGTATGCCCTCACCTATTCATAATAACCTTGCATGTAAACAGATTAAATTCCATATTTAAAAGATATAAACTGGCTAAATGGATTAAAAAAAAAAAAAACAAGACCTAACTATATGCTGCCTATAAGAAACTCACCTCACCTATAAAGACACAAATAGGCTAAAAGTGAAGAGATGGAAAAAGGTATTCCATGCAAATAGAAACCAAAAGTGAGCAGGAATAGCTATATGTATATTAGACAAAACAAATTTTAGGTCAAAAGCTGTAAGAACAGACAAAGAAGAACATTATATAATAATAAAGGGATAAATTAAGGAAGAAAATATAACAATTGTAAGTATATATGCACCCAACACTGGAACACTCAGATTTATAAAGCCAATATTATTAGATCTAAAGAGAGAGATAAAGCGAAATACAGTAATAGTTTGGGACTTCCACACTCTACTCTCTGCATTGGAGAGATTATCTAGACAGAAAATTAACAAAGAAATATTGGATTTCAACTGCACCATAGATGAAATATACCTAACATATTTATGGAACATTCTGCCCAATGGGTGCAGAATACACACTTTTTTCATCAGCATAATAAATACCTATGTCAAAAATAGAAAATTTCCAATAAACAACCTAATTATGCATCTCAAGGATCTAGAAAAGAAGAACAAGCCCAATTAGTAGGAGAGAAATAATAAAAATCAGAGCAAAAATAAAATTGAGAGTCAAAAATACAATAGAGCAATGAAACAAATAATTGTTTTTTTGAAACAATAAAATCAGCAATTAGCCAGACTAAATAAGAAAAGAGAGAAGACTCAAATAAATAAAATTGGAAATGAAAAATGAGACATTACAATGGATACCACAGAAAAAAGGATCATTAGACAATACTATGAAAAATATATGCCAATACAATTTTAAAACTAGAGGAAATGGATAAATTACTGGACATATGCAACCTACTAAGATTGAACCAAGAAGAAATAGAAAACCTGAAAAGACTAATGACAGATAATGAGATTAAATCAGTAATAAAATGACTCCCAATAAAAAAAAGTCCAAGAATGGATGGTTTTAATTACTGAATTCTACCAAATCTTTAAAGAATTAATACCAATTTTTCTGAAAATATTTCCAAGAAATTGAAGCAGAGGGAACTCTTCCTAAATCATTTTATGAGACCAGCATAACCCTGATACCAAAGTCAAATAAGAATGCAACAAAAGAAAACTACAGGCCAATATCCTTGATGAACAGAAATGCAAAAACCTCAGCAAAATACTAGCAAATAGAATACAATACATCAAAAAGACAATACACTATGATCAAGTGGGATTTATTCCAGGAATGCAAAAATGGCTCAACATATGCAAATCAATAAACATGATATATCACATCAACAGAATGAAAGACAAAAACCATATGATCACCTCAATAGATGCAGAAAATGCAACTGATAAAATTCAACATTCCTTCATGATAAAAACTCTCAATAAATTAGGTATAGAAGGAAAGTTCCTCAACACAATAAAGACCATATATGACAAACCCAAAGCTGTCATCATACTGAATGCAGAAAAGCTGAATGATTTTCCTCTAAGATCTGGAACAAAACAAGGATGCCCACTCTCAGCACTCTTATTCAACATAATACTGGAAGTCCTAGTTAGAGCTATTAGGCAAGAGAAAAATAGCGGGCATCCAAACTGGAAGGAAGGAAGTTAAATAGTTCTTGTTTGCAGACTACATAATTTTCTATATAGAAAAACCTAAAGACTCTACCAAAAAACTCTTAGAACAGATAAACAAATTCACTAAAGTTGCAGGATACAAAGTCAACATGCAAAAATCAGTATCATTTCTACACACGAAAAACAAACTAGCTGAAAAAGAACTCAAAAAGGCAATCTCATTTTCTAAAGCTGCAAAAACAACAACAACAACAAAAACCTAGGAAGAAGCTTAACCAACGAGGTAAAAGATCTCTACAAGGAAAACTACAAAATGCTGATGAAAAAAATTGAAGAGGATACAAGTAAATGTAAAAACACCTTATGCTCATGGATTGGAAGAATTAATATTGTTAAAATAACCATACTGCCAAAAGGAATCTACAGATTCAATGAAATCCCTATCAAAATTCCCATGGCATTCTTCACAACAACAGAAAAAAATCTCACAATTTGTATGGAACCACAAAAGACCTCGAATAGTCAAAGCAATCTTGAGCAAAAAGAACAAAGCTGGAGGCATCATACCATGAAACTTCAAAATACAAAACAAAGCTGCAGTAACCCAAACAGCATGGTGCTGGCATAAAAACACACATAGACCAATGGAACAGAATAGAGAACCCAGAAATTAATCCATATATACACAGTCAACTGATTTTTGTCAAAGGTATGAAGAACACTCATTGGAGAAAGGACATTCTCTTTAATAAATGTTGCTGGGAAAACGGAATAACCATATGCAAAAGAATGAAACTAGATACCCATCTTTCATGCTATACAAAAATAAACTCAAAATGGATCAAATACCAAATGTAAGACCCCAAACCACAAAACTACTAGAAGAAAACATAGGGGAAATGTTTCAGGACACTGGTCTGGGAAAAATTTTAATGAATTTTTTTTTTTTTTAAGTAAGACCACAGGCAACAAAAGCAAAAATAAACGAATGAAATTATATCAAACTAAAAAGGCTTCTGCACAGCAGAGGAAACAATCATCAGAGTGAAAAGACAACCTAGAGAATTGGGGAAAATGTTTGCAAACTATTTATCTAACAGGGGATTAATATCCAGAATATACATTTCAACAGCAAAAAAATTTTTGGTTAAAAAAATGGGCAAATTTTTTGAACAGGCATTTCTCAAAAGAAGACACAGAAATGGATGACAAATATATGAAAAATTCCCAGCCTTATCATCAGGTAAATGCAAATCAAAACCAAAATGAAGTGTCATCTCATCCCACTTAGGATGGTTATTATCAAAATGACAAAAAAATTAGCAAGTGCTGGCAAAACTGTGGAGAAAAGGGAACTCTTATATACTGTTGATGGGAATGTAAACTTGTATGGCCACTGTGGAGAACAGTATGAAGGCTCCTCAAAAAAACCTACGAATAGAAGTAATCATATGGTCCAGCAATCCCACCCAGACATTTATCAAAGGACAGGATATCCGTATATCCAAGAGACATCTACATCCCCATATTTATTGCAGCACTATGTATAATAGCTAAGACATGAAATCAACCTGGGTGTCCAACAACAAATGAATGGATAAAGAAAATGTGGTATATATACACAGTGGAGTACTAAGCCATAAAAAGAATGAAATCCTGTCATTCACAGTAACATGGATGGAAGTGTAGGACATTATGTTAAGTGAAATAAGCCAAGAACAGAAAGTTAACTGCCACATGTTCTCATTCATATGTGGAAACCAAAAAAGTTGATCTCACAGAAGTAAAAAGTAGAACAGAGGATACTATAGGTTGAGAAGGGGAGAATATGAACAGATTTGTTGAAGGATGAAAAAATCACAGCTAGATAGGAAAAATAAATTCTAGTATTCTATACTACTGTGGGATGCCTATAGTTAACAGTAATATATAGTTTCAAATAGTTAGAAGGAGGATATTGAATATTCCCAATACAAAGAAATGAAATATATGAAATGATGGCTATGCTAATTACTCTGATCTAATCACTATGCATTTTATATGTATGTGTGTGTATATATATACATAAACATCACTATGTACCACATAAATATGTACATTTGTCAATTTTTAAGTTTCTATAAGTAAAATAATAGGTTTTTAACCCCATAAAGTATTTCATAACAATTTAATTTTAATTGTAATCATCCAAATGAATAGATGCTTAGGTGCTAATTAGGAAAAAATTGCTAGAAATAATTTTTTGAAGTATTATATATCTTTAGAAGTATTTCTCTACTTCTGGAGGTGGAGGGGGAAGAGAGACATATCACTAAGTCAGAGCAAGGGTATTGGGAATACCTTGCTCTGTGTATCAAGAATTATCTGTATACTGCATAAATAATAATTCTTGAATGTATGTAACAATCTTTAGGTATATAGATGCTGTTTTAACAAATGACAAAATTTTTAAAAAGTTAAAATATATTAAATCTCACACACACAAACACTTACAGACCATACATGGCACCGTTTGCAGTTGGAGAAATGTAATTAATTGTAAAGATGCAGTATTAAATTATAACTGCATAAAATTAACCGTAGAACATACTGTTCTATTATAATAATATCATAGCCACCTCCAGTTGTTATTGCAGTGGATGCAAGTGTTGCAAGTATTCACTTAAAACACTATGTGATACTAGTCATTTCTGTGGGAGCAGTTTATCTCTCCAGTAAATTGCATATTGCAGTAAAAAGTGATCTCTTGCAGTTCTCATATATTTTTCATCATGTGCAGTGCAATACTGTAAACGATGAATAACAGCATGGTGCCCATACAAAGCACTGCTTGTGATATTCGAAGTGCTCCCAGGAAGCCGTGAAAAGTTATTACATTACAAGAAAAAGTTGAATTGCTTGTCACGTACCATAGACTGAGGTCTGTGGCTGCAGTTGCCTGCCATTTCAGACAGATGATTCATCTTATAAACAGATTATGTAAATATGTTATTGATAAATACAGTATGGTACTGTAAATGTATTTTCTCTTTATGATTTTCTTTAAAATATTTTTCTTTCTCGGCCAGCACTTTGGGAGGCCGAGGCAGGCAGATCACCTGAGGTCAGGAGTTCAAGACCAGCCTGGCTAACATGGCAAAACCCCGTCTCTACTAAAAATACAAAAAATTAGCTGGGCGTGGTGGTGTCTGCCTGTAGTCCCAGCTACTAGGGAGGCTGAGGCACAAAAATCGCTTAAACTCCAGAGGCAGAGGTTTCAGTGAGCTGAGATCACGCCATTGCACTCCAGCCTGGGTGACAGAGCGAGACTCTTTCTCAAAAAAAATTTTTTTTTCTTTCTCTAGCTTCATTTTACGAATACAGTGTGTAATACATATAGCATACAAAATTGTGTTAATTGACTGTTTATGTTATTGGTAATGCTCAATAGTAGGTTATTAGTAGAAGTTACTAATTGGTGGAGTCAAAAGTTACCTCTCGATTTCTGACTGTACAGGGGGTTGGCACTCCTAACCTCTGGACTTTCAAGGGTCAACTGTAGTTGTTATACTGTATTTTTAAAATTTTGCATTTTTTATTGTCTTATTGCTATTTTTTTGGTCCTCAGTTGGTTGAATCTGCAGATGCACAATCCACAAATACAGAGGGCAGACTGTATTTGCTTTGCTAGTATTTACTTTTGGTTAATGTGCATGTGTGATTTATGAATGATGGCAATAGCTATGCAGTGGCAGAAAGTTGGGAGTTTATGCCCCATAATGTGTTTTTGAAGGCAGAATACTGCTAGGTGAAATTGAACAAAACCTAAATATATAGAGAAATATACCATGTTCATGGATTGAAATACTCCACATTGTTAAGATGTTTATTCTTCCCAAATTGATATGAAGATTCAATGCAATCCTAACAAAAATCCCAGCAAACATTTTGTAAATCTTTCCAAGCTAATTCTAAAATGCACATAGAAATAAAAAGGTCTAGAATTGCCAAGAGCAGTCTTGAAGAGGAAAAACTTTGGTTTCAAAGAACATCTTTATTTCTGCCTTCATTTCGTTATGTACCCAGTAGTCATTCAGGAGCAGGTTGTTCAGTTTCCATGTAGTTGAGCGGTTTTGAGTGAGATTCTTAATCCTGAGTTCTAGTTTGATTGCACTGTGGTCTGAGAGATAGTTTGTTATAATTTCTGTTCTTTTACATTTGCTGAGGAGAGCTTTACTTCCAAGTATGTGGTCAATTTTGGAATAGGTGTGGTGTGGTGCTGAAAAAAATGTATATTCTGTTGATTTGGGGTGGAGAGTTCTGTAGATGTCTATTAGGTCTGCTTGGTGCAGAGCTGAGTTCAATTCCTGGGTATCCTTGTTGACTTTCTGTCTCGTTGATCTGTCTAATGTTGACAGTGGGGTGTTAAAGTCTCCCATTATTAATGTGTGGGAGTCTAAGTCTCTTTGTAGGTCACTCAGGACTTGCTATATGAATCTTGGTGCTCCTGTATTGGGTGCATATATATTTAGGATAGTTAGCTCTTCTTGTTGAATCAATCCCTTTACCATTTTTTAACGGCCTTCTTTGTCTCTTTTGATCTTTGTTGGTTTAAAGTCTGCTTTATCAGAGACTAGGATTGCAACCCCTGCCTTTTTTTGTTTTCCATTTGCTTGGTAGATCTTCCTCCATCCTTTTATTTTGAGCCTATATGTGTCTCTGCACGTGAGATGGGTTTCCTGAATACAGCACAGTGATGGGTCTTGACTCTTTATCCAATTTGCCAGTCTGTGTCTTTTAATTGGAGCATTTAGTCCATTTACATTTAAAGTTAATATTGTTATGTGTGAATTTGATCCTGTCATTATGATGTTAGCTGGTTATTTTGCTCGTTAGTTGATGCAGTTTCTTCCTAGTCTTGATAGTCTTTACATTTTGGCATGATTTTGCAGCGGCTGGTACCGGTTGTTCCTTTCCATGTTTATCGCTTCCTTCAGGAGCTCTTTTAGGGCAGGCCTGGTGGTGACAAAATCTCTCAGCATTTGCTTGTATGTAAAGTATTTTATTTCTCCTTCGCTTATGAAGCTTAGTTTGGCTGGATATGAAATTCTGGGTTGAAAATTCTTTTCTTTAAGAATGTTGAATATTGGCCCCCACTCTCTTCTGGTTTGTAGGGTTTCTGCTGAGAGATCCGCTGTTAGTCTGATGGGCTTCCCTTTGAGGGTAACCCGACCTTTCTCTCTGGCTGCCCTTAACATTTTTTCCTTCATTTCAACTTTGGTGAATCTGACAATTATGTGTCTTGGAGTTGCTCTTCTCGAGGAGTATCTCTGTGGTGTTCTCTGTATTTCCTGAATCTGAACGTTGGCCTGCCTTGCTAGATTGGGGAAGTTCTCCTGGATAATATCCTGCAGAGTGTTTTCCAACTTGGTTCCATTCTCCCCGTCACTTTCAGGTACACCAATCAGACGTAGATTTGGTCTTTTCACATAGTCCCATATTTCTTGGAGGCTTTGCTCATTTCTTTTTATTCTTTTTTCTCTAAACTTCCCTTCTCGCTTCATTTCATTCATTTCATCTTCCATTGCTGATACCCTTTCTTCCAGTTGATCGCATCGGCTCCTGAGGCTTCTGCATTCTTCACGTAGTTCTCGAGCCTTGGTTTTCAGCTCCATCAGCTCCTTTAAGCACTTCTCTGTATTGGTTATTCTAGTTATACATTCTTTTAAATTTTTTTCAAAGTTTTCAACTTCTTTGCCTTTGGTTTGAATGTCCTCCCGTAGCTCAGAGTAATTTGATCGTCTGAAGCCTTCTTCTCTCAGCTCGTCAAAGTCGTTCTCCATCCAGCTTTGTTCCGTTGCTGGTGAGGAACTGCATTCCTTTGGAGGAGGAGAGGCGCTCTGCTTTTTAGAGTTTCCAGTTTTTCTGTTCTGTTTTTTCCCCATCTTTGTGGTTTTATCTACTTTTGGTCTTTGATGATGGTCATGTACAGATGGGTTTTTGGTGTGGATGTCCTTTCTGTTTGTTAGTTTTCCTTCTAACAGACAGGACCCTCAGCTGCAGGTCTGTTGGAATACCCTGCCATGTGAGGTGTCAGTGTGCCCCTGCTGGGGGGTGCCTCCCAGTTAGGCTGCTTGGGGGTCAGGGGTCAGGGACCCACTTGAGGAGGCAGTCTGCCCGTTCTCAGATCTCCAGCTGCGTGCTGGGAGAACCACTGCTCTCTTCAAAGCTGTCAGACAGGGACATTTTAAGTTTGCAGAGGTTACTGCTATCTTTTTGTTTGTCTGTGCCCTGCCCCCAGAGGTGGAGCCTACAGATGCAGGCAGGCCTCCTTGAGCTGTGGTGGGCTCCACCCAGTTCGAACTTCCCGGCTGCTTTGTTTACCTAATCAAGCCTGGGCAATGGCAGGCGCCCCTCCCCCAGCCTCGCTGCCGCCTTGCAGTTTGATCTCAGACTGCTGTGCTAGCAATCAGCGAGACTCCGTGGGTGTAGGACCCTCCGAGCCAGGTGCGGGATATAATCTCGTGGTGCGCCGTTTTTTTAAGCCCGCCGGAAAAGCGCAGTATTCGGGTGGGAGTGACCCGATTTTCCAGGTGCCATCCGTCACTCCGTTCTTTGACTTGGAAAGGGAACTCCCTGACCCCTTGCACTTCCCAAGTGAGGCATTGCCTCGCCCTGCTTCTGCTCCCGCACGGTGCGCGCACCCACTGACCTGCGCCCACTGTCTGGCACTCCCTAGTGGGATGAACCCGGTACCTCAGATGGAAATGCAGAAATCACCGTCTTCTGCGACGCTCACGCTGGGAGCGGTAGACCGGAGCTGTTCCTATTCGGCCATCTTC
Source organism: Homo sapiens (assembly GCF_000001405.40). Classification (NCBI taxonomy): domain Eukaryota; kingdom Metazoa; phylum Chordata; class Mammalia; order Primates; family Hominidae; genus Homo; species Homo sapiens. Next base: position 43,867,302 of record NC_000019.10, read on the forward strand.
AAAACTTTGGGATATTTAGCTTACCTTGTTTCAAAGCTTAATATAAAGCTATTTCATAGAGTGTAGTATTTGTATAAGGAAAGTTAAATATATCAGTGTAACAGAAGACAGGCTCCAGAAATAATTCCAAATATATACAACCAATTGATTTATAAGAGTCACCTATGCAAATCAATGAGGGAAATAATTTTTTATCTTAAAAAATCTATTTGGAGAGATTTTATAATAAAAAAATTCCTGCAAACTATTCAAAAATCCATCAATAGAAGAACAGATGAATAAACTATGGTATATTCATACCTTGAATATTACTAAATAGTAAAAAGCTATAAACTACTAATCTAAGGAATAACATAGCAGAATCTCAAATTTTTCTATTGAATGAAAGAATTAAGGAATAGTAGTATTCATAATGTATGATTCCATTTACATGAAGATCAAGATAAGGTAAAACACATTAATTGTAATAGAAATCAGAACAACAGTAGCCTTAGGAGAATGAAAGATAAGAAGCAAGAGAGAACTTTTAGGAATGATGGAAATGTTCTGTAAGTGTCTTCCTGTTGCAGATACTCTGAATTTTTGATGAGTTGGGGATGAGTCCTTACGTGGAAACATTCATGGAAAGTATTAGCTCTGGGTTTTTTTTTTTGTTTTATTTTTTGTTTTTGACAAGAGCTCACTCTGTTGCCCAGGTTGGAGGGCAGTGGCACCATTTCGGCTCACTGCAACCTCCGCCTCCCAAGTTCAAGCAATTCTTGTGCTTCGGCCTCCTGAGGAGCTGGGATTACAGGCATGCATCACTGCACCAGGCTAATTTTTGTATTTCTAGTAACGTCGGGGTTTTGCCATGTTGGCCGGGCCAAGAACTCCTGGCCTCAAGTGATCCGCCTGCCTCAGCCTTCCAAATGCTGAGATTACAGGTGTGAGCCATTGTGCCCTGCCTTGATGTATTTATTTGAATACTTCAAAAAGAAGAAGAGTTACAGTGATACTAAGGAAATAATTATTAGTAATTAAATGGAAATACTTAGTACTTTATAATTAAATTATTATTCTAGGTTGAAAAGTAAGTATGGACAAAATTTAAAATTTAAAATAAATGAAGGCATATTACACAGAATTGAGTGGAGACCAGTACTATGGTCAGAATTGTAAAAAATGAGCCTGGAAGATAATATACTATGAATTTCATGATGAATGTCAATTGCAATTTGCTGTGAGAGAGCAAAAAAAAAAAGCTGTTTATTACATAACAAATTAAATTGTTAAAGAGAAAAATATTGTGAAACATTTTCAGCAAATACATAGTAAATTTGATGAGACGTTTTCTCTTGAGAAGCAAAATGGAATAGATGAAGTTAGTTGCCTGAAATTAGAATTAAATGTCCAACCAAAATATTTAAACAATTTTTAAACAGAATCTGAGTTTATAACCTTTTTGAGCTATAAAATGGCTCTGATTCTTGCACAAAAAAGAAATGTTGGATATAGAGATAAGATAAATTATTAGTTTGGTTGCAAAAATCTTGTTAGCATATTCTGAGAAAGACTAAAATGATCTTATAAAAAGTAAAAAAAAATTAAGTCACCTAAAAACTGCTCATAGAATACAAGATATTTCTAACAATATCATGGATCAATTAATTCAAAGTTAGCAAAAGCTTCAAGTACTCTTCTTTAGCCATATATGAGTTGTGCAATATAAGATAATTTAGCCCAATTGATACTGTGGGTACATTTTGTCTCAAAAGATCCCCAAATAAAAAAAGCTGTCAATTCGCAGCCTACAAAACCAGAGTCATGACATAGATATTTTTGTCTTTTATATCTGTCAAAGAAAAATTTCTGTTAGGTATCAAAAAATATTTCTATCACAATAGATGATACACCAGCTGTATTAGGTTAAAAATCTGAATTCCTTGGAATTTTAATGCAAGAGACTGATGTCTCCCTAACTGCTTTGCTCTACTGTATAAAGAATATACCTATGAAGTATATACATGTAAATATTATGAATCACGACTACTTCATGGAACTGTTAAAAGAAATAGAGGTCAGGCTTGGTGGCTGACGCCTGTAATCCCAGCATTTTGGGAGGCTGAGGGGGGCGATCATGAGGTCAGCAGATCAAGCCCATCCTGGCTAACACGGTGAAACCCCGTCTCTACTAAAACTACAAAAAATTAGCCAGGTGTGGTGGTGGGCACCTGTAGTCCCAGCTACTCGGGAGGCTGAGGAGAATGGCATGAACCTGGGAGGCGGAGCTTGCAGTGAGCCGAGATCGCGCCACTGCACTCCAGCCTAGGTGATAGAGTGAGACTCCGTCTCAAAAAAACATAACAAAACAAAACAAAAAAGAAATAGAGAACAATTAATCTTATGTTCTTTCCCAATGCTCATCTGTTTAATGGTGTAAGACATTTACAAAGATTTCTCGTACTTTGAACTCCAGTTCAAGATTTTCTTTAAAGAAAGTTTTCCAAATATTTAATAATAAAGGAAAAAGAAGACAGTGATTTTTTTTCTCACCAGTATCACATTGCATATGAATAAGCAAAATCTGAAACTCCAAGGAAAGGAAAGCTTTTTTTTCGTGACCTAGTGAAAATAATAGGAACATTCATTGAAATGAAAACTTTTCACTGTATAAGTTCATAATAATGATTTTATATATTTTTCTAGCATGAATCAATATATAGAGGATTTTAACAGGACTGAAAAGCCTTGTGAAAAGATGCATGCAATGAAGAAATAGGCAATCTTAGTAAAGAAATAGGAACTATAAAAGTACTAAAGGAAAATTCTAGAACTGAAAAATGTAATATCTGAAATTAAACAATTTGATAGATAGGCTTAGCAGCAGAACTGAAATGACAGAGAAAAAGAATAAGTGAATTTGAAAACAGAGTAACAGAAGTTGTCCAAGCTGAAGAACAGAAAAAAAATACTGAAGATAAATAACAAAGACAGTGACCTGTGGGACAGTACCAAAAGATTTAACGTATGAGTAGAGTAAATGCAGAAAAAATATTTGAAGATATAATGGCCAAGAATTTCTGGAATTTGGTGAAAGGCACATGTGTGCAAATTTCAGAGGCTCAGAGTACCCCAAGCAGAATTAACACAAAGAAAACCATACCTAGGCACCTCATACTCAAACAGCTGAAAACCAAAAGTAATAAGAAAATCTGGAAAGCACCCAGAGAAAAAGGACACATTACATAAGAGAAAAAACAATTCAAATGACTTCTTCTTGTAAACTATGGAGACTTGAAGACCAGAAGTCGGTGATTTATATATACATATATGAAACAATATATATCTCTTTATGAGTATATATATGTGTGTGTATTCTTTGTGTGTGTGCATATACACACACATATATTCATATATCTCCAAAAAACTGCCAACCCAGAATTCTATAGCCAGAAGAAATCCTTAAAAAATAAAGGCATTTCAGTAAAAGAAACTATGAAAATTCATCACCAGCAGACGTTCACTCCAAGAAATGCTAAGTTAAGTTCCTCAAACTGTAGGGAAATGATACCAGAGAAAAATTCAGATCTCTGGAAAGAAATAAACAGCATGGGAAATAGTAAATATATGGGTAAATATAAAAGATGAGGATTTTCATCTTAATTTCTTTAAGCAACTGGGTGTAGCACTGTGTGCCTATAGTCCCAGCTACTCCAGAGGTTGAGGCAGGAGGATTGCCTGAGCTCAGGAGTTCAAGGCTGTAGTGTGCTATATAACATCTGTGAATAGCCACTGAATTCCAGCCTGGGCAACATAGCAATACCCCATCTCTAAAAATAGAATACAGAAGACTGTTCAAATTTCCAACATGACTTTCCATGGATTACTTATTTAATTGCAAAGAAAAAATTCACCCATAACAATGGAAGGAGCTGGTGGTCAATACATGAATCAAGGGATAAAACATAGTTTCACTTGTAGGCCACCTGATACTTTACAATATTAAGTACATGATACTATCTATGAAGTAGTCTTTTGAAAATGTTTAATCTGAAACCCAATCAAGCCTCTAATCATAACCTCCAGGTCACAGTAAATATAGAGGACAAAGAAACAAGTTAATCACACCTCCAGAAACAATAAGACAAACACAGCATGTGCAACACTATTTAGGTCAAATCTAAAGTCTTCAAAAAGTCTATGTCACAAAATGATGAAGGGTAGGCTCTTGACTAAAAGAGACTTAATAAGCCATAATCATATAAAATATATGAGATTAGTTTGGTTCTTGGCTTGTGAAAAAGACAGTGCTAAAAGACATTATTTTAAAAATTGGAGAAATTTGCAAATGGAGTGAATATTTTAAGACATTATAGGGTTACTGTTAATTTTTTTGTGACAATGGTGTAGTAGACATCTAGAAGATTATCTTTGATCCTAGCAGTTGTATGTTGCCTTTTTTTTAGAGGTGAATGATACCTAAAACATTCACTCAAAAAACAGGAAAAGTGATATATGTAATATATACATATATTCATGTGTAATAAGTATGATATATATATATATGCATCTGTGTATATACATAGACATAAGACATGCATGGTATATATGTATTTGTGTGTATATATGTGTTAGTATACACATAAAAAAGAGAGACATCAGATGTACTGAAACTAGGTGAAGGGCAAACAAGCCTTCACTGCACCACTGTAAACAGCTACCTTTTCTGTAAGGATGTAAATCTTAACATTTTCATAAACTTAGGGAAAACTTTTCCAAGTTAATATCTGTCTTTTGGCTACCTAACTGTTCATTTCTAATTTATTTTAATTGTAGAGGATGCAAAATATGTGTTATCTGTATTATAGGATTTGTGAAAAAATTTCTTTAAACCACTCTCTAATTTTCAACAGCTATCCTTTCATTATTCAATAAATACACATTATTTATTCCAGCATTAATCTTCAGGGGTATGAATTCTGAATTTAAAAATTTCTCATTTAATATATTCTACAGGATTTTGTCCAGAATAAATTATATGAAGTGATGATAGAGCATTTTCAAAATATCACACTCATAGGGTCTTCCTTCTATAAGATTTATTTTTAGTAATTCTAACAATTATCATAAAAATAATGTATTTAGTAAGCAAATACGATGTGCCAGATGCCTTTCCAAGTATTTATATTCTATATTAACTAGTTTAATCTTCACTATAGCATCATAATAGTGACAACAGTAAAAATGTGCCATGGCTAAAGGCTTTCCCTCTCATTACATTAAGAGTCTCTCACCATGGTGAAATCTTTGATGTTGACTAAGTTGATAGCAATGACTAAAGGCCTTACCACATTCTTTGCATTTCTGTGGTTTCACACCAGTATGAATTGTCTCATGTTGAGTAAGTCGATCACTGCGATTAAAGGCCTTATCACATTCTTTACATTCATAGGGTTTTTCACCAGTATGAATTCTCTTATGTTGAGAAAGACCTGAGATAGAACGAAAGGCCTTCTTACATTCTTTACATACATAGGGTTTCAAACCAGTATGAATTGTCTGATGATAAATTAGTTGAGAATTAAGTCTAAAGGTTTTTCCACATTCCTTACATTCATAGGGTTTCTCCCCAGCATGAATTGATTGATGTGTCTTAAGGTCTCCAACACGACTGAAGGCTTTCCCACATTGCTTACATTCATATGGCTTCAAATCAGTATGAATTATCTGATGTTGAATAAGATATGAATGAAGCTTAAAAGTCTTCCCACATTCTTTACATTCATGTGGCTTCTCACCAGTATGAATTCTCTGATGCTGTGTAAGTTGAGAGCCTCTACAAAAGGCCTTTCCACAATCCTTACAATCATAGAGTTTCTCACTACTATGAATTCTCTTATGTTTAAGAAGGCTTGAGCCCTTACCAAAAGCCTTTCCACATTCCATGCATTCATGAGGTTTCTCACCAGTATGACTTCTTTGATGTTCAACAAGTAGATAGCTGCGAACAAAGGCCTTTTCACATTGTTCACATTTATATGGTTTCTCACCAGAATGAATTTTCTTATGTTGGTAAAGACTTGAACGATGACCAAAAGCCTTTCCACATTCTTTACATTTGTAGGGTTTCACACCATGATGAATTTTCTGATGCAGACACATATGTCGATATAATCTAAACGTTTCCCCACATTCCTTACATTCAAAGGGTTTCAAGCCAACATGAATTTTCTGATGTTCTGTAAGGTGAGAATGACGTCTAAAAGCCTTCCCGCATTGCTTACATTCATAGGGTTTCATACCAGTATGAATTATCTGATGCTGAATAAGCTGTGAATAAAACCTAAAGGCCTTCTCACATCCATTGCATTCATAGGGTTTCAAATCAGTGTGGATTTTTCGATGTCTAATAAAATGCTGGAAAACTACAAATGCTTTTCCACATTCATTACATTCATAGGGTATCACACCAGTATGGTCTCTCAGATGTTCAGTAAGGTGCAAATATTTTCTAAAGCCCTTCTTATATTCCTTACACTCATATGATTTCTCTCTTGTGTTATTTCTCTTATGTAGAGGAAGGGATTTATGTTTTTTGAATATCATTTGACTAAAACATCCCACTTTAGGTCTCTGTTGTCTCCCAAATTCAATTGTGTACTGTGGGTCAGTTCTGAAAATAAACCTCATAAGGTTGAAGGTTTTATTTCTTTTCCATGTCTCCTGATGGTACGCATTTACTTCATAATTTCTTTTTTCTGAAGATAACTTGTTGCTTTCAGTTGTGAAATTAAAGTCTGGAAGAAAATGAAAAAACAAACAAATGCTATTTTCCAATAATAGGGGTAGGGAGAGGACATCTATATTAAAAATAGTGATAAACTAAAAAGTGTATCTGTTAGTAATAAAAGAGTTTAGAAAATTCTAAAGTACTGCCATGCAATTTTTAAAAGGCAAGAAGGGCTCAGAAAATTATGAAAGTGCACAGGAGGATGTAAGATTTATGAGTAGGCAAAGACAAAGTCACTAGTTCTCATATTTAGTTGCAAATCAGAATTACCATAGGAGCATTTTACATACACTATCTTTTAGATATCCACTCAGACTGAGTGGATCAGAATGCACAGGAGTATGTCCTGAATATCTCTATTCCTAACATTATCACATTGCTCTCTATATAATTGTCAGTGGTTTGGCTTTATCTTAGAATGAAAACCAAACACATAACCATGAATAAAAGGCCCTGTCTTATCCACACAAATTCATTTCAAGCCCTTGATATCTGCTCCCTATATTGTACCACATTGCATCTTTTCAGCTGTGAGAACACACCACAAATCTTTCCCATCTCCTGGGGTGTTACATAGATGTTCCACCTTTCAGAAATCCTCTTAAGTGGCTTCTTTAAATAATTGGCTAACTTTAAGTAAATTCATATTTTTAAGTCTAGATTCCATTTCCCAATTATTTGCCTTTATACTCCTTCTCTCAATTACATATTTACTAAATCTCATTTGTTTTACTACTTATTTTGTTACCCTAAAACATAGCATAGGTGCAAATCTTCTTTCAACTCCCATTGAAAAACAAGTCCCTACCATTGGTAAGTATTACATAATTCATTGTAGAATGAAATGTTGAGTTAAAAATGTAAACTGGATGAAAATAAAGGTCATTGGAAAAGAGAGCTGAGTAAACTAACCATTTCATTTCTGAAAATTATGTAAAAATTATCAGGTATCTCTCCCTGACTCCAATCTCTCACTCCTTATTAATCTTTTACCTCACATTTACTTTACAGGTGAGAAAAATGCACTTCCAAAATAGCTCAGTCAAGAATATAAGTGGAAAAGGCTGATATGTGGCCATTCTGCAATAACCTGTCCCCTTAAAAATATACATGCCTCTACCACTGGTGTTCATTCTTTCCTTTGCATAGCCATGCTTTTCTGTTTCTATCTCAATCAAAGTAATCACGTGTTGCATTAATTTTTACTGTAATGTTTTAAATAATTTTTTTTTTAAATCTACAAATAATGCCTGTAAGGTTGAAGGTTTTACTTCTTTTCATTCTACACATTTTCAATCTGTTGTGTTTCTTCAATGCCTTTCCCAAATTCTACCTTCTATTCATTTAAAGCCAAGGTGGATCATTCTTGAATTCTACAGAAATGCATCTCAGTAATTTTTCAGGAATTGCACGAATTAATATATTGAAAGGCTTATCAAAGTCAAAGCAAATAAACCTGGGGATATTGGGAAAAATAAAGTAAAAAATGGGGCAAGAGTCTAGGAAACTGAGTGCCTAGTAGTTTGCAACAAAGAATATATTGGACGTAGGCTGAAGATTGATAATCTGTGTGAGGGAGCAGCCTTTGAAATCTAATATGCTAAATGGGTCAAGTATTGAAAACAAGTGGAATTCTGTGAAAAAAGTATAAATTTAAAAAGTCAAAATAATACAGATGTTATCCTCTGAGCCAATGCAATAAAGGATAAGTAGCAATATCAAACAGCCAAAACACTTCCTATTTATAAACAGAAAGTACTCAACAACTACTCTTAGGTCAAAGACAAAATACAAACTGAAACTGTAGAATTTCTTGAAGACAGTGATAATGGAGATACTACATATCAGAATCTATGGCTTTCAGTTATAATGCACCAAGGCAAACTCAAAGATTAACATGCTTACATCTAATTAAAAATAAAAGAATTAAAATGAATAAATGAAGCATTTCATTTAAAAATTAGGGAAAACAGCCAGGCTCAATGGCTCATGCCTGTAATCCCAGCACTTTGGGAGGCCGAAGCAGGCAGATTGTTTGAGGCCAAGAGTTCAAGACCAACCTGGCCAACAATAGGAAATCTAAAATTACAAAAATTAGCCAGGTGTGGTGGCACACACCTATAGTCCTAGCTCCTTGGGAAGCTGAGGCACAAGAATCATTTGAACCCAGGAGGCAGAGGTTGCAGTGAGCTGAGATTGCGCCACTGTACTCTAGCCTGGGCGACAGAGTGAGATTCTGTCTCAAAAATAAATAAATAAATATAAATAAAAATTAGGGAGACATTAGGAAAAGAATGATGGACTGCAGAAAAGAAAAATATAATACAAGCAAAATTTAAATAAAACAGTAGAATTAACACATACAAACCATTATTTCCTTTATACCTAAGGAATAAAAGATAGGAGGGAAAATCCAAATATAATGACAAGGGGGAAATGACCATCAATAAAGAAATAAAGAATGTTAAAAAAATCATACAACTGTGCTAATATATTTCAAATGTACATGAAATGATGAATCTTCCTGAAAATAAAATTTATCAAAAGTGACACCAGCTAGACTTACTGGCTGGCTTCTAGCAAACAGAATATGAAAAGGGAAAAATAATAACTTTACAGTGAAGAAAAATGACGGACATCACCTTAAACAAATTTATAAGGTTAATACCTCAGCAATAAATCATGCTGATATCATGTATTTCTGATACAATATGATGAGAAAGCTACTTCTCTGGTATTCTTCCCCAAAGCCGATAATCCCAGTTTAATCATAAAAAATTCAACAAACCCAAATTGTCCGGCACTTTTCAAAATACCTGACTAGTACTCTTCAAAAAGTATCAAGGCCAGAAAGGACAAGGAAAGACAAAGAAACTGTCACAGGTAGGAGGAAACTAAAACACATGATGGCTAAATGCAATGTGATATCCTGGATTGAATCACGGAATAGAAAAAAGGACAGTGGAAAAACTGGTACACTGAATAAAATCTATAGTTTTGCTAATAGTTTGCCTATAGTTTTGTTAACAATGTTAACTTGCTAGTTTGCATAAATGTACCATGATTATGTAAGATGTTATCATTATAGGAACCTGTGGTACCACATTTGTAACTTGTCTATAACTCTAAAATTATTTCAAAATGAAAGTAAAACAATAACAACAAATAGACTCCAGAAGAGATGGAAAATCTAAACAGACCAATTTCCATGAAAAAAATAGAAAAAAAATTTAAAATATTTTTCCCCACAAACAGCTGGTCACAATTAGTTAGCTCCCTGTTGGCCAGGCTTCGGTCTCTATATACTATTTCCCATTAATGTGAACTAGGGTGCCTTGGAGAAATAGCTAATTCCTAGTTCAGGGAGGGAAGATACAAGGCGAATCTGGAACCTCTTGTACTAAAATGCAAAGAAGCTTTTAAAGATAACAGAAAATAACTTGTGCTTTTAGTTATGAAACATTAAGAGGGATCAGATTTCCCCTTTTACTTTATTTTTATTTATTTATTTATTTATTTTTTATTATTATACTTTAAGTTTTAGGGTACATGTGCACATTGTGCAGGTTAGTTACATACGTATACATGTGCCATGCTGGTGTGCTGCACCCACTAACTCGTCATCTAGCATTAGGTATATCTCCCAATGCTATCCCTCCCCCCTCCCCCCACCCCACAACAGTCCCCAGAGTGTGATGTTCCCCTTCCTGTGTCCATGTGATCTCATTGTTCAATTCCCACCTATGACTGAGAATATGCGGTGTTTGGTTTTTTGTTCTTGCGATGGTTTACTGAGAATGATGGTTTCCAATTTCATCCATGTCCCTACAAAGGACATGAACTCATCATTTTTATGGCTGCATAGTATTCCATGGTGTATATGTGCCACATTTTCTTAATCCAGTCTATCATTGTTGGACATTTGGGTTGGTTCCAAGTCTTTGCTATTGTGAATAATGCCGCAATAAACATACGTGTGCATGTGTCTTTATAGCAGCATGATTTATAGTCCTTTGGGTATATACCCAGTAATGGGATGGCTGGGTCAAATGGTATTTCTAGTTCTAGATCCCTGAGGAATCGCCACACTGACTTCCACAATGGTTGAACTAGTTTACAGTCCCACCAACAGTGTAAAAGTGTTCCTATTTCTCCACATCCTCTCCAGCACCTGTTGTTTCCTGACTTTTTAATGATTGCCATTCTAACTGGTGTGAGATGGTATCTCATTGTGGTTTTGATTTGCATTTCTCTGATGGCCAGTGATGGTGAGCATTTTTTCATGTGGTTTTGGCTGCATAAATGTCTTCTTTTGAGAAGTGTCTGTTCATGTCCTTCGCCCACTTTTTGATGGGGTTGTTTGTTTTTTTCTTGTAAATTTGTTTGAGTTCATTGTAGATTCTGGATATTAGCCCTTTGTCAGATGAGTAGGTTGCGAAAATTTTCTCCCATTTTGTAGGTTGCCTGTTCACTCTGATGGAACTACCCTGGAGGCTCTGGCTGAGTACTGATATGAATTTACATGTGAGCAAACTAATGAGGCAAAGGAAAGCACCACCATATAGGGGTAGGCAGAACAATACCTGAAAGTCACCAAGGGTAGTTAGGGGATAGTTCCTGTTTCCACCAGCCAGGAGTGGTAAGTTGGCCCTAAGGCTCTACAACTACTTTTCCCCTGAAAAAACTCCCTGATTCTAAGTACAGCAGGAGTTAAAAGAACAGCGTTTACAAAGAGGTAGCTGAGCATTATCAAACTGAAAACCAGCAGTGACCCATTTAATTCCTGGTTGTATTACTGTCATCAGCCTGCATTCTATCAGACTAACAGAGGAAAACATAAATACCCTCTGGTGGAAGATAGCATCATCTGAAACCTCTTCAGTTATTTTATATGCAATGCCCAGCATACAATCACAACTACTAGTAACTTGAAGATGCATTAACAAATGACAAATAACAAGATTAAAAGAAAGAAACAATAAAGAAGCAGACCCCCAGATGATACAAAAAATGAGGCATAAAAGAATTAAAAAATTAACTATGATTAAAATGTTCCAAGAAAACAGATGAAAATTTAGTAATAAAAGGAAAGCAAATAAAAGAATGAAGATTTCAACAAGTATTTGGAAGTTATAAAAGAGAATTAAATTGAATTTCTGGAACTGAAAAAGACAATATCTGACATGAAAAACCCCTCTTTAGAAAACAGAATAAGTGAGCTGGAATACAGGTCAACAGGAAACATTCAAACTCCATCATATGAAAAATAGAGGGGAAAGAGAGGAGAAAAGCAGATAAGGACATGAAAAAGTTGTGGGATATGCTCAAAAGGTCTAACATAGGTGTAATTAAAGTCCCAGATGGGAGGAGAGAATGGTCACCTATCTTCCAAAAACTGAACAAAGACTGCCCCTTCTGCATGGAATCTATCAGATCACTGGAAGCCAACAGGCCAACTGCTAGAACTACAAAAATAACAGTAAAAAAGAGAATAATCTTAATTCATTCTACTACTATAAAAATTATGGAGGCTCTTTTGTGGTAAAGAGAAAACCATGGTTTTTTATGTAGGAAGATTAGCAATTAAAGTATTTACAGACATTCTGAACACACATATAATTTAAAATTTGTTTTTGCTGATAGTGTCTTTGCAGAAAAATACCAGAATTCAAACCTCTAGTCATTTAGAAAAAGAAGTAATTATAGGACAGGGCAGAGGCAGGCATAAAGGCAAGTGAAGAATAGTGAAGATTCAGGTGCTGAATGGGGGTGCCCATTCCACCTAACAAACTTCAAATATGCCCATTTCCACCTAACAAACTTTGAGAATATGGAGCAGAAATGTAGCTGGTTTCTTGGCATAGACCATAAAATATACAACAGAGAAGGCTGATATTCTAGAGAGCATATTGTACATCATTTTGTGCAGATATTCTTACCCAATGAGACCAAGTTAGTATAATTCTCCAACATCACATCTCTGTACAAATCCCTCTGATCCGAGTTTAAATATTCCCACTCCTCCTGAGAGAAGTCTATGGCAACATCGCTGAATGTCAATGGCACCTGAAATGACAAACCTGTGTATTATTTGTAAAAGTAAAGAAGACTTTTCAAGATGGAACATTAAATTGCAATAAAGGGGCAATATGTAAAAAGAAGTAGTCTAGAGTTACAAGATGATGACATGGTTAGATAAGAGTAAATAAATTAGCATGTCTTAAGTAGAGTGCCCACACAATCTTAAGGAATCCTGTTGGAGCACACAAAATTTTCTTAGTAATATTAGAGAAAAATCCAAATATATAAAAATAAATGAAGTCACCAAACTTTCCAAATTAAATAGTATATATAAGCACAATACCTTCTACGTACCTAAGCCATATAATATTAATAAATACAAGTTGTTACAGCTTTTCTCTTCGAGGAATATGAAAAACCATGAATTGATAACTACCCCCTCCCCCAATTGTATTATAAAATCTTTTCCAGCCAACACGGAATAACAGGGATTGAATTTACCTTCTTGTATGAAACAACTGAAAATCTGAACAAAATATATTAAACCATGGTTTTCAAGACAGAAAACATTGCGCAATGATACCTGAAAGACAAGTAACAAATGAGGTGAAACCTACAGTCACACTAGTTTACTGTAAGGAGACAATTTCTAGGCTGTGGCACAGGGAGCGGGAACCTAAGCAAAGCCCACTGGATTCCACTGAGAACAAGAAAAGTACAAACCAATATCCATCATGGACACAGATGCAACGATTCCAAACAAAGTTTTAGCACATCAAATCTAACAGTATATAAGAAAGGGAACTCTATTATGACCAAGGCTCAATCCAAGCCTGTCTCACATTTAAAAATCAATCAAGGTAATGCACCATATTCACAAACTACAAAAGAAAAACCGTATGAACATATCAATAGATGCAGAAAAGGCATCTGACAAAAGCCAACATCCACTGCTGATATCCTTGGTGAAACAAGAAAAGAAGGGAACATCCTTAACCCAATGAATGACATCTATAAAAAACCCATAGCTAACATCACATTTGATAGTGAAAGGCTGAATGCTTTCCTCCCCAAATCAGGAATATAGCAAGGATATCTACTCTCACCACTTCTATTCAACATTGTACTAGCGGTTCTAGCCAGTGCAACTCAGGCAAGAAGAAGAAATAAAAAGCATCTAGATTGAAAAAGAAGTAAAAATCTCTTTATTCACAGATAACATGATTGTCTATATAGAAAATCTAATAGAATCTAATAAAAATTCATTAAAACTATCAAGTGAGTTAGCAAGCTGAGAAGATACAAGCTCAATATGTTAAACATAAATGGCATTTTAATTAGCAACAATTGGTGGAAATTAAAATTAAAAATACTGAATATCAAATGAAAAATATAAAATACTTAGGAATCAATCTAACAAAAGATGACAATACTAATACTCTCATAACTACAAATAATTACTGAGAAAAAACTTAAAAGATCTAAACAAATAGAAAGCTATAATATGTTCATCAGTCAGATGACTCTTACCTTTGCAAACAGATCCACAGATTCAACAAAATCTCAGTCAAAATCCCAGCAGAGGCCAGGTGCGATGGCTCACCCCTGTAATCCCAGCACTTTCGGAGGGTGAGGCAGGCGGATCACCTGAGGTTGGGAGTTCGAGACCAGCCTGACCAACATGGAGAAACCCTGTCTCTACTAAAACATACAAAATTAGCCAGGTGTGGTAGCGCATGCCTGTAATCCCAGCTTCTCAGGAGGCTGAGGCAAGAGAATTGCTTGAACCTGGGAGGTGGAGGTTGCAGTGAGCCAAGATCACATCATTGCACTCCAGCCTGGGCAACAAGAGTGAAACTCTGTCTCAAAAAAAAAAAAAAAAAAAAAATCCCAGCAGAGCTTTTGTAAAAATAGACAAGGTGATTCTAAAATTCAGATGAAAACACAAAGGATCTAGAATAACCTAGACAACATTGAAGAAGAGCACAGTTGGAGGATCAACCCTACTAATTGGAAAGCTTAACGTAATACTACAATAATAAAGAGTATGTGGTGTTTGCATAAACGTAGACAAATAAGTCAATGGAACAGAGTTGAGAAATAGACCTACACGTATCTAGACAACTGGCTTTAAACAAGTGACTAAAGGCAATTCAGTGGATAAAGGACCGTCTTTTAAAAAAATGGTGTAGGAACAACTGGATATCTATATGCAAAATAAATTATCCATACCTTGTACCATATGCCAAGATTAACTTAAAATGGCACATGGAGATAAACATAAAACATAAAACTATAGAGCTTCTATGAGAAAACACAGTATAAAAATCTACATAAGCTTGGGGTGAGGCAAAGATTTCTTAGATACAACACCAACAGTACAATCCCTAAAGAAAAAGTACAATCTGTAAAGAAAAGAAAAAGCTGATAAACTGGATTTCATCCAGAAATGGAACTCTCATACACTGTTGGTGGGAATGTAAAATGGTATTATCACTTTGAAAAATTAAAAACTTCTGCTCTTCAAAATTCAGTTAAAAGAATGAAAAAATGGCCAAGTATGGTGGCTTATGCCTGTAATCTCAGCACTTTGGGAGGCTGAGGTGGGAGGATCACTTGAGCCCAGGAGTTTGAGGCTGCGGTAAACCTTGATAACAAAACTGCACTCCAGCTTGGGCAAGAGAGCAAGACCCCATCTCTAAAAAAAAAAAAAAAAAATTAAAAAGAGGCTGGGCATTGTGGCTCATGACTGTAATCCCAGCACTTTGAAAGGCTGAGGTGGGCAGATCACTTGAAGTTAGGAATTCAAGACCAGCCTGGCCAACATGGTGAAACCCCATCTCTACTAAACATACAAAAATTTGCTGGGCATGGTGGCAGGTGCCTGTAATCCTGGCTACTTGGGAGGCTGAGGCAGGAGAATCGCTTGAACCTGGGCAGCAGAGGTTGCAGTGAGCCAAGATAACGCCACTGTACTCTATCCTGGGTGACAGAGTGAGACTCCATCTCAAAGAAAAAAAAAAGAATCAAGTGACAAGCACCCTCTTATTAGATTCATCTTTCTTAAGGTATTAAGGCACTATTATTAAAAATAATATTATTGTATAAAGAATTATACTAATATGGCATGTATGTTGGACACAAATTCCAACCTCTTCCCCATAGTTCAATATCATCTACCACATATCATTCTAGTTGATTTTCCTTTCTACAACTCTTTATAGATCTGTTCCTGAGTTGGAACACAGTAATGCAGAATGATCCAGAACAACCTTGATTCCCTCAGGACTGTCAATTTCTCTTCCACTACAAAATGGGACCCTGGAATTGTTTTCATTTCTCAGTGATCCCTTAGCTAGATCCCTAATCTCTCTCTAGGTAAGTGATAATCCCATCTTCACTCAAACCTAAATGCGTTTCAAAGTTGAGATCTCATCTCAAACAGACTGAGACCACTCATAACCAAGTTTTCCCTTATCTAACTGTGGAGATAAGGGAGCTGTGGAGAAAGTTTCCACTCCTGTAGTCAAATAGGACCATTGTTCCTATGCCACGAAACCATGAACCTGACAACGGCAGCTCAACTATTTCAAGGTACTTCACTCTTTCACTGCTCTAACACTGCTCTTGAGAGAAGACTGAACACACAGAAGATGGATGAATTATTTGAAAATAAGTGAAAATCAGTTCAAAAAAGGAGGGCAAATGAGGAGGACATCATCCATCACTGGAATGGGAGGAATGTGAAATAGGTTCCAAGAGAGAGCTTTCTGAGATAGGAGGTTTCAGGATTAAAAAAATGAAAATATTACATGAATTAAAAAATCACAATAAGTCAGAAAAGCAAAAGAGACATCAACTCACCCGGGCCATGGTTTCAGAAATGCTAGTTCTCTTCAGGTTTCCTCTATCAGAGAAGCAGAGTTCAGAGAAGCCAAAGCTAGGTAATCAAGGCATCACCTGCCAAAAGATACGTAACTTTACTAAAGAGATGTTTCTAAACAATAAGATACTGTCATTTTACAGGTATTTAGTTGTCACATTTAAAAGGTTGATGATGTACCACATATTAGTGAGGCTGTAGGGCAAAGTGCATTCTCATGGTGTCCTGTAGACTTGTGAAAATCAAGGGCATTAATACAGGTAAGCAAATCTCTGCATAAGAACTTAACCACGAAAGGCCATTTCTGAGACTCTGTCCAAAAGAAATAATTATAAAATGTGCTCGAAGATGTATAAAAGAATGTGATGATACATATTAGTTGTAATGAAAAAAGCTGGAGAAAAATCTAAAGAGACATAGACAGGTAGTTAATTAAATAAATGACTGTGTATTCACATAATGGAAAATAAGGTAGATATTAAAAACTATTGTGTAGATCACTGGTTCTGAACAGGCAGTGAATCTGTTCTTAAGAGAACGTTTGGCAATGTCTGGAGACACATTTGGTTGTCATAATGTAGGCAGAGGTGTTAAGGTATCTAGTGGAAAGAGACCAGGTTTGCTGCTAAACAATGTGTGATGCACAGGAAAGTCCCTAAAACAAAGAATTAGCTAGCCAAATATGTCAATAGTGTCAAGGGTGAAAAACCCTGAAGTAGACTCATTAAAGGAAGATAACGTAATCCAGAGTCTCTATAATATATAATAGATTATGCCAACACATGATAACTGTTAAACACAAAAAAACAGGAAAAAGTTACTAATGAGCAGGAGAAAAAAAAATCTCAACAGAAACAGACTCACAAAGAATCCAGATATGGGAGGTAGCAGACAAGGGCTTGAAAATATGATTAACATGCTAAAGAAAAGAAAAGATGAGCAAAATGGATTGCAAAATGGAGTAAATCAATAGAGTATCAGATCTGAAAAGATAATCACATGAATATTTTAGAATTACAAAATTAATTAAGAGCTTATTGCGGTGGCTCATGCCTGTAATCCCAGTACTTTGGGATGTCAAGGCGGGTGGATCATTTGAGGTCAGGAGTTTGAAACCATCTTGGACAACATGGTGAGATCCCGTCACTACTGGAAATACAAAAATTAGCCAGGTGTGGTGGCATACGCCTGTAATCCCAGCTACTTGGAAGGCTGAGGCAGAAGAATTACTTGAACTGGGGAAGTGGAGGTTGCAGTGAGCTGAGATCGTGCCACTGCACTCCAGCCTGGGTGACAGAGTGAGACTCCGTCTCAAAAAAAGAGCTTATTATGCAACATTAAGTCAAATTTACAATAATCTTTCTTTCAAAAAATCCTCTATGTCTATTATTATTATTTTAGAGATGGGGTCTGGTTCTGTCACCCAGGCTGTAGTGCAGTGGTATGAGCATAACTCACTGCAGCCTCAAACTGCTGGGCTCAAGTGATCCTCACACCTCAGCTTCCCAAGTAGCTGGAATTACAGGTATAAGGCACTGCACTGAGCCTCAAATTAACAATAATCTTATGCAGAGAGAAAAAAAGAGAACACAATTGAAAAGAAAAATGCAAGAAACAGTGAAAATGTGACACTGAACATCTAGAAGAAAATAAGAGAGAATGGGACAGAAAAATTATTTAAAGAAATAATAAACAAAAACATTCCAAATCTCAGGAAATACCTTGATATACAAATCAAAAAAGTTGTCAAACCTAATCAAAATAAAATGAAGAAATTCACACCTAGAGATATCATAGTCAAACTGCTGAAAAACAACATTGAAAAACATAATTTAAAACCACATTGTTTAAAAAAAAAAGCTGTCAGCTATAAGAAAACAGTAAGAAAAATGGTTGACTTCTCACTAGAAACTATAGTAGCCTAAAGAATGGAATTTATATCTTTAAAGTGCTGAAAGAAAAAAACTGAGAACTCTGAATTTTATACCCGGAGAAAAAATTTTTCAGAAATAAAGGTGAAATAAATACTTGTTGAAACAAATGCTAAGATAATTCTTTATCAGTAGACCCACAATATAAGAAATACTAAAAGAAAGCATTAGGCTAAAGGAAAGTAATCCCAGATGGAAGCATGAATATGCAAACAAGCAATGAACAGCTGTAGATGGAGTAAAGACATGACTGATATGACTAAACAAATGAATTATTTAAAGCAACGAAAATAATAATGTTTTATGGGGCTTGTAATATAGGATGGAGGAATGACAATAATAGCAAAAATGGTGAGCAAGGAGGTTAATGGAGTTAACACATTAACCTCTATTAATGACTATTGAAATGCCCTTACACTACGGGGACTCTATTAAAGATGCACATTATATTATAATATCTTGGCAGCCAGGAGTGGTGGCTCACACCTGTAATCCCAGGACTTTGGGAGGCTGAGATGGGCAGATCACCTGAGGTCAGGAGTTTGAGACCAGCCTGGCCAACATGGTGAAACTCCGTCTCTACTAAAAATACAAAAATTAGCTGGGCTTGGTGGCGTGTCTGTAATCCCAGTTACTTGGGAGTCTGAGGAAGGAGAATTGCTTGAACCTGGGAGGCGCAGGTTGCAGTGAGCCGAGACTGTGCCACTGCCCTCCAACCTGGGCAACAGAGTAAGACCCTGTCTCAAAAAATAAATAAATAAAACAAAAGAATGTACAAACATGTACAATTGAAAAACCTGATAGAAGAGGCCAGGCATGGTAGCTCATGCCTGTAATCCCAGCACTTTGGGAGGCCGAGGCGGGTGGATCACCTGAAGTCAGGAGCTCGAGACCAGCCTGGCCAACATGAGAAAACCTCGTGTCTTCTAAAAATACAAAAATTAGCCAGGCATGATGGTGGGTGCCTGTAATCCCAGCTACTCGGGAGGCTGAGGCAGGAGAATTGCTTGAACCTGGGAGGTGGAGGTTGTAGTGAGCCGAGATCGAGCCATTGCACTCCAGCCTGGGCAAGAGCGAGACTCCATCTCCAAAAAAAAAAAAAAAAAACCAAAAAACAAAAAACAAAAAACAAAAAAAACTGACAGAGGAGATGAAATGGAATAATAAAAAAAAACTTAATTTATACAAAAAAATCAGGAAAAGAGCAATTAAAAATATAAAGAAACAGAAAACATATAGCAAGATGGCAGGCTTATATTACAGTAAATATAAATTATAGTATATTACTACAGTATAATTTATACTTATACTAATTATAGTAATTATAGTAAATACAAATGAACTAACCATTGCAATTCAAAACTAATATTATAAGATTAGGTTAAAAAGAAAAATAGGATCAATTAGGCTGCTTACAAGAAACGTTCTCTAAATATAAAGACACGTGTTTAAAAAAATGGAAAAAATCTATCAAGCAGTATTGCGAAGAAAACAGACACAGCTATACTAATAACAAATAAAGTAGATTTTAATGCAAGAAGTATTGTAAGTAATAAAGAGGGTCATATTCTGCAATTCAGCAAGAATACAACAGTAGTCCTATATTTGTATGTACCTAATAACATAGTTTCAAAAAATATAAAATAAATGTCAACAGAATTAAAGGACAGACAAATTTTAAAGTTAGAGATTTCAACACTCTCTATTGGTAACTACTAATAGGAACACCAAAAAAAGAAAAAAAAATCCACAAAGCCATAAAAGTGTGAAGAAGATTAACCAAATTGAACCAAATGAACATTATACCAAACTGCAGACTACACATTCTGTTCAAATGATTACATCACATTTATCAGAATAACATTCTGGGCTATAAAGTAAGTATCTATAAATTACAAAGGATTAACATAAAACAATGTATATTTTCTGAGCCTTTACAATTAGCTTAGAACTCAAAAAGAGGCAGTTCTCAAATGTTTCCAAATACAGACATACTGTGGAGATATTGCAGGCTTGGCCCCAGACCACCATGCTAAAGTGAACATTGCAGTAAAGTGAATCACATGAATTTTTTGGTTTCCCAGTGCATAGAAAAGATATGTTTATACTGTATTATTCAGTGTGTAATAGCATTATCCCTAAAAAATACGGTGCATACCTTAATTTAAATATACTTCATTGCTAAAAAATGCTAATGGTCATCTGAGCCTTCAGAGAGTCATAATCTTTTTGCTGGTGGAAGGTATTGCCTTGATGTTGATGGCTGCTGACTGATCAGGGTTGCTGAAGGGTGGGATGGCTATGACAGTTTCTTAAAAGAAGACAATAATGGGCCAGGTGCGGTGGCTCATGCCTGTAATCCCAGCATTTTGAGAAGCTGAGGTGGGTGGATCACAAGGTCAAGAGATCGAGACAATTCTAGCCAACATGGTGAAACTCTGTCTCTACTACAAATACAAACATTAGCTGGGCATGGTGGTACGCACCTGTAGTCCCAGCTACTCGCTCGGCAGGCTGAGGCAGAAGAAGCGCTTGAACCCAGGAGGCAGAGGTTGCAGTGAGCCGAGATCGCTCCACTGCACTCCAGCCTGGGTGACAGAGCGAGACTCTGTCTCAAAAAAAAAAAGGCAATAATGAAGTTTGCCACATCAATTGACTCTTCCTTTCACAAGAGATTTCTCTGTAGCATGTGATGCTGTTTGATAGCATTTTACCCACAGGGGATCTTTTTTCAAAATTGGGGTCAATCTTTTCCAACCCTGGTGCTGCTTTATCAACTAAGCTTGTGTACTATTCAAAATTGTTTGTTTTTATTTCAACAACATTCACAGCATTTTCACCAGGAGTAGATTCCATCTCAAGAAACCACTTTAATTGCTCATCTGTAAGAAGCAGCTCCTCATCCATTAAAGTTTTATCATGAGATTGCAGAAATTCAGCCACATCTTCAGGCTCCATGTCTAATTCTAGTTCTCTTGCTATTTTTGCCACATCTGCAGTTACTTCCTCTACTCAAGTCTTGAACCCCTCAAAGTTATCTGTGAGGGTTGGAATCAACTTCTTCCAAACTCCTGTTAAACATTTTGACCTCCTTCTATGAATCAGGAGTGTTCTTAATGGCATCTAGAATGTTAAATCCATTCCAGAAGCTTTTCAATTCACTTTGCCTAGATCCATTAGAGAAATCACAATCTATGGCAGCTAGAGTTTTATGAAATGTATTTCTTAAAAAATGAAACTTGAAAGTTGAAATTATTCCTTGATCCATGGGCTGCAGGGTGGATGTTGTGTTAGTAGGCATGAAAGCAAAATTAATCTTTTCCATACATCCCCAACAGAGCTCCTGGATGACCAGGTGGAACGTCAATCGGCAGTAATATTTTGAAAGGAGTCTTTTTTTTCCTTTCTGAGCATTGGGTCTCAACAGTGGGTTTAAAATATTGAGTAAGCCATGCCATAAACAGATGTGCTGTCATTCAGGCTTTGTTGTCCCATTTCTAGAGCACAGGCAGAGTAGATTTAGCACAATTCTTAAGGGCGCTAGAATTTTCAGAATAGTGAATGAGTATCACCTTCAACTTATAGTCACCAGCTGCATTAGCCTCTAATAAGAGAGTCAGCCTGTCCTTTGAAGCCAGGCATTGACTTCTCTCTAGCTATGAAAGTCCTAGATGGTATCTTCTTCCAACAGAAGACTGTTTTGTCTACATGGAAAATCTTTTGTTTAATGTAGCCACCTTCATCAATAATCTTAGCTAGATCTTCTGGACAACTGGCTGCAGCGTATATATCAGCATTTGCTGCTTCACCTTGCACTGTTATGTTATGGAGATGACTTTTTTCCTTAAACCTCATGAACCAACCTCTGCTAGCATCCAACCTTTCTTCTGTAGCTTCCTCATGTCTCTCAGACTTCACAAAATTGAAGACAGTTAGGTCTTTGCTCTGGCTTTGGCTTAAGGGAATTTTGTGGCTGGCTTGATCTTCTATGTGGACCACTAATCTTTCTCTGTATTGCAGTATCTCCATATGACTCGAGAAGCACTTTTCATTTCCTTCAAGAACTTTTCCTTTGCATTCACAACTAGGCTAACTGTTTGGCACAAGAGGTCAAGCTTTTGGCCCGTCTTGGCTTTTGACATGCCTTCCTCACTAAGCTTAATCACTTCTAGCTTTTGATTAAAAGTGAGAAACAGAGGACTCTTCCTTTCATTTGAACACTTAGAGGCTATTGTAGGGCTACTAACTGGCCTGATTTCAATATTGTTGTGTTTCAGGAAAACAAAGAGAGGAAGAGAGACAGGAATAGCTGGTCGGTGGAGCAGTCAGAAGACACATAACATATATTCATTCAGTTCACCGTCTTATATGGGTGTGGCTCACGGTGTCCCAAAGCAATTACAACAGTAACACCAAGGACCCTGATCACAGATCACCATAAAAATAATGGAAAAGTTTTAAATATTGCTAGAATTACAAAATGTGACAAAGAGACACAGAATGAGCACATGCTGTTGAAAAACAGAGACAATATACTTGCTGAATGCAGGGTTACCACAAATCTCAATTTGTAAAAATTGCAATATTTGCAAAGTGCAATAAAGCAACATGCAATAAAATGAGATGTGCCTGTGTAAAAGGCATACTTCTAAATAGTTACTGGTCAAATAATAAATCAATGGAAGCTAGAAAATATTTTGAGTTAAATGATAGTGAAAGTAAGATATATCAAAGCTTGTGAGACGCAGGTAAACCAATGCTTATGAAGATATAAGCTTTAAATATATGTTTTGTCAAAACAGAAAGGTTGAAAATCAGTGATATACATCAAGAAGCTTGAAAAGGAAAAGCAAATTAAACCTATAGAAAGTATAACATACCAAAAGTAACCAATAACACAAAAAACCCCAGATATACAATAAAGAAAAATCAATAAAGCCAAAGCTATTTCATTGAAGAGATTAATAAGAATAATAAACTTCTAGTTACACTGATCAAGAAAAAATTGCCAATATCAGGAATATAAAAGAAGATAACACTACCTATTTTACTACATACATTAAAATCAGAATTGTATGAACAACTTTATAACTTTCTAATAAACTTGAAAATGTAGATGAAATTTTAAAATTCCTTGAAAACACAATTTGAACTGATATAAGAAATTGAAAATCTAAATATTGTTTTATTTATTAAAGAAATTAAATCTGTATTAAGGATCTTCTCACAAAAATAATGTCAGGCCAAGAGGATTCAGTAGCAAATTCTCCCAAACATTTAAGAAATTAAAAATGCCAATCAAACTCAACTTGTTCTAGAAAATAGAAAAAAACAAACTATGTCATAAGGCCAGAATAACTGTGATATCAAAACCAGATGAGGATATTACATAAAAGGAAAATTACAATATATCTGTTTCATGAACACAGACGCAAGCATATTAAACCAAATATTAGCAAAGAGAAACCAGTAACATATTGACCAAGAGAGCTTTATTTTAGAAATTCAAAGGCCATTTAATTTAATTTTTTACCATAACCTCAAACAAGTATAAGTTTAATTTTTAAAAAATCAATGTAATCTTTCAATGTTAACTAATAAAGGAGAAAACCATTCAATTATTTCATTAGAAATAATCCATTTAACAATATACAACATTAATCATGATAAAAATTCTCAGCAAACCAGGACTAGAGGGGAACTTCTTTCATCTGATAAAGGGGACCTAAAGAATAAAAACTACAACTACCATTGTACATAAAGGGATCATTATACATAATATGGACCACTGTCTTTCTGATTTCAGGAACAAGGTAAGGTTGTCTACTCTTACATGTCTTTTCAATTTTGTAGTAGAAGACCTATCCAATATTATAAGGAAAAAATAAAAGGTGTAAATGGAAGGAAGTAAAATGATCTTTATTTGCAGATAGTGTAGATTACATGATTATGTACATAAAAATATTTTTTAATTCCACAAGCTTTAAATTAAATAATTTATTGCTGAATAAAGGGTAAAAGTATAAAACAATTATATTAAAGCAAAGCTACTGAAAAATAAAATTTTTAAAACCTTAACAGTTTGTAAAAACATAAAAAATGTAAAACAGGAATAAATTTAACAGATGTGCAAGACCTTTAGACAGGAAACAACAAAACCTTAAGGAAAGAAATTAAAGATGAATTCAATAAATGGAAATGTATTCCATGTTCATGAACTGTAAGACTCAATTTTGAGATAATTCTCTCTAAATTTATCTACTGATTCAATGTACTGCCAACAAAATGTCAGCAGGGCGTTTTGTTTGTTTTGAGAAAATTAATTAACTCATTCTAAAATTATAGAGCAATGCAAAGAACCTGGAATAGACAAAGTGATTTTGAAGAACAAAGTTGTTCTTCAACTTATATTACCAGATTATCAAGATATAATATAAAGCTACAGGAATTAAAATGGAGGTGCTGGCACAAAGATTGACAAAGAGGACCAACGGAAAAGTAGAAAGACTCCTGCACATATATGGGCCCATGCTTTACAGTAAAAGTCTGACTGCAGCTTAAGAGAAGGCCAGTGTTTTTAACAAACGGTGCCAGTGCACTTGGATATCTGTATGAAAAAAATGATTTTGAACTTCATCCCACTACATACACAGATATAAATTCAAGATGGATCATAGGTCTAAGTGTGAAAACAAACAATAAAGATTCTGGAGGAAGAAACAGAAAAATAACTTTGTGGTCTTGGGATAGATAAAATTTTCCTTTTTTTTTGTTTTAACTTTTAATTTCCACTTATTTTAGACTTAGAGAAAAGTTGCAAGAGTAGTACAGAGGGTTCTCATATACCCTTCATTCTA
This sequence comes from Homo sapiens, assembly GCF_000001405.40. Classification (NCBI taxonomy): domain Eukaryota; kingdom Metazoa; phylum Chordata; class Mammalia; order Primates; family Hominidae; genus Homo; species Homo sapiens. The sequence goes on from NC_000019.10 coordinate 43,892,763, forward strand.
GCGTTTATCTTACATAACCAAAGGATAATTATCAAAACCAGGAAATTAACATTGGTACAATACGAAAAATTTGCACATCTTATTCAAATATGTTTTCCCATTAATGTCCTTTTTCTTTTCCAGGATCCCACACATTAATCTACGTTGCATTTAGCTGTTATTTCTCTTTAGTCTCTTCCGATCTCCTTAGACTTTCTTACTGCATTAATTTTCAGTTGCTACCATAACCAATTACCACGAATTTAGCTTAAAACAACATAAATATATAAAATCTCACAGTTTCCATGGACCTGGAGTTTAGCTGGGTGCTGTCCTCAGGCTGGTCTCACAGGCTGCAAACGAGGGGTTACCTGGGCTGTGTTCTCCTCTGGAGTTCAACTGGGGGAGAATTCATTTCCAGGTTCATTCAGATTGTAGGGAGAATTCATTTCCCTGTGGCCATACGACTGAGGGCCTCACCTTTTTGCTGACTGTTGGCTGGAGGTTGCCCTCAGGTTCTGCAGGCCACCTGCAGTTCCTTTGCAAGATGGGCTTCTCCAACATTGCCACTTACTTCATCAAGCCCACAAAAGAAGTCCAATCTGCTATGAGTCTTATATGGTATAACATAATCACAGTAGAGACATCTCGTCACTTTTTTTTTTCATATGATAGGTTTATTTTTATTATTTTAAGGAACCTTCATACTGTTTTACATAATGGCTATACCAATTGATATTGCCATCAACAGTGTACAAGTGTTCCCTTTCCTCTACATCCTCACCAACACTTATCTATTTTCTTTTCTTTTCTTTTTTTTTTTTGAGACGGAGTCTTGCTCTGTCACCCAGGCTGGAGTGCAGTGGCGCGATCTCAGCTCACTGCAAGCTCCGCCTCCCGGGTTCACGCCATTCTCCTGCCTCAGCCTCCCGAGTAGCTGGGACTACAGGCGCCTGCCACCGTGCCCGGCTAATTATTTTTGTATTTTTAGTAGAGACGGGGTTTCACCGTGGTCTCAATCTCCTGACCTCGTGATCCGCCCGCCTCGGCCTCCCAAAGTGCTGGGATTACAGGGGTGAGCCACCGCGCCCAGCCCACTTACCTACTTTCTTTTTATAATAGTCATCCTAACAGGTATTGTGGTAACATCTCATTGTGGTTTCATTTGCATTTGTCTGATGTGCTTTTCAGGTACCACTTAACCATTTGCGTGTCATCTTTGGAAAAAAGTCTATTCAAGTCCTTGCCCATTTTTAAATTGGATTATTGGTTTCTTTTTCTTCAAAATTAATTAATTCATTTTTATTTTACTTTAAGTTCTGGGATACAGGTGCAGATGTGTAGGTTTTTTACATAGGTATATATGTGTCATGGTGGTTTGCTGTACCTATCAATCTGACATTTAGGTTTTAAGCCCCACATGCATTAGGTAATTTGTCCAGTGCTCTCCCTCCCCTTGCCCCCCAACTCCCCGACAGGCTCCAGTGTGTGTTGTTCCTTTCCCTGTGCCATGTGTTCTCATTGTTCAACCCCCACTTATGAGTGAGAACATGTGGTGCTTGGTTTTCAGTTTCTGCATTAGTTTGCTGAGAATGATGGCTTCCAGCTTCATCCATGTCCTTGCAGAGGACATGATTTCATTCTTTTTTATGGTTGCATAGTATTCCATGGTGTATATGTGCCATATTTTCTTTATCCAGTCTATCACTGATGGGCATTTGGGTTGGTTCCAAGTCTGCAATTGTAAATAGTGCTGCAATAAACATACGTGTACATGTGTCTTTATAGTAGAATGATTTAGAATCCTTTGGGTATATACCCAGTAATGGGAGATTCCTCAAGGAGCTAGAACCAGAAATACCATTTGACCCATGACTTTTGCCATATAAATTAACCTAATGAGAGGAGTGACATTTCCTGACCTTTGCCATTTTCCACTGATTAGAAGCAAGTCACCACCTCTGCTCATACTCCAGGGGAGGGGACTAAACAAGGCTGTGGACTCCAGGAGGTGGGAATCATGGGGCCACCTAACATCTGCCTGTCATACCTATCTTCATGTCCTTTCAATTTGGAAGAGTACCAATAATTTATTCTGTCAAATTTCCCCCCGCTGGGTTTGTATGATGTGTTTTTATAACTGAAATGAGGCATGTATTCTTGGCAGTGGCACAGTAATGATGCTGTGTCTTTCACATTGCATCATCATGTCCAAGGGTGCATGATATCAATGTTTTATTACTGGTGACATTAACCTTCATCACTTGGTTAAAGTGTTTTCTCCTGTGTTTTCCTTCTGTACATTACTACCTTCCCATTTGTAGTTAATAAACATCTTGGGAGGGTAATACTTTAACACTATGCAAATCCTCTTTCTCCTCAAACTTTCACCCACTAACTTTAGCATCTCTTATCTTGGTGTCCAATGTGAGGATACACTGCAGCTCCCCTATGTACATAAGTTCTGCTAATAAACACTTTGAATTGGTCACCCTGGTATTGCTGTTTCTTTCTTTGGAATCCCAACAGCCCCATCCTGGGATGGTTTGGGGCAGTCCCTTTAGGGAACTCCCCTGCCACTGCTTTTGGGGTGACTCCAGCTGAGTGTTCAGCAGGACAAAATAAGGTTGTTTCTGGTATTTGACTACTATGAATAAAACTTCTATGAACACCCTTTACAAGTCTTTGTGTGGACATATATTCTTGTTTTTCTTGGGTATATACCTAAGGGAGGATGTGGTTTACCTAGTTTATCAGACTGCAATGTATATAAGGTCCAGTTGCTCCTCAAACTTGCCAATACTTCGTGTTGTCAGACATTTTAACTTTAGCTATTCTGGTGCATGTGTAGTGGTATCTCATTGTGATTTTTATTTACATTTTCCTGATAATGATGGGAACACCTTTTCATATGATATTATCTATTTTGATATACTATTGGGTCATTCAACTCTTTTCCCCATTTTTTAATTTGATTTGTCATTTTCCTATTGATTTCTAGGAATTTATAAATGTATTTTGAACACAAGTCTTTTGTGTGTGTATACAGACATAAAAAGGAGGGTGGAGGAGGAGAGGGAGGGAGGGAGGAAGGGAAGGGAGGGAGGGAGAGGGAGAGGGAGAGGGAAGGGAGAGGGAGAGGGAGAGGGAGAGGGAGAGACAGAGAGAGAGAGAGAGGAAAGAGTTGCCTGTGTCTTCTTATTCACTTTCTTAATCATGTCTTATTATAAATAGATGTTCTTAATTTTAATGAAGGCCCATCTACTTAGGTATGTCCACAATAAATGGGCTGGGTTATGAAATTTATAAGAGGGCTTAAGAAATTTGGCTCAGGATCACAGCTAGCTTCTGTGTGTTGTGCAACACATTCTGATCTTCCAGTGTTTCAGGCCATAACCTACACAACTTCACTAGTGCCTGGGAATGTTCAAGGCCTTGGCTTGGGTTCAAACCTGCAGGGAAAACATGCAGCTGAACAGGTCACAGAGAGATCAAGGCGCTCTGTGAAACATAGAGAGCGAGGGAAACTTGGGGAACCTACAAACCTATCATCATGAGAATGAATAAAAAATTGTGGTGTGGTCATATAAAGGAAGATTATATAACAATTGAAAAAAAGCCCTGTTGATTTCCAAAACAACATGGGTGAATTCCAGAAGTACCAGTTTGGATGAAAAAAGAGAGATACAAGAGATTCCATTTATATGAAGTTCAAGAACACGCAAATCTTATCTTGAGTGACAGGAGTCAGAATAGCACTTACTCCTTATGGGAGAACAGTGGATTCTAACTAGGACAGGACACAGAAAAATCCTCTAAAGCAGGGCACAGAAATCTTCTGTGTCTTCATCTGGCTGGTGAGTACACTGATCCTTTCAAATACAAAAATTCATTGGATTATATATATAGCTAAGATGTGGGCACCTTATTGTATATGATACATGCTTCAATAAAAAGTGATGACAGAACTTTATTTGATGATAATGAGTAAAAATATTACATTACAAACTGTTATTCTGTTATGGTGGGTAAAATAACACATATGAATATATGCATATGCCTTGAGGGATGGAGATATACATATATATATTGTGTGTGTGTGTGTGAGACAGGGACTCACTCTGTCACTCAGCCTGGAATGTGGTGGTGCAAACACGGATCACTGCAGCCTCGACCTCCTGGGTTCAAGCTATGCTCCCGTCTCAGGTGGTGGCATGGACCTGTAGCTGGGACTACAGGTGCATACTACCAGACCCGGCTAATTTATTTTTAGTAAAGATGAGCTCTCATTATGTTGCCCAGGCTGGTCGCACACTCCTGGGCTCAAGTGATCCTTCTGCCTCGGCCTCCCAAAGTGCTGAGATTACAGGCATGAGCCACCGTACCCAACCAAAAAGATCTGGAGTAAAATGTTTACAGTTGTTGTTTCCTCACTTTGGGTTTTTCTGTATTTTCTGAACTACTATATGAGAATGTATTACTTTTATAGTAAAAAATGATAATAGAGCTAATCAATCTAATATTAGAGAATGTAATAAAATAAGTTATGAATACAGTGATATTTGGAGTACGGTGAGGAGGCCTTGTTTTCTCCCAAGTCCTAAAGTCTTTGAGTTGTCTCAAATTAGAATATCAAGGCTCTGAGTTTTGAATACTGATATACAACAGTTTTCCTTTTACTGGTTTTCCCTAAGTCACTTGGATAAATCCTCTTGTCACTACACTCTCCACCTATGAGGACTGGACTCCCTGCTCCAGTTCAGGAATTGCACCTACCTTAGAAATAAGCCATTTTGGTTAAAAAATCAATTGTTTCCAACATGCAGGAAATATCTGCATATGAAAAAAGAAATGGGACTTTGGCATGCTGAGGCTTTTGAAAAATTCCAGTACAATCCTGTGGCAGAGAGGTTCCATACAAGAAAGGCCAAATGAAAGCCACCCGAGGGACCAAGAAAATGATGCTTCAAGGAAAACAGAATGGAATGATCAATGAATCTCAAAGAAATCCTTCATAAATTCAAACACTCCAGGGCCTCTCTAGAGGGTCACATTAAGGGATAAAAAAGCTCTAGAAATCATATTTTGAATTTAAAGAGTTGATCATAAAGAGTCTGCTCCTGTAGCTTTTCAGTATCACAATCATTTACAAGTCCGTCTGAAATAGTGCAGTGATCAGTGCTCCACACAGTAGAGGATGCTGCCACGTTCTCAGATGTTACTATCTCTGAAATTATAAAGACTGAAGTTCCCATGTGGCCCAGAGGAATAGAAAGAAGTGAGCTGATCACTCTATGAAAGGAGAACAGCATGTAGAAGCAGGCATTCTCACCATTCTGAGCTCAGCAACAGCTGATTAATTAAATATGTAACAGGGCATCCATATAATGAAATATTAAGCAACCATTTAATGCTAAGTTTAGGAAGCTGTTTAAGGGAATAAAAACATTCAAGTTACATTGTCAGTGAAGAAAATTAGGTTACAACTTTTAAAAAAGCAATTAAAAAGGGGGCAAAGAATTTGAATAGACATTTCTCCAAAGATGTACAAACGGCCAATAAACAAAGGAAAAAATGCTCAACACCATGAGTCATCAGAGAAATTCAAATCAAAACCACAATACCCACTTCACACTCATGAGGATGACAATAATAAAAAGAAAGGTAATAACAGGTGTTGCTAAGAATGTGGAGAAACTGGAACCCTCTTACGCTGGGGGGAATGTAAAGGGATACTTTCGATAATAATCTGGCAGTTCCTCAAAAGAGTTACCATATGACCCAGCCATTCCACTTCTAAGTATATATCTAAGAGAAATAGAAACATATGTCTATACAAAAACTTGTACACAAATGTTCACAGCAGCATTATTCATAATAGCTAAAAGTAGAAACAACTTAAATGTCCATTAACTGATGAATAAACAACAAAAATGTGGCATATTCATACAATGGAATATTATTCAGCAATAAAAAGAAACAAAGTACTGATATATGCTACAACCCAGATGGATTTTGAAAACGCTAGGCTAAGTGAAAGAAGCCAGTCACAAAACTTCACTTATTATATAACTCTATTCATATGAAATGTCCAGAAGAGGTGAATTCAGAGACAGAAAGTAGATAAATGGTTGTCTATGGCTGGGGAAAATGCAGAGTGAGTGCTAGTGGGTATGGAATTTCTTTTTGAGGTTATGGAAATTTTCTCATGTTGACAGTGGTGATGGTTGCACAACTCTGTGAATATATTAAATACATTAAACTGTATACTTTAAATGACTGAATTTTGTGGCATGTGAATTATATGTTAATAAAGCTGTTTAAGAATTGGGTTACGGGCCGGGCACAGTGGCTCATGCCTGTAATCCCAGCACTTTGGGAGGCTGAGGCGGGTGGATCCATGAGGTCATGAGATCGAGACCAGCCTGACCAACATGGTGAAACCTCGTCTCTACTAAAAATAGAAAAATTAGCTGGGCGTGGTGGCATGGGCCTGTAATCCCAGCTACTCGGGAGGCTGAGGCAGGAGAATTGCTCGAACCTGGGAAGCGGAGGTTGCAGTGAGCCGAGATCGCGCCACTGCACACCAGCCTGGTGACGGAGCGAGACTCCGTCTAAAAAAAAAAAAAAAAAAAAAAAGAATTGAGTTACAAATGTATACAATTATGCAAATGTAAATATGATTACATTTATAAAATATATGTATTTATCAATATATAGAGAAAAACGGACAGACATCAATAAATTGAAAAAAGTATGGAAAACATAAACCCATATATTAACTTACTTAATATTTGTTTTATAGTCCTGGGTTTCTGCCTATTCCTAAAAGTATATTTCATAAAATTAAAACTTTTTTTAAAAAGGCAACTATCTTACTTATTCCTATTTTGATTTATTCTTCCTTACTGGGATACCAAGTCATTTGAGGATAGCAACTATATCTTTTTGTCTTGAGACACAGTTAGATAGATTTTTGAATTTTTAACAGAGCAATCTTTTCTCTGAACAAGTGGGAAAAAATCCTCCCTGCCTTACCTTTTAAATATCTTTTGATCTGGAGGAGAAAACTTAGTATACTCTAGAACAAAGGTCCTCTAAATATAGTCCCTGGGAACTTGTTACCAATGCAGATTCTCTGCTCTACCTCAGACCTACCGAATTAGAAACTCTGGGGCTGGGGCCCAGCAAACTGTTTGAACAAGCCCTGCAGGTGATTCTGATGCATCCTACATTTGAGAACCAGCGCTGCTCTAAAAACTGCTGCTGTGTTTTATTGAAAGCTTTTACTTTATTTTCATCAGTTCCCATTACCTGAACCCACCCTATGATTCGTTTGCCTGTAGAAATGTATGTCAATGTAAATCGGAGACTCTGATATTTCGTATGCATTACTGGTAGTCTCAAAGCTGCTTCCTATTATACATTCCTGATAGATGGGTTTATTTTACTTCTGAATCTATCCTCCTAATCACAGTGTCCTACAAGCAGCTGTTAAGACATCGTGTTCCATTTAATGTCACTTTGCATTTAACATCATTAGAATAAAAACTCTAAGGTATAAGATCCATTTTCTTTCACTGAGTTCTCACAGTTCGATCATATCCTGACAATGCTGCTATAGCCAGAAAGATGCCTCTTCCCTGTGAACTCCCAAGACAGGTCATCTGAATTTCTCTAGTGGCCTTTCACATCAACTATCTTTCTTATCCCTATTCCGATTTCATTTTCCTTACTGGATACCAAGTCATTTGAGGATAGCAACTATATCTTTTTGTCATTGTATCCTAACAAGTACAAGCACATGGTAAATATCTGATATTTGACTCAAATTTTGAAACTAGGGTTTATCCTCAGGGAATGGCTATAAAAGGAAGCAAAGATCTCTGCAAAATGGTGTTCATTATAGACTAGTTTTTAGTCAACAATTAGAAACATAATAGCTCGCAGTAGGCAAAAGGTTAAATAAATTATGAAGAGAAGGGCTTAAGGGCCTTGAAAGGAGGCTGTAATGGCATATTCACAGATACGTCACTGTTAGGCAGGACATTTCCAAAGAGAAGAAAGGGTCTCATGTCTTTAAAATTAAAGAGCATCTTACAAGTAATGAGGAAATATAAACTCACCTGGACTTTAGCTTTCAGATGTGTAGCAAAAATTCTTTCCTCTTTCAGGATCTTTTTTTTTTTTTTTTTTTTAACAGAAGGGTAGCACTGGAAAAGAGAAGGCAATCATGAGACAGCTGGGGTTTCTTGGATAGCACAGTAACTTAGAAAATACCCTCAATGATCATACCTGCTCACCTACTTCACCGAGCACAACCAGATGGGAGTAGGAGAGAAACTGGAACAGTGTTGACCTTCCCAATACAAGAGAGGCCAAGATCAGTGATGCCTAGGGTGGAATCTGTCTCTAATTCACAGCAGGTTCCTGGGGCTGGAGCTTTAGAAATGCTATGGTTACAAACATAGAGCTGGCTCCTCGGCGCTTCCAAGGGGGAAATATCCAGGAGGGATGCCTATTCCTGAGAACTCTTTATCGAGTCTTCTCAGAGCCTGCCTTGAGGCCGCAACCAATTTCAAAAATCTCGTCTCAAGATCAAGTCTGTGTTTTCTTGCTGGGATCCTTCACGCCTCCATGAATCTGGCTTCTCTCTTTTACCTGCTGCACATCCCAAGTGTCTGTGAGGCGATAGGGCTGAGGAATCTGCAGAGCCTAGAGCCTGGAGTCACAGTGACAATTCACACAGGTACACAACACTGTTCATTTGTCTAACGCACACACACGTACACAACCCTGTTCATTCATCTCACACACACACACACACACACACACACACACAGTCTCTCACAGGCACACAGAAACTCCTCCTCTGCTGCTCAAGCAGACAGGCCTGAAATTCTACTGAAACTCCAGGGATGACACGCCCCGTTCACGCCCTGGGTCTTCTGGTCTTCAGCGCCTCTCATCCTCACCGCCGGTTCCATTCCAACCAGGGACTGTGGAAGCCTCCGCTGATTTCTGTGGAGACGATCTACTCACCACGTAGGGGCTACAGCAGCTCGGACACCGGAAAAAGATCTAGAGCTCGAGGGTGACCCTAGCGCGGTGACTTCTGGGAAATGTAGTCCACCCGGAATAACCATGTCCACGGCGCCCGCCATTCTGTAGCCTATGCTCGGAGGGCACATGAGCAAGAGCTTGACCATCTGTACCGTTGGTTGACTTGCTCTATTAAGGGCTATGATTTCAGGTCGTCCTGCGTGTTTAGAGGAGGCGAGTGGAATCTTGAGTCTCGGCTGGAGAAGGCAGAGCACGGGCATGCAGACCTCAAAGCCTCAAACCTGCGTGTGAGAGGAGAAGTTGGCGAGCTCCAGCGTATGGTCCACGGTTGGTATTCTAGGTGCGAGCTGAGGACAGGGGCTTTTGTTTTTCGCGCTCCCAGGTAGCGCCAGCACCTATAGTAGCTCCAGGAGCACAGAAGGCGTTAAGTGTGCATTGGTTTTAGAGAAAGAATGCCTGTGCGTTTTGTGTTTTCACTCTGTGACATTGTGAAATTCATTGTGTGAGAACATGGATGGGGTTGTATTCCGGATTATGGTTTGTTTCTAAGTGTGTTACTTTGGACATGAAATGGTTTGTTTCAGATTTTGAGATTATGTAAATTTTTTAAGCCCTCTCCCTTCACTCCTACTCCCACTCTGAAATTTCTCATGCCCAATTGCCATTCTCTCACTTAAAATACGAGTCTGGCTGATTTGTCCAAGGTAAATACTACTATGGCCTACTTATCCATTAGGCTGAATGGGCAAAGTACCGAGAGCCCACAGAAATGTTTTCTTTCAAAATAAGAAAATGAATTTTAAGGTCAAAGAAACTTAATATCGTAGTCTACTGGCGAGTGTATAAATTGATATAATCACTTGGGAAAACTATTTGGCAAGATCTATTGAATTTGAATATATGCATTTGCTATAACCTAGCAGTTCCATTCTTACCTTTAACCCAAATGTAAGTGTATACATATTCACCAAAATACATGAATGGGGATGTTTGTGGCATTGCCATTTTTATTGGAATTGCACTCAATATATGGGTACTTTTCAGGAAAATTGGTATTTTAAACATTGTGAAAAGGCTGGGCGTGGTGGCTCATGCCTGTAATCCCAGCACTTTGGGGGGCTGAGGTGGGTGGATCACTTGAGGTCAGGAGGTCGAGACCAGCCTGGCCAACATGGCAAAACCCCGTCTCTAGTAAAAATACAAAAATTAGCCAGGTGTGGGGGCCCGTGCCTGTAGTCCCAGCTACTTGGGAGGCCGAGGCAGGAGAATCGCTTGAATCCAGGAGGTGGAGGTTGCAGTGAGCCGAGATCGTGCCACTGCACTCCAGCCTGGGAGAAAGTGTGAGATTCTGTCTCCCCCTACAAAAAAAGAAAAAGAAAATTGAGAAGGGACCTCCAGGAAGATGGAATAGATGTACTTTTTTCTATTTGTCCAGCTAAGTACAATAAAAACCCTGGGCATTAGTTATAAAAAAAGAGAAAAAGAACACTGAGTGGTAGAGAAAAGGTAGACTGGTGCTGAGTTCCCTTGATTTTCTTTGTGCCTCCTTTGTGCCAGACTTAAAGCCAAAGAAGCTAGCAGTCCCAATACACCAATGGGCACAGACAAAAAAGTCCCAGCAAAAGCCTGCTGTCTTTAGCCAAAAGACAAGGAAGAGGGCAGCCTAGCAAGAAGGAAAACTTTTAGACAATTACTGCCATGCTCTAGTCAAAACACCACAGGAAAAACCTTCAGCACTATCCCCAGCATGCCAGCAAAGACCCATGCTTCCACTCTTGCCTGGAGAGTTAGGACTTTCCTCCCCACCCCTCAACCCAGTGCTAACAGTAGAAGCCACATGGAGTGCAGTAATAAGGCACTCCTTTCCCTCCAAATTAGAAAGGTATCAGTGGAGGTCTAGTGGGAAACCGGAACTCCCACCCCTGCCACTAGTAATGAGGAGCCCCCCTGTGGGTATCAATGGAGGCTGAGTGGGAAATCTGGATTTCTGTCACCACCTAATAATAATGAGGCAGGATCCACTTCCCCTACCACAGTGATGTCAGAGGAGAACAGGTGATATAAACTGAATTGTGTACTCCACTCCCTGAGTTCATATGTTGAAGTCCTAACTCTCAGTACCTCAACATGTGGACTGTATTTGGAGATAAGGTCTTTAAAGAGGTAATTAAGGTTAAATGAGGTCTTTGGTGTGGGCCCTAATCCAGTATGACTGGTATCCTTATAAGAAGAGGAGATCAGGACACAGATACACAAAGGGTGTGTGAAGGTAGCACGTTTACCAGAAGAACATGGCCATCTACAAGCCAAAGAGAGAGACCTCACAAGAAACAATACTGCTGACACCTTGATATCAGACTTCTACCCTTCAGAACTGTAAGGAAATTAATTGGTGTTGTTTAAGCTGCCCAGTCGGTGGTACTTTGTTAGGTATGATCCAGAGCCTCAGATCAGAAAACCAAAAATGTTCAGTTCTAACAGAAAATCACTTACCACACCAAGAACTGGGAAGATCTCAAACTGAATGAAAAAGACTCAATAGATGCCTACACTAGGATGATAGAAATATTTGAACTATTTGACAAGAATTTTAAAGCATCCACCTTAAAAATGCTTCAGACAATAATTATGAACATGCTTGAAATAAATTAAAATATAGAATGTCTCAGCAAAGAAATCAAAGATATAATGGAACACCAAGGAATTTTGACTCCTGAGAAATTTAGTAACCAATTAAAAACTCATTGGATGTACTCAGCAGCAGAAAGGAAAGAACAGAGGAAAGAATCAGGAAACTGGAAGACAGAACAGTAGAAATGACCCAGAATGAACAACAGACTGGATAAAAGACCAAAAACACAAAAATGTGTAAAACTCTACAGAAATTGACATAACAATTATAGTTAAACATAGTAATACTCTGCTGACAATTGATAGATGAAAAATCAATAAGGACAGAGAAAACTTGAACAATATTATCAACCAATTAAATTTAATTGACATTAACATTCTGCCAAACAGCAGCAAATTGCCCAATTTTTCCAAGTACATATGTCAAGATAGGCCATAACCTGGACCATGCAACAAATCTCAAAAGCTTTATAAGGATTCAAGTTATATAAAATACATTCTCTATTCCACAATGGAATTAAATTAGGAATCAATAACAAAAAGATAGCAGGAACTAAATAACTTTTTTTTTTTTTTTTTGAGACAGTCTTGCTCTGTCACCCAGGCTGGAGTGTAGTGGCACAGTCTTAGCTCACTGCAACCTCCACCTCCTGAGTTCAAGCGATTTTCCTGCCTCAGCTTCCCAAGTAGCTGGGACTACAGGTGTAAGCTGTACACCAGGCTAATTTTTGTATTTTTAGTAGAGACAGGGTTTCGCCATGTTAGCTAGGCTAGTCTCCAACTCCCTAGTGACCTGCCCTTCTGGGCCTCCCAGAGTGCTGGGATTACAGGTGTGAGTCACCACACCCGGCCAGCATTTCAGAGTCTATAGGTCAAATAAAATAAAATAAAAAATAAAAACAACATATCAAAACATATAGGATGTAGATAAAATAAGACTTCAAGGAAAATTTATAGCATTAAATGCCTATATTAAAAGAGAAGAGTGTCTCAGTGACTGATATGGTTTGGGTTTCAGATGCTCTTCTTTTTCTCTTGTTTCTTAAGATAAACACTGTATTCGTCCATCAGTGACTGATATGGTTTGGATCTGTGTCCCCACTAAATCTCATGTCAAATTGTAATCCCCAGTGTTGACGGTAGGGCCTGGTGGGAGGTGAATAGATCGTGGGTGTGGAGTTCTCATGAATGGTTTAGCACTATCCGCCTTTGGTACTGTATAGTGAGTGAATTCTCAGGAGATCTGGTTGTTCGAAAGTACATGGCACCTCCTCCCTTGCTCTCTTCCTCCTGCTCCAGCCATGTGATTTGTGCCATAAGTAAAAGCTCCTTGAGACCTCCCCAGAAGCAGAAGCCACTGTGTTTCCTGTACAGCCTGCAGCACTGTGAGCAACTAAACCTCTTTTCTTTATAAATTACTCAGTCTTAGGGATTTCTTTATAGCAGTGTGAGAACAGACTAATATAGTGACCTAAGCTTTTACCTTAAGAAACAAGAAAAAAAGAACATCTGAAACCCAAAGTAGGCAGAAGGAAACAAAAAAAAGAGAGAAATCCATGAAATGTGCACACCTGTTCATGATAAAAAACACATTCAACAAATTAGAAATGGAAGGGAACTTCTTCAACATACCACCTATAAAACACCCACAGCCAATATCATACTTAATGGTGAAAGACAGAGTACTTTCTAAGATCAGGGACAAGACAAAGATGTGCACTCTCACCACTTTTTTTTTTTTTTTTTTTTTTTGAGACAGGAGTCTTGCCCTGTTGCCCAGGCTGGAGTACAGTGGCGCGATCTCAGCTCACGGCAACCTCCGCCTTCCGTGTTCAAGGGATTCCCCTGCCTCAGCCTCCTAGTAGCTGGAATTAAAGGCACCTACCACCACGCCCGTCTAATTTTTGTATTTTTAGTAGAGATGGGGTTTCACCATGTTGCCCAGGCTGGTCTTGAACTCCTGACCTCAAGTGATCTCCCTGCCTCAGTCTCTCAAAGTGCTGGAATTACAGGCATGAGCCACCACGCCCAGCCAACTCTCACCACTTCTATTTGATACATGCTGGAGGTTCTAGCCAGGGCAACTAGGCAAATAAATGAAATAAGAGACATCCATATGGAAATGAAGAAGTACAATGAAGAAGTAAAGCTATATTTGCAGATATGATTTTATATACATAAAGTCCTAAGGAAATCACAAAAAACTAATAAGACTAGTAAATGAGTTCAGCAAAGTTACAGGAAGATCAATATGCAAAAAAATTGTGTTCTTACACACTAGCAATGAATAATCAAAAAATGAAAGTAGGAAAACAATTCCATTTACAACAGAATTTGAAGAAAATACTTAAGGAATAAAGTTAACAAATGAAGAGGAAAGTTTGTACACTGAAAATTATAAAACATCATTGAAAGAAATTAAAGACGACCTAAATAAAAGGAAAGACATCTGTGGTTCATGGATAAGAAAAGTTAATATTGTTAAGATGCCAATACCTCCCAAATTGACCTATGGATTCAATGCAGTCCTTAACAATATCCTAGCTGGCTCCCCCCTCCCAACCCCACTGCCTCTAGAAATTGACCAGCTGATCCTAAATTCATATGGAGACACAAGGGACCCAAAATAACCAAAACAACTTTAGAAAGGAAGAACAAAGTTGGAGGACTCGCATTTCCCAATTTCAAAAGTTACTGGAAAACTACAGTGTGGTACTGGCACAAGGGTAGACATAGAGATGAGTGGAATAGATTTAAAAGTCCAGAAGTAAGTCTTGACACTGTCGATTCATTTTCAATAAGGGTGCTACGGCCATTTAGTAGGGGAAAGAATAGTCTTCTCAACAAATTATGGTAAGACAACTGGATATCTGTCTGCAAAGAAAGAATGAAGTTGGAATTCTACTTTATACCATACACAAAAATTAACTCACATCACTGACCTAAATCCTATAGGAGCTAACACTATAAAACTCTTCAAAGACAACACAGGGGCAAATCTTCATGAGCTTGGAATAGGCAATGATATTTTGGATACACCAAAAGCATAAGCAAAACAATAAATAGGAGTATATCAAAATTCAAACTTTTTACTGCAAATGATAC